>NW_018654717.1:4256461-4558042 GCF_000001405.40 Homo sapiens | reverse complement strand
AGGCAGATGGATCACTTGAGGTCAGGAGTTCGAGACCAGCCCAGCCAACATGATGAAACCCCGTCTCTACCAAAAAATACAAAAAATTAGCTAGGTGTGGTTGTGTGCGCCTGTAGTCCTAGCTACTTAGGAGGCTGAGGCAGAAGAATCACTTGAACCCTGGAGGTGGAGTTTGCAATGAGCTGAGATCGCACCACTGCACTCCAGCCTGGGTGACAGAGTGAGACCCTTTGTCAAAAAAGAAAAAAAAAAGCCTGACCTCTATGGTGACCTGCTTAAGTTACCTCGGCTGGAGTTGAAAGCCAGTGCAATAGCCCCGGACTTCCAATGTCTAGTGCCTGCTGAGACCCCAAGTCTCAGGCTCAGGCCCAAGCTGTGTTGACTTAAGCACAGATTCTTTGCCAGCTATCCTAACCGATCCCCCCAAATCTCCCGCTTCCAATCCACTGTCAACCACCCATGAATGGGACCTTCCCCGGAGCCTGGCCCGGCCTCCACATGAGTTTGTTTTTGTCCATGTGTTCATGGATGTAAACTGTGGGTGCTTAAGGCGGTGAAGGTGGGGGAACACTGGGCAGCTCGAGCACAGGCTTCACATCTACGTGTGCTTTTCTATAAAGTCACACAAGAGATCATTTACCTCTTGCAGCTGCACTAAAATATGGTAATTTTCCAAGAAACGTCTTGCCAGGAATATGAAACTTCCCTACTTAGAGAACATTCCTTCATTTAGAGTTGAGAATTATATTGCAAAGCTGTCATCCATTTCATGAGACTTTTTTTTTAACCTCTTTCAAAATAAAATGATTCTGATAGCTAGGTCAAAAGTGGTTCAATGCCTAAAGAGGCTTCCTCGGCATTTGGATGTCTGGCGCCATGTACCGCCGCTTACCCATGACTTTAGGCTGCTTGTTCGTTCAGGTTCAATACGCTGTCGAGAGAGAGGCTGATAACATTTTTTTCAGGTTGGTATAAACGTGGTCTTTCTGCGGCAGTACAAGAAGCCCATGGGAAAACACTGATAAAGCTGGCTTGGTGCCAGGAAGGTTTCTAGCGCAAATGGATATTTTAACTCCTACCTCTATCGCACCTATTCGACGGCACTTGGCTATGGCAAAACAATAGGTTCATGTCTCTCTTGGCTCTGGAAAGTTTACGCCAATGCAAAGTATATTGAATTTTTGTTTCCTCTGTTTCATACCTTGCTGGTTCTGTAATATCCCCTTGAGCTTTAAGAACTTGCGGGGTATTAAAAAAAAGAGACAGAAGAAAAAGAAAACATATAATATCCCCTTATCCATCCTCACCCAGGTGTATCTGAAAGAAAGGGACCAATATGTACAATTTCAAAGAAATTAAAAGAGAAACAATAAAATTTCCGTTGTTTGATATGTTCAGGACAGGGGATATTCAGGTTAATATTCGGTTGGTGCAAAAGTAATTGTGCAATTACTTTTAACAGTTATTCTGTAATCCTATTTTAATATTTAAGAAGCACTTCAAGATTCACAATGTCTTAGGGTCAGTGATAAATTAAACTATGCACATGATAGTTAAATAGTACTCTGAATACAAGAGCATTAGATAACAGTTTCCCTTGGGTGTTCGGTGATATTTTCCAGCAAGGATAGATTAGGGATGTTCTATGTAATGAGTTTCCCAGTTTGGAGAAACGGGGCACTGAGCCGAGTGCCCTCTACTTCTACTGCAGCAGCTAATGAGTAAGAATGCCACTGGGAACCCTCGCTTTGCAGGGAGCACACCAAAGGCAGGGAAGCTGCCATGTGAGGGGTGAGATGGATGCCTGTCACACTGCCTGGAATGCAGCCGGACAGCAAGTTTCCCAAGAGGAGATGACAGGTCACAATTCCCAAAGGCGCACTTTCCAAGCTCCCTAAAAACAGGCTTAGATTCATACATAATTTTTTCATTAAAAAATTCCATGTGGCCAGCTAGGAAGAAAGAGTCGAGTTTGCTGCATGGATATGAATACTATGCTGGAGAAATCATGGTGCTGACATCACCCAGATCATGAGATCTGACCCAAGAAGATCTGTGGCTGCTGCTTTTCAGGATTTGAAGTAACAGGCATTTCATCTCAGCTTAAAAGCGGCCTCTTTGGTTCTTAATACAAACAAAACAAAACGAAAAACACACATACATAAAACCCAAACCAACAGGATGAGTGTTATCTAGAATAGTAGTAACCCAATGTTCTATCTGAAAGTTACTTGGCATGTGTGCGTTCTCTGTCTTCAAGTCCATTTTGGGGCAAGGTGGTGGCAAACTGCACAGCCCTTGATTTTCAGGGACTGACTCCGCAATCAGAACCATGCAACAGAAAACGGCCTATTACTGACTTTCTGCAGGCTTTGCTCATGGAATGGGCCTGCGCTGGTTTTTGATGTGAGAGCCAACTTCATTCTGCAATGACAGAGTTAAGACTGCCCGTCAAAAAACTATTTTCTTTTGTAATCCCAGCACTTTGGGAGGCCAAGACGGGCGGATCCCGAGGTCAGGAGATCGAGATCATCCTGGCTAACAGGGTGAAACCCCGTCTCTACTAAAAATACAAAAAAATTAGCCGGGCGCGGTGGCGGGCGCCTGTAGTCCCAGCTACTCGGGAGGCTGAGGCAGGAGAATGCCCCGAACCCGGAAGGCGGAGCTTGCAGTGAGCCAAGATGGCGCCACTGCACTCCAGCCTGGGCGACAGAGCAAGACTCCGTCTCAAAACAAAAAAAAAAAAAAAAGGCAAAAAAAGGCCGGACGTGGTGGCTCACGCCTGTAATCCCAGCACTTTGGGAGGCCAAGACGGGCGGATCCCGAGGTCAGGAGATCGAGATCATCCTGGCTAACAGGGTGAAACCCTGTCTCTACTAAAAATACAAAAAAATTAGCTGGGCATGGTGGTGGGCGCCTGTAGTCCCAGCTACTCGGGAGGCTGAGGCAGGAGAATGGGGTGAACCCGGGAGGCGGAGCTTGCAGTGAGCCGAGATCGCACCACTGCACTCCAGCCTGGGTGACAGAGCGAGACTCCATCTCAAAAAACAACAACAAAAAAAATGTTCTTTTTGGTTCCATATACCTGCAAATAAACTGAAAACCAATGAACTGTACACTTAGGTAAGTGAACTGTGGTATGTGAATGACATCTCAAAAAGGCTGTTAAAAAATGTTCTGACTTTATTAGCTAAAGTAAAAAAAAAAAAAAAAATCACAAAAAAGAGGAAATAAAAGTTCCTGTTTTGCTGCATAAATCATGATGCTGATGTCATCCAGAAGAATTATGTCTGTTCAGGAGGACTTTGCAAGGTTTGTGCAGATGCAGTTTAACCTGGATTTTTGTGGTCATATCTATGGAGCTGGGATCAGGAGCCAGGTCCCGGGGCCAGAGGGACTTTGAGAACTCACTTGGAACAGGGGCTGATCACAGTCGGCGTGGGTGGGTAAACCAAGGCAACATTTACTCGCTCGCTGCCGTTCTTGGGGCAAATGATCTCTGCCACTCCTTCCGGTCTGGGCTGACTCAGCAACTCCCCTGTAGGAGGAGAGAGAAAAACGTGTTAGGGAGATGTGCACTAAAAATGGGCTCATTTTACAAAGACAGCACTGCCCGGGGATGGGGGCAGGGGGAGAAGGGCAGAGGTGAAGCAACGAAGGATGTGAGAACAAATGTGCAACCAAGAACAGCAGAACTGCCTGGGCGCCGGCTCCAGCGCCTAAATCCTCCTCTGCGTCACCGTGGAGAAAATTTTCATGGTTATGGCAGGAAGGCCCACACTAGACAAAGACAGCATCTGTCACTGCTCTGCTCACCTTCCTTTTAACAGACTGACTCCAGGGATCTTTATCTAGATATCAACGACTGAGCCAGAGTCCCCAGAGCCCACCGAAGCAAGGGCTGCCAAGGAGGTGTTCATAATTAGGATTTGGGGCAGATGGGACTCAAGCAGACCACAGCAACCATTCAACAAAGCCCTATATAAATGATCTGGAAACACAGCAGACTAAAAGTGTTAAAAACACAAACAGCCTAAGATCAGCCCAGCCTCCTCTGGGCAAGGGGATTGCCCTGATAGGTATGTGTGAAGCAGATGCACGACACAACACTATCTAACGAGTCTAGCAAAAACACATAATTAACCTAATGGATCACCACAATACTTAAAGGAACGCTATTACTCTGCATGCCCTGGATGTAATCTCTCTTCAACTAGATCATTACATCTCTAAAAGCAGTGATGACTTCCATTCTCTCATCCATATACCCAGGGCACCCTGCCCTTTCTCAGAGAGTACTCAAGAAACAGCTCCTGGCTGCAGATGGGACACATTATTGTTCAAACTGCCCTACTTAAACCTAGGAACTAAATTTTTTGTTGTTGTTTTGGAGACAGGCTCTTGGTTTGTCACCCAGGCTGAAGTGCAGTGGCCTAATCACAGCTCTCTGCAGCCTCAATCTCCCAGGCTCAGGTGATCCTCCCACCTCAGACTCCCAAATAGCTGGGACCACAGGTATGCAGCACCACATCTGGCTAAATGTTAACCTTTTACTTTATTTTTGTAGAGACAGGAGTCTCGATATGTTTCCCAGGCTGGTCTCAAACTTCTGGCCTCAAGCAATCCTCCCACCTCAGCCTCCCAAAGTGCTGGGATTACAGGTGTGAGCCACCATGTCTGGCTTCTAGAAAGTCAATTAACCAAATCAAGGATGTGAAATGTACACCAACTGGGGAAAGACACTACTGCAATTACAACTTCAACTCTCTGCACCAACCACTTCTACTGCTGACTTGAAATTCTAGAGACTCCGGGCTGGGCGCGGTGGCTCACACCTGCAATCCTAGCAGTTTGGAAGGCTGAGGCAGGTGGATCACAAGGTCAGGAGTTCGAGACCAGCCTGGCCAATAAGGTGAAACTCCACATCTACTAAAAATACAAAAATCAGCTAGGCATTTGTGGCAGGTGCCTGTAGTCCCAGCTACCCAGGAGGCTGAGGCAGGTGAATCGCTTGAACCCGGAAGGCAGAGGTTCCAGTGAGCCCAGATTGCGCCACTGCACTCCAGCCTGGGCGACAGAGTGAGAATCTGTCTCAACAACAACAAAAAAAAAAAAAGAAAAGAAATTCTAGAGACTCCAAAGAAGAGCAGTCCCCCCTTATCCCTCAGACATGCGTTCCAAGACCCCAGCGGATGCATGAAACCGAGGACAGTACCGAAGACTATACAGACTATGTTTTTGCCTATAAGTAGATACCTATGATAAAGTTTAATTTATAAATTACGCACAGTAAGAAATTTACAACAATAAATAGGACAATGATAATATACTGTATTAATAATTAAACTTTTATGAATATGGTCTCTCAAAAACTATTATTATGCTGCATTCACATGTATTTGGACCACAGTTGATTGCAGGTAACTGAAATCACAGAAAGTGAAACCATGGATAAGGGGACCACTGTATCTGCTGACGTATAATGATATGAAATTCCTTTGCTTCAAAGTACTGTATTTCTGGCTGGGACAGTGGTTCATGCCTCTAATCCCAGCACTTTGCGAGGCAAAGACGGGTGGATCGCTTGAGCCCAGGAGTTCAAGATCAGCCTGGCCAACATGGTAAAACCCAGTCTCTACTAGAAATACAAAAATCAGCCAGGCATGTTGGCGGGCACCTGTAATCTCAGGTATTCGGGAGGCTGAGGCATGAGAATCACTTGAATCCAGGAGGCAGAAGTTTCAGTGAGCTGAGATCAGGCCACTGCACTCCAACCCGGGCGACAGAGTGAGACTCCGTCTCAAAGAGCAAAAGAAAACAAAAACACCGTATTTCTAAATGTCTCATCCCCCGCAAAGGCCACACTGATAGCGCAGGCCCATATCAGCACTGGGCCTGCAGTTTTAAATGTACACCTCGTGTAATCTTCACAATGGCCCTAGATGGGTTTATCCTCATTTTACAAATGAGGATGCTAATGCTCAGGGAGGTTATGCGATGTACCCAGAGTCAGGAGCTAACCAGCAGCAGACTTGGGATGTGAACTTGGGAACCCACTTCTGGGGCCCTTACTCTTTGCCCCCAGGCTAATGCCTCCCCAAAGCAGGGACTGCTTCTTTATGCCAGAACTCATCTTTCCTAAATGAGCAATCTAAAAACGCTATTTTTAATTAATGAACTAAGCGACATACTTTTATGAAAAACATTAATTTCCTGACGTGTACATTTTTATATAGTGTCGCACAATATTAAGTGAATGTAATTTGAGTTCCTTAACCAAACTCCTGTAAACAGCAAACTGCTACAAAAGTTAATTTAGCATCATTAGCTTGTAGCATGGCTATGTGGATATCAAAAATGCACTTCAAACACCAGCTAGGAAAAGATCCTCAAATATAAAAATGCAAGTTAAAAATGTAAATGTTAAATGCTTATCAAAGTAATAAAATGAACCCAAGTAACAGCATGTTCGAGCTAGACTGGAACCTGGAAGGCATCCAGTCCAAACATCAACTAGTAAGTCAGAAGCCCTCTGAGTTTAACAGATTTGCTCCAAGTCCCACAGAGAGCTGCAGGTCTGTAAACCAACCCACCCACCATGCACCACAGGGGCCAGGACTCCAACGAGAAGTTGCTGTGGGCACCCCAGTCTCTTAACACTCTTACTTCTGAGACTGCCCTCACCTAGCTCCTTGCCTGCTTATCTTCAAGTTCTACTTTTGTCCTAAAATCATCCCCAGGGCTTGAACACAGATGCAGCTTCTTTGGTTTCCCCTGAAAACTCTCTCCTGGTTGGAATTCCACACAGGCCCCAGCTCCACCTGCTTTTATCTGCCTGGACACTCAGAATAACAACAGCAGATGCCAAGCCCCTGTCCTCAGCACCCATCCCTGGCACCAGCCTGGTGCAGCAGGCTTCTTGGCTAGTATGTCACAGCTTTCGGTGGTCAGATCATTTTGCCAGAGAATTTGAAATAACAGGCTGGGTGCAGTGGCTCACACCTGTAATCCCAGCACTCTGGGAGGCCGAGGTGGGCGGATCACAAGGTCCGGACATCGAGACTATCCTGGCCAACATGGTAAAACCCCGCCTCTACTAAAAATATAAAAAATTAGTGGGGCGTGGTGGCACGCGCCTGTAGTCCCAGCTATTCAGGAGGCTGAGGCAGCAGAATCGCTTGAACCTGGGAAGTGGAGGTTGCAGTGACCCAAGATTGAGACACTGCACTCCAGCCTGGACGATGGGGTGAGACTCTGTCTCAAAAAAAAAAAGAAAGAAAGAAAGAATGTACAGCAGACTATTAAGCCTCCATTATCAACTCTAACTGTACCCCAGACTGTCCACGTCACACAGAGCCAGGTAACTGGTTTTGTTTGGGTCTTATCTCTAGCAGGACTGCCATCCATGGAAACAGAGCACGAAGGTGGAAGGCACTGAGAAGTTTCACACATGTGAAAAATTCACTTGATGTTAACAAATACTGAGCAGCAAGCAGAACAGTCCACAGTTTCCAGCATGTTTGTATACTCCAACAACCTACTACGCGGTGCCAGTATCCTCAGGATTTAAGAAACGTGCACAGTTCCTAGATTAAGAACATAAGAAAAACAGCTTTTTCCTTTCAAAATGATCTTAACTCACATATGAAGAATGGTTTATTTGTGTGCTATCTAGCAAAACAGAAGCTAATCATTCTCAAATTGAACATAAACTTGATCTTCAAAATAAAGTGCATTATTTCACTGAGTAACTAACTATTGAGACCTTACTGTGGGTGAGGACTGAAGAAGACGCAGGGGTCTGAGAGTTGAGGGCACAGCCTCCACCATGGAGGATCCCAGTGTCCACAGGGGAGGCCAGGTGTGCAAAGAACTACAGTCCTGTATGATGAGGCCCCCAAGGAAATTTACAGGAGATGCTGGTGGAGTTCGGAGAAGGAGAGATTCATACTGATTCACAGGACTGGGAAAGACTTCAGAGTGGGGAACACTTAGACGAAGGACCCAGCAACTTTTGTTATCAGAATGGAGAACGATGCGTGCACTTTACCTTACCATCATGGTGTAATGTATGTCAAACTGCAAAATAAGCCTAAGTTAATCCAGGAAGAAGAAAAGATGACCACAGCAGCAACTGACATTGAGCGAGCACTTTTTACTGGCTTAATGTTGTTTATGTACCATCTCAGTCTTCACAACAACACCAGAAGGGAGGGACAATTATTATCCTCATTATATACAGAAGAGGAAATTGAGGCTCAGATGCAAGAGGTAGTTTGCCAATGGTCACAGGAAGAAGTGGCTGTGCTGAACTCTGACAGTAGGACTGACTAAACTCATCACTACCAGATATCCTGTGTCAAGGATAGCATGATGTTTAAATTAGGTAACACATACACGAAACATACTGAACACTGTATCTGGCACCTAGTAAGTACTTGACCCTATTACTGTAGTCACGAGAAGATTCTCTAAAGGCTTACTCTTCTAAATACACAAAGAGTTCATACAAGCGCATGTGAGGACATGGCGAGAAGACACCATATGTGAATGAGAAACCCCTCACCAGATACCAAATCTGCTGGTGCCTTGATCTTGGACTTACCAACCTCCCACACTGTGAGAAACAGATTTCTGTTCCTTATAAGCTACCCAGTTACAAGGAATGAAGGGTAGGGTATGGAGCAGCTCCTTGCATGGTGGAGAAGCTGGCTGGACTGCCCTAGGCCAGACTGTCCATGATCAGCTGGCCAAAGCTAGCAGGCAGGGGACTGTCCTCTGGGTGCCAACAAATTCCCTGGGAAGCTATCTTGGGGGGTGAAGGAGCAGGCTGTGCGGAAAGCAGGCTACAGAACTTTCTGGGAAACATGATGAGGCAACAGCTGTGGTCCCTGGAAGGCCACCCACACGGGATGCTGAATTCATGGGGAAGGCAGGTGGAACATCCTTAAAGGGGCTGAGTTGCTGCTGAACTTGCAAGAGACTTACCCAAGGTATGCAGGCTATCGGTAGATTTGGCAACAATCTTCCTGCATAGCCACTAACAAGTCAGCTGGGGTACCCACAGGTATATTCTACCACTAAGCCACATATACTCTTAAGGGGTTTTGGGGATTCAAAGAGTGGTTCCCCAAAACTGTAGGGATGTTGCATTCTTCCTGTGAACAAGGTTTGCTCTTGGCTCAATTACAGAGTTAGCCCTCCTTATCAGTGAGTTTTGCATCCACGGATTCAACCAACTGCAGGTCGAAAAAATTGTTTTTAAACTGCACCTGGGCTGGACGTGGTGGCTCATGCCTGTAATACCAGCACTTTGGGAGGCCGAGGGGTGGGGGCAGATCATTTGAGGTCAGGAGTTCAAGACCAGCCTGGCCAACATGGTGAAACCCCCATTCTCTACTAAAAAGATGAAAATTAGCCAGGGATGGTGGTAGGCACCTGTAATCCCAGCTACCTGGGAGGCTGAGGCAGAAGAATCGCTTGAACCCGAGAGGCAGAGGTTGCAGTGAGCCGAAATCGCACCACTGCACTCCAGCCTGGGCGACAGAGCAAGACCCTGTCTCAAAAAAAAAAAAAAAGAAAGAAAAAGAAAACTAAATTCCATCTGTACTGAACATGTATAGACCTTTTTCTTGTCATTATTCCCTAAACAAAATAGTATAACAACTATTTACATAACATTTGTATTGTATTAGTTATTATAGGTAACCTAGAGATGATTTAAAGTAAGGGAGGAGGCTGGGAGCAGTGGCTCACACCTGTAATCCCAGCACTTTGGGAGGCCGAGGCAGGCAAATCACCTGAGGTCAGGAATTAGAGACCAGCCTGGCCAACCTGGTGGAACCTCGGCTCTACTAAAAAAACAAAAATTAGCGGGGCATCGTGGCACATGCCTGTAATCTCAGCTACTCCAGAAGCTGAGGCAGGAGAATCACTGGAATCCAGGAGGCAGAGGTTTCAGTAAGCCGAGACTGTGCCATTGCACTCCAGCCTGGGCGACAGAGTGAGACTCTGTCTCAGAAAACTAAACTAAAATAAAATAAAGCATCCGGGAGGATGTTCGTAGGTTATGTGCAAATACCATGCCACTGGATATCAGGGACTTGAGCATCCAAAGACTTTGGTACCCATGGGGGTCCTGGAACCAGTGCCCCACAGATATCATTCCTTTTCAAAACGACTCAAACTCATAGGCTCACTTGATAATTGAATATATCCTAAGGTATGGTTCCAACGACAGCTACAAAAACTTACACCATCAAAAATTATGACCCTCTCCTAGAACCGTTTTCATTTTCAGCACACATCTCTGCAACTCTTCAAAATGTAGGAATCCACTGAGTTCTGGGCAATTTAACAATGTAAGGAAATTTCCATTTTCAGGCATTTGTGGAATTCTCAAGTCCGGTTTTGATATTGAATGCTGAAACTTCAATAAAATAAAATAAACAAAAAACAAACAAACAAAAAAACAACATTCATAAACACCCTTCAGCGTCTTGAAGCTTTGGAAACCATTTGTGAAGTCTTAGCAGTCACAGAGTACAATCGGTAGGGTAAATAAACCAGGCCAGTTGGGGCCTCTCAGAGATGCCCTTAAATCAGAAAGCCCTCAGCACCTATCTTCAGTGAGTATTCATGGCCTGGTCACTAGGCAACACTAAACAAACTCAGTGTCAGCACTTGGCTTCTTCCACTTCTTCCAAGCATCCTCCAAAGTGGTGATAGTTATAGGCAGAAGGAAGAAAAAAGGCCACACTCTTGATTACTTCTGCGACTCACACAATGGTTCTCAGATTCTCCCAATGAATAACGCCAGGGAAGCCGTGCCAGGCCCACACACTGGGCACGGATGACGGGCGCCTTTCAGTTTTCCTTTCATGGCAGGTGCTCCACCTGGAGCCCATGACCTCAGCTTTTCCTTGTTTAGCCCAACTCCTGGCAGAAGACGATCGTCCTGACAGTAATGTTTGCTTGCTAATTACATAAAGCTTTGTTAAAATTATTTTTTGGTTTGAAAGATAGGAGGGAGAAGGGGATGACTAAATGATCTCAGGTTTGCTAAACCAAGAAGAGCTGCAGTTGGTCCAAGGGCCCCTTGAGGGATCATCAGTCAGGTCTCTTCTAGATCAAAAAGCTGAGGCCTCAGATCACAACGGCCCTTCCAATGCATTTGGTAAACGTTCAACCACAGAAAGCCAAGGGGAAAAAACTGCTACTATTTTTCAAATCTCTACCAGAATTTAGTCTCTTCCCTCACATTACAAGCTTATATAGTTGACCCTTGAACAATCAACACCCCAAGCAGTCAAAAATCCACGTATCATTTCTGACCACCCCCAGAACTTAACTACAAAAAGCCTACTGTTGACTGGAAGCCTTACCAATAATGTAATCAGCTGATTAACAGATATTTTGTGTGTCACATATAGCATGTGCTGTATTCTTACAATAAAATAAGCTAGAAAAAAGAAAATGCTATTGAGACAATCTTGAGAGAGAATATATTTACTATTCATTAAGTGGAAGTAGACCATCATAAAGGTCTTCCTCATCATTGTCTGTTCATTGAGGAGGCTGGGGAGGAGGGGGAAGAGGAGGGGTTGGTCTGGTTGTCTCAGGGGTGGCAGAAGTGGAAGAAAATCCTTCTGTAAGTGGACCGGCACAGTTCAAACTCGTGTGTGTTCAAGGGTCAACTGCATTTCCCTTTCATGACAACCTTTTGTTTGGAGGGTTTTTTGTTTTGTTTTGCTTTCTTTTTTGAGACAGAGTCTCACTCTGTTGCCCAGGCTGGAGTGCAGTGGCATGATCTTGGCTCACTACAACCTCCACCTTCCGGGTTCAAGAGATTCTCCTGCCTCAGACTCCCAAATAGCTGGGATTACAGGCGCGCACCACCATGACTGGCTAATTTTTGTATTTTTAGTAGAGATGGGGTTTTGCCATGTTGGCCAGACTGGTCTCTAACTCCTGTGACCTCAGGTGACCCGCCCACCTTGGCCTCCCAAAGTGCTGGGATTACAGGCGTGAGCCACTGTGCCTGGCCGTTTGGGGGTTTGTTTGTTTTGTTTTGTTTTAAAAATAATTCATACAAATCCAATCCTCTGTAGCATTGTTCCCTACGTCTTCCTCATGCCTGGTTATTTGCAATTCCTCTTCCTCCTGCTTTCTCTGTTTCTAATACCTGCAACAGGAGAGCCCATCTCCCCTCCTCCAAGCCACTCTTCCTCACGGGACGCCCACCTGCTGCAAAAGCGTCAGAGTCTTGGCATCTCCAGAGTCCCTGGGGAGTTTCCTTCCCCAAGTGTCCATTACAACACTGGGATGAGAGGCCAGGTAGAAACTTCAGGAGCATTCCACTTTGAAGTGTGAGGCTCTACCAGACACAAAATAAATATAACTGGGGGCCAGAATAAACATCCAGGGCCAGCAAGTGAACCTGGCTTACGTGGCATGCATTAATATTTGGAGAAATTTCCCCAGCGAGGTTGCAGGAAGCTGAGTCACCTACTAAGAAGGGCTTTATTTTTGGTTCTAAAAGACAGAACAATAGCAAAGTAAAATATTGTTCTATATCAAAGTTCTTTAAACTTACTGTTCTCAGCATCTTCATCAGTCCCAGATTAACCCTGACACTATACAAATTGCAATAACACAAGAACAATAGATGCTTTCTCTAGATTTTGTATGAGATTTCTCTGGAATTTCTAAAAATCCTAGAAAGGGGCCGGGTCCGGTGACCCAGGCCTGTAATCCCAGCACTTTGGGAGGCCAAGGCTGGCAGATCACTTGAGGTCAGGAGTTCGAGGCCAGCCTAGCCAACATGTTGAAACCCCATCTCTACTAAACATACAAAAATTAGCCAGGCGAGGTGGTACACATCTGTAATCCCAGCAACTTGGGAGGCTGAGGCAGGAGAATCGCTTGAACCCGGGAGGCAGAGGTTGCAGAGAGCCGAGATTGTGCCACTGCACTACAGCCCTGGGGACACAGCCAGACTCTGTCTCAAAAAAAAAAAGAAAACACAGAAAGGAACCATGAGGCACCACTTGAAGCTTCAATGAGGTGGTTTTATGATGTTGGGGGTATAGAAAATCATTCCTCAAAATATGGCACCTGAGCACGCTGGGCGCTTTTGAAAGCTGAGCGGCCCCTGAAGTAAGCCTCAGAATGAAGGTCCCTCTAACCTTGTCTTGTGCCTCCCCAAACCACAAGGGCAGGGACTATTCCTGGAACGTCCTTATCTGACCAAGAGCGCTCACCAAAAGAAACATAAATGCTTTCTATGCCCTCCCTGGAATCTCATTATCTCAGAAAAAAAGCCTGACGAATGTGACCACACCTGACAGACATTTTCCCGAGATAATGTCTGCCTCTCAGGCCCATTCAGATTCCAAAGAGAATCACTTACAATTTCATTTCGGTCTCTGTGGTCCATTCATTCTCCCTAATCCTCACTTACTGCCTCTCAAAAGAGCTGTCTACATTCTCATCTCTTCCCTCCCCTATGAAAAAGCGTATAGCTTCTGTATCCCACTGTGATTCCCTTTGAATGTTAATAAATTTATTTGCCTTAGTAATCTTCTTATTCTTATTAATTTGCCTTTCATCAGTTGATTTTCACTGAACCTTCTTCTGAGAGCAAAGGGAAAGTTTTCCCTGTACCCCCTACAATGAAAAGAAGGCATTCGCGTGGATGGCATGCACACTTAAAAACCTCACCATCCACAAGAAGTGGCCAGAGCTGGTGTGAAAGGCTGAGACTAATTCAAGGAAGTAAATTAATAGTGGGACACACTGTAAGTAGCTAAAACTTCCGAGGTCAATGTTGCAAAGGAGAGCTAAGGCCTTCTACAACATTATTCTCTTAGTAACAATTTAAAAAGCAAAATGAACTTGAACTTGTCATTCATCTGTATGTATCACTATATATAGTGATATATTTAGATATACAGTGGTCCCCCATCATCTGTGGTTTTTGCTTCCAAAGGTTTCGGCTACCAGCCATCAATCTGGGTCTGAAAATATTAAATGAAAAACTCCAGAAATAAACAATCATCAGTTTTAAATCTAGCACCATTCTAGTAGCATGATGAAATCTCGACCTGTCCAGCTCCATACCCCCCAGCACCATGAAATCTCCTGTGTCCACTGTCCCCACACTGTAGACGCTCCCCTGGGAACCCTCCTCTGCCCAGTGTCCCCACACTGTAGACTCTCCCCTGGGAACCCTCCTCTGCCCAGTGCCCCCACACTGTAGACGCTCCCCTGGGAACCCTCCTCTGCCCAGTGTCCCCACACTGTAGACGCTCCCCTGGGAACCCTCCTCTGCCCAGTGTCCCCACACTGTAGACGCTCCCCTGGGAACCCTCCTCTGCCCAGTGTCCCCACGCTGTAAACGCTCCCCACCTGCTCATCACTTAGGCACTTTCTCGGTTATCAGATCCACTGTCAAAGTGTTGCAGTGCTTAATACGTCACCCTTATTTTACTTCATAATGGCCCGAAAGTGTAAGAGTAGTGATGCTGGCGATTTGGATCTGCCAAAGAGAAGCTGTTAAGTGCTTTAGTAAAAAGCTGAAAGGTCTTGACTTAATAAGGAAAGAAAAAAAATTGCATGCTGAAATTACCAGATCTACAGTGAGAATGAATATTCTGTGAAACTGTGAAAAAGGAAAAATAAATCCATGCTAGTTTTGCTGCTACACCTCAAACTGCAAAAGGTATGGTTACAGCACCTGCTAAGTGCTTAGTTAAGATGAAAAAGACATTACATTTGTGGGCAAAAGATATGACCGGAAACGTTTTCCAATTGATGGCAATTGGGTTTGGTGCCATTGGTGGTTTCAGGATCCAGTAGGGTACTTGGAAAGCATCCCCCGCAAATAAGGGTTGGAGGAATGACTCTATAGCAAGGGTGCCCAACGCCAGGGCCATGGACTGGTACGCGTCCATGGGCAGCACAGAGGGAGGTGAGTGGTAGGTGAGCAGGCAAAGCTTCATCTGTTTACAGCCACTCCCCATTGCTCAAATTACCACCGGAGCTCCATCTCCTGTCAGATCAGGGCAGCATGAGATTCTCATAAGAGTGGGCAAACCCTACTGTGAACTTGTATGTGAGGGATCTAGGTTGCGCGCTCCTTGTAAGAATCTAATGCTTAATGATTTGTCACTCCCATCACCACCAGATGGGACCAGCTAGTTGCAGGAAAACAAGCTCAGGGCTCCCACTGATTCCACATTATAGTGAGTTGTATAATTATCTCATTATCTATTACAATGTAATAATAGTAGAAATAAAGTGCACGACAAATGTAATGCACTTGAATCATCATGAAACCATCCCACCAACCCCAGTCTGTGGTGCCGAACAAGGTTGGAGACAGCTGCTCTTGGTGATATAGACATACAGTGAGATGCACACACACCCTGCCCTTTGTTGCTCTACAATGGCCCGACATGTAAGTATGTCCTTAAGAAAATGTGCACAAGGACTTACACCATCCTCTCCTCACTGACCCTAAAAAGGTCTGACACCATGTGACCCAAGTCAAAGCCGCCTCTTCCCGCCACTCACTCGTCCCACCACGCCTCCCTGCAGACGCGTGTGCCACTTGGCTCCATTTTGCTCGCTAAGGGTTTATATAAATACAAATCCACCCAAGAAAGGAAAACTATTTCCCCTTTTCCTGCTCTGGATAAAGTTCCAGCAGACTTGGCTAAGGATGAGACAAGCTTCACAGATCAAAGACAGTTGGGGAGAGGGGGAGGGGGAGGAGCAGAGCACAAACCTAGCTCAGCCCTCTCCTCTCACAAAACACAAGTCAAGATTATAAAAAGCCCACAGTGCTGCACTGAAGTGCTTTCAAAAGGTTACTCTTTATTTTGATAGCCTGTCACCTACTTCTTACTGGAAAATGGTTCCAGACTCAGAGAGGTTACTGCAGACGGCATAAAAGCATTCAGACGACAACGTTCTCTCCCCAACATTCATTTTCCTTGCAAGAGAAAATAGGACGAACCCTTATGACCTGAAATTATAAAACTAGCGCCCAAGGACCTTATCAAAATCTACCTGACTTTGAAGTACTAAGGGGAATCATGTGAAGTCCTTAATAATGATCAGAAGCCAGGCCGGGCGCAGTGGCTCGCGCCTGTAATCCCACCACTTTGGGAGGCCGAGGCGGGCAGATTGCTTGAGACCAGAAGTTCGAGACCAGCCTGGCCGACATGGTAAAACCTCATCCTACTAAAAATACAAAAATTAGCCAGGCATGGTGGTGGGCACCTGTAATCTCAACTACTCAGGAGGCTGAGGCAGGAGAATCGCTTGAACCTGGGAGGTGGAGGTTGCAGTGAGCCTAGATCATGCCACTGTACTCCAGTATGGGCGGCAAAGCAAGACCGTCTTGGGAAAAAACAAATGATCAGAAGGCGTATACAGTCAACTCCTGAACAACAAAGGTTTGAACCATGCAGGTCCATTTACAGGAAATTTTCTTCCACTTCTGCCACCTCCTGAGAGAGCAAGTCCAACCCCTCCTCTTCCTCCTCCTCAGCTCACTCAATACGAAGACGATGATGAAGATCTTTATGACAATCCACTTCCACTGAACAGTAAATACATTTTCTCTTCCTATGATTTTCTAAACATTTTCTTTCCCCTAGCTTAGTTTATCGTAAGAGCACAGTATATAATACATAAAACATACGAAATACATGCTGATGAACTACTGATGTTATCCGTTAAGGCTTCCAGTCAACAATAGGCTATCAGTAGTTAAGGAGTCAAATGTTATATGTGGATGTGATTCCATGGGAGGGGGCTGGTCAGTGCCCCTAAACCCCGAGTTGTTCAACGGTCAAGTGTACTTGCTTCTTGTCTCCTAACATTTCTGCAGATTCATTTTTCTCCAAGGAAGGGGAGGAAGGAGGAGGAGTGAAGGTTGGGACTGGGAGGTCTGGTAGAGCTGAGGCCTCCCTGAAGAGTCCTGGGAGAGAGGAGAAAACCCACAGGCTTGCAATCGGACCCACAGCACCTCAAGGCCAGAAGGAACCTTGAAATGGCTCAACTTTCTCCTTTTGCTCATGAATAATATCTCGCGCAGGCAGAAACATCTCCCACAGCACTACAGGGAGAGGATTCCAGCTGGAATCCTCTCTCAACACCAGCTTTTCTTTATCTACTCCCCTACCCAAGTGTCATCCGCAGAATAAAATCCAGCCGGGACTTGAGGCCATTTGAAACCCACAGCATCTATGATGACGGGAAAAGCACTAAATTGCACAACTAATTTAAACCCAGCACTGCCAAGCCTCTTCAACCTCTGAAAAATTATAATTGCAAACCAGAATAAAAATTTTTTTTTTTTTGAGATAGGGTCTTGCGCTGTCACCCAGGCTGGAGTACAGTGGCGCAATCATAGCTCACTGCAGTCTCAGCATCCCAAGTAAATGGGACCACAGGCACACACCATCATACCTCATTTTTTTATTTTTATTTTTTGTAGAGATGAGGTCTCGCCATGTTGCCCAGCCTGGTCTCAGACTCATGGTCTCAAGTGATCCTCCCACTTCAGCCTCCTAAAGTGCTGGGATTACCGGCGTGAGCCGCCATGCCTGGCCAAGGCCAGGGTTATTCTCCTTTGGGTAACTAACGTCCACCTGACGCATACTAGCTGATGCTGCGTCTCCTCTGCAGGGACGTAAGCTCCACAAGAGTGGGATTTTCCTTACTCACTGTGGGATCCCAAGCATCCAGAACAATGTCAGGCACACGGCAGGCCCTAGATATATGTTAAAGAACGAAACTCATCCATCCCCGAATCCATAAGTTGGGGCATAAACACGGAGGTCTCTCAAGTGCCCTCAAGCGTGTGGTTCTGAATCCGACACTGGTGGGGCACAGGGTTAGGCTGCGGGGGCCAGAGTCCACACCCTCTTCTTCCACAGGGTACACAAGTCACCACCTAGGAAGCTTCCAGACTTCCCTGGGCAGTACTACCTTCTCCGCATGCCATCCAAGGGCAAACAAAAAACCCCAAAACCAGAAGCACTCCAGGAAGTGGTCACCCTGCTTTGCTGTCTTACCAGATTACTGGATCTTTTTCAAACTAAAGAGAAAACCACAACAAAGTCAAGTTCCATGTGCGGCGACTCCAATGCCAACCTCTTAGAATATTTTCTCAATTTTGAGGATTACATGGCTCGGAGAAGCCCGTAAGTGTAGTGCAAAATGTCCTCTTCTGAATCGTAGTTGCAAATGGCTTCCTTTGAGGGGGAAAGGGCAGAGATACGAAGAATCATTTAGTGGTTCAGGGGTGTGGGGTAGGGGGAGACTGAAGCCGGCGTAAGATCTTAGCATCCCCCTTTTTGTCCTCCAGTCTTGGTTACTTACACGGGCTGGTCAGTACGCTGCTGGGTCCCAGGGTGGTGGGCACATCTCTGGAGATCTTTCTTTCTGCAATTCTCTCCTCTGGGTCGGCTATCTAGGCCACCCTCCTGGCACCACAGCCTGGAAACTCTCAAGACAGTAAGCTGGGGCAATGACAGGGCTTGCCTCCTTCATTTCTCATAGCTCAGGATCACTGTCCTTTGTTGCCTGATGCTCATGGTCTTGGAAATCATTACTTCTTATATTTGACTGGGGTTTTTGCCCTAGGTGTGCAAATGAATATGGTTCCTGTGACACTGTCTTGGCGGGAAGGGGTAATGTGGCTACAGGCATGTTTTGCTTTTGCTTTGTGCTTGTTTTTGCCATAGGTTTTTTAGTGCTTGATACTGTGAATAAAATACAGTCAGGCACTGTCTAATGACTTCTTTTTTGCCTTTTTGATATAGAGTCTCGCTGTCACCCAGGCTTAGAGTGCAGTGGAGTGATCTGAGCTCACTGCAACCTCCACCTCCTGGGTTCAAGCGATTCTCTGGCCTCAGCCTCCTGAGTAGCTGGGGTTACAGGCGTGCACCACCACGCCCAACTAAAGGTTGTATTTTTAGTAGGGACGGGGTTTCACTTTGTTGGCCAGGATGGTCTCAAACTTGTGACCTCAAGTGATCTGTCCACTTCAGCCTCCCAAAGTGCTGGGATTACAGGCATGAACCACTGCACCTGGCCTTCATATAATGACTTTTCGAGCAATGGTAGACCCCACATTTATAAGGGTGGTCCCATAAGATTACAAAAGAGCTGAAAAATTCTTATCACCTAGTGATGTCGTAGAGCAATGCATTATTCTTATGTTTGCAGTGATGCTGGTATAAACCACCTACTTCACTGCCAGTCATAAAATGCTAGCACATACAATTATGTACAGTATATAATAACAAACGACTATGTTACTGGATTATGTGCTTACTATACTATACTTTTTATCATTCTTTTAGGGTGTACTCCTACTTATTTTAAAACATTACTGTAAAACAGCCTCAGGCAGGCCCTTCGGGAGGTGTTCCAGGAGAAGGCATTTTTATTACAGGGTATAACAGCTCCATCACTGTCATTGTCCCTGAAGATCTTCCAGTGCGACAAGATGTGGAGGTAGAAGACAGTGATATTGATGATCCTGACCCTGTGTAGGCCTGAGCCAATGTGTGTGTGTCTTCATTTTAACAAAAAAGCTTTAAAAATTAAAAAACTATAAAATTTAAATAGAAAAAACTCATACAATAAGGATATAAAGAAACAATATTTTTGTACAGCTGTACAATGTTTGTATTTTAAGCTAAGTGTTACTGTAAGAATCAAAAAGTTAAAATATTAAAAGTTTATAAAGTAAAAAAGTTACAGTAAGCTAAGGTTAATTTACTATTAAAGAAATAAAGACTTAATAAATTGGATGTGGCCTAAATGTACAGTGTTGAAGTCTACAGCAGCAGTAACGTCCTGAGCCTCCATATTCACCCACACTGACTCACCCAGAGCAACTTCCATTCCTACAAGCTCCATTTATAGTAAGTGCCCTACACAGGTGTATACCACATTTTTATCTTTTTTTTTTTTTTTTTGAGACAGAGTATTGCTCTGTTGCCCATGCTGGAGTGCAGGGGCATGATCTCGGTCACTGCAACCTTCACCTCCCAGGTTCAAGCGATTCTTGTTCCCCAGCCTCCCAAGTAGCTGGGATTACAGGTGTGTGCCACCACGCCCAGCTAATTTTTGTATTTTTAGTAGAGACAGGGTTTCGCCATGTTGGCCAGGCTGGCCTCGAACTCCTGACCTCAAGTGATCTGCCCACCTCAGCCTCCCACAGTGCTGGAATTACAGGCATGAGCCAGCATGCCTGGTCACCATTTTTTATCTTTATACTGTATTTTGATTGTACCTTTTCTAAGGTTAGATGCACAAATACTTACCATCGTTGTTACAATGGTCACAATATTCAGTACAGTCACATGCTGTACAGGTTTGTAGCCCAAGAGCAATAGGCTAGACCCTACAGCCTGGGTGTGTAGTAGGCTAGACCATCTAGGTTTGTGTAAGTGCACTCTGTCATGTTCGCACGATGACACAAGCGCCCAAGGGTGCGTTTCTCAGAACATATGCAAATTGTTAAGCAAGGAATGACTGCAATTTCTTTATTTAAATGGTAAGCCTGTCATGAAAGTTAAAAAAGTTAAGCTCTTCCAAAAATGCTGAATGAAAAGACAAGTCACAGACTGGGAGAAAATATTTGCAAAGTATGTATCTGATAAAAGACCTATGTGCCAAATATGTAAAGAACTCTGAAAACTTAAGAAAATAAATAAAATAATTTTTTTAAATGGGTAAAGTTCTAACAGGCACCAAAGAAGGTAAACCGATGGTAAATAGGAGCATGAAAAGACACTCAACGTGATGCATATTGGGGAGCTGTAAATGAAAACCACATGAGATACTACTTCATGCCTGCTAGAATTTCTTTTTTTTTTTTTTTTTTCTTATTTTAGGTTCTGGGGTACATGTACAGGATGTGCAGGTTTGTTACATGGGTAAACGTGTGCCATGGGAGTTTGCTGCATAGATCAACCCATCACCTAGGTATTAAGCCCAGCATCCATTAGCTATTCTTCTCAATGCCCTCCCTTTCTCACCGCCCCCCACACAGGCCCCAGTGTGTGTTGTTTCCCTCCCTGTGTCCATGGGTTCTCATTGTTCAGCTCCCACTTATGAGTGACAACATGCGGTGTTTGGTTTTCTGTTCCTGTGTTAGTTTGCTGAGGATGATGGGTTCCAGCTCCAACCATGTCCCTGCAAAGGACATGATCTTGTTCCTTTTTATGGCTGCATTGTATTCCATGGTGTATATGTACCACATTTTCTTTATCCAGTCTATCATTGATGGGCATTTGGGTTGATTCCACGTCTTTGTTATTGTGAATAGTGCTGCGATGAACATACACATGCATGTATCTTTATAACAGAATGATTTATATTCCTTTAAGTATATACCCAGTAATGGAATTGCTGGGTCAAACGGTATTTCTGGTTCTAGGTCTTTGAGGAATTGCCACACTGTCTTCCACAATGGTTGAACTAATTCGCACTCCCACCAACAGTGTAAAAGCATTCCTATTTCTCCACAGCTTCGCCAGCATCTGTTGCTTCTTGACTTTTTAATAATTGCCATTCTGACTGGTGTGAGATGGTATCTCATTGTGGTTTTGATTCACATTTTTCTAATGACCAGTGATGTTGAGCTTTTTTTCATATGTTTGTTGCATGCCTACTAGAATTTATAAAATGAAAAACACTCAGCATAATCAATTGTTGCTGAGGATGTGGGGGAACTGGAACTCTCCTACACTGTGGGTGGCATTTCTTGAAAAGTTGAAACATACACCTACCATGTTACCCAGCTATGCCGCTCCTAGATATTTACTCAACAGACAACAAAGCATATATCCATACAAAGACTTGTAGCAGCTTCATCTGAAGTAGTCAAAAAGTAGAAACTCCCTCATTTGAAGGAATACAAGTGTCCGTTAAAAGGTCGGCACATAAACAAATTGTGGCATATTCGTACAATAGACTACTATCTAGGAAGGAAAAGGAATGAGCCATGGATATATACGCCAACATCGATGACCTGGGAATAACTATGTTGAGTAAAACAAGCCAGACCAAAAACAGAGTGCATAGTGGATGAGTCCATTATACAAAATTCTAGACAATGCAAGCTAAGCTGGAGTGACAGGAAGCAGATCAGTGGCTGCTGGGGGTGAGGATGGGAGCCAGGAAGGAATGGAAGTGAGCAAGGAGTGAGGGTGATGGACATACTCATGATGGGGTCTGGGGTGACGATTTTATGGGTGTATGTATATATCAAAATCTATCAAATTGGACCCTCAACTATGCATTTTTCTGTGTGCAAGTTATATCTCAATTACAAACAAACAAAAACACAAAACCCTATGGTTAACCCAAAACCTAAACTATCACCAAGAAATATCAATTGGGGTTATGGCATGACCATCCTCCCCAAGAAAATAAAATGCTTGACAGATTCTGAGCGGGACAAATTTCACTGATCATATCCCATGAGTTTCATGCTAAAGAATCAGGGAATCTCATAGATCAAATGCACACACAGGCAGAAATGCCATATAAGCGTGCATCGTTCTGTGAAATATTTATGATTATTTCATTTGTGCCTTACTGTATTGTTGGTAAAAGAAAAAAAGTATATTCTATGAGATGAAATTCAAGCTGAAGCTCTACGCAAACATGTAGAAAGTTCTCATATTAATAATACTAGATGCTATCTAATAATAATTGGTAGATGACACTACCTACCAATGGTTATTATATCAGTAGGTCAAAGTAGTTAAACATAGTTGATGGTTATAAACTTTGAAGGAGTAGCAATAACATGGAAACACACCTACTGACTGAAGGACCCACATGTAAGAGCTGACATTTAGGGAAAGGTAAGCCAAGGTTAACATACTCTTACCCATCTCTAATCAACTAAAGACATATATAAGCGTGGCTTCTTTCTCCTCTTCTTCTTCAGCCTCAGGAAATGACTCCCTACCTGTTTACAAGGTTCAGAGAACTGTAACTTAAAAGTGAGACACGAGCTTTAGTTCATCCAACACTATCCCCCTCGAAATGTCAAAGAGACACCAAGGCTAAGGGTAATTAGAGATCAGGACACTGGCTGCTTTCAGTATAGAAGCACACAGCAATCTAGTGGCAGACTCCGAAAACTAGCTCCAAAGAGCACCATCCTCTCTCCATCTAAACTGGATATTACATCACTTCTGATAAAATGAGTAACCACCATAATAATCTCTGTCAGCTATGAGAAAATTTACCCTGGCTTCTATGAAAGGAAAAAAAAAAAGCACTTGATTTCTTGAGCTGAGAAATTACATTAAATTACCTCCAAGCTCTTTGTTAATTGACGTCCATTTGTATCAGAGGTAATTCGCTTAATAAAGCCATTTGAAATAAAAAGTATGGGCAGTTGCCAACCTACACATACTTGACTTTCAAAAATAATAAATGGCCTCATTCCTCCTCACAGTGCTCTCTCTGAGGCTTTCAACAATTCCACCTAAGAGGCCACCTATTGCCCTGTATCCTTGGCCACAGCCCCAGCCTTGCTGCAGCCTCGAGTGCTGCCGCAGTGCCCCTGGACTCCATCCCAGCCCGCAGATGGGGGGGCTCTCGCCCCTCCTGTTCTCCTTGCTGTGGCTCTAACCCAGCAGTCCCCAACCTGTTTGGCACTAGAAACCAGTTTCGTGGAAGATGATTTTTCCAGGGATGGCGGAGGAGGGGGATGGTTTCTGGATGAAGCTGTTCCACTTCAGATCATTAGGCATTAGATTCTCATAAGGAGTGCACGGATCCCTAGCATGCAGAATTCACAATAGAGTTCAAGCTCCTATGAGAACCTAATGTAATGCTGCCGCTGATCGGACAGGAGGCAGAGCTCAGGCAGAAATGTGAGCTACGGGGAGCAGCTATAAACACAGATGAAACTGCTCACTCCTGCCCTGCAGCCCAGTTCCTAACAGCCCATGAACTGGTACTGGTCTGTGGCCCGGGGACTGAGGACCCCTGCTCTAGCCCGTATCTATACATACATTCTCACCTATGCATCCCATTATGGACTAAGAACACCAAGAAATCATGGCCACCCATACGTCATACTCTTTCAGAATGTTCTAAGTTAGGTGGGCTTTGTGGGTCCACCTTGAAACCTGACCAGCTTTCAGAGCGTCATACTTCGGGGCTGGCTCTTCTCCTTTAAAGTCAGTAGACTCAGAAGAGTTTCTGGAACACAGCCCTTTGTGGTTGAAGACAATCCACATAATCCAACAGTAAATTTTCTCTGCACACCCTACAACCTTATTAAAAGTGACTTCTTAAGTACAAGCAAAGTCATACATCACAGGTCAACCTCAGGTGAAACTGGTCTTCCACCTAGTTCCTGGTTCATGCATCCCCAGATCCTTCACAAAGCAAGAGCTACAGAGATTTCTATTTTTCTACGAGGAAGAGAAGGAGAAGGACTGTAAAAAGCTAGAGTACTTTCATGAAGTCTGAAAGGTGACTCTGCCATTTATCCACTGGATAACCCTGTGGAACTGACTTAGCCTCCTGAGCCTCATTTTTCTCATCTGTGCTCTGTGGATAGTAAATGCCAAATATGGACCTTATAGGAACACTACAAGAATTAAACAATACTTGCAACTGACTTAACCCTAGGCTTGGCACATAATAGCAACTCACTCAATGTTGACTTCCTTCCTCACATCCTTGTTACCCTGAAATATAAAAACCAAAGTTTGGGCAAAAATATCTTCTAGAAAGAGAGGTGTCTATGAGAGAAGCAACTGCAAGGGCCCTGACTTTCCTACTTCCTTCTCTAAAGTCCCTGTCGCTATCATTATATTTCATCCCACTTCCAATGCAGACCTTGTTCTATAAAGAATATCTAGCACTTTCACATGTTTCTGAAGGAAGTGTATTATTTGTAGCCCCTTTTTGGAGAAAAATTATTCTGCTTCAAGGTATTTATTCTACGGATATACTAACATGTGTCAAAGAATACAATCTCGAGTCTTTAGTGTTGTTTCTGGAGTAAAATATTGAAAATAATCAAAATGCTCATCAATAGAAGGCTGGCTAAATAAAGTCGGCTTATATAATGGAATATCACGTGGCCAGTAAAAAAGAATCAAACAGCTCTCTATATATCAATATTTTGCAGTGTATATATTAAACTTTTAAAAAGCATACAAAACACTGTTTCTATTCTACTACCATTTTGGGGTGGGAGACTTTCTCTCCCTACTCATTATATACATGCAAATATATATATTATAAACAAATCTCTAGATTTTTTAAACCATAGAGCATTTCTTTAAGAATATCCAAGAATTGGCCGGGTGCGGTGGCTCACGCCTGTAATCCCAGCACTTTGGGAGGCCGAGGTGGGCGGATCACGAGGTCAGGAGATCGAGACCATCCTGGCTAACAGGGTGAAACCCCATCTCTACTAAAAACACAAAAAATTAGCCAGGCATGGTGGCGGGTGCCTGCAGTCCCAGCTACTCGGGAGGCTGAGGCAGGAGAATGGCGTGAATCGGGAGGCGGAGCTTGCAGTGAGCCAAGATCACGCCACTGCACTCCAGCCTAGGCGACAGAGCAAGACTCCAACTCAAAACAAAAAAAAAAAAAAAAAAGAATATCCAAGAATCTGGCCAAAGTGGCTGCCTCCAGAAAGGGAAATACATGGCTGTGGACAGAACAGACAACTTCCTTTTCCCCAAAGAGCCTTTTGTACCTTTTGAGTCACCCAGGCTGGAGTGTGGTGGTATGATCACAGCTCATTGCAGCCTCAGCCTCCCAGGCTCAAGCAATCCTTCTGCCTCAGCCTCCCGAGTTTCTGAGACCACAGGTGCGCACCACCATGCCCAGCTGACTTTTTCTATTTTTGATAGAGACGGGGTCTTTACATTACCCAGGCTGGTCTCAAACTCCTGAGTTCAAACTATCCTCCCGCCTCGGCCTCCCAAAGTGTTGGGACTGCAGGCATGAGCCACCACACCCAGTCTATACAGACTATCTATGAAACACAAAACTTAAAATAAACAATCCCAGTGTAAATTTAGTTTTTGTTCTGATTTTTCCCCCAGAACAGCTCTCTCACATTTAAAAAGTCTTTCTCTAAATTTATTTAATTACAAAAATTAACAGTGCTGGTTTGAATAAGGAAATAAATATAAAGATGTGCAAAGAAAAGAATATAATCCTTTCCCTTACTCCCCCTTCCCAAGTCCCCAGAGTTAGACTGCTATGCTCCCCCTTCCCAAGTCCCCAGGGTTGGGACTGCTGTGCTCCCCCTTCTCAAGTCCCCAGGATTAGACTGCTGTGTGCCCTTCCCTACACCTTTTTCCAAAAGCGCATGCACACATCAGGAATTTTTTGTGTTGATTTCTTTTCTTCCAAGCAGAATCAAGCCATAAGCATAACTGCAACATTCTCTTCTTTCATCTGACAGTCAGGTTAGCGTGAGAATGGTATTTGGTCCCAATTCCTTTATTCACTTGATCTCAATGTCTTTCTCTTCCCCACCCTGCCCCTCCACCCGTGCTCACCCAAACAATTTTACGTAAGTAGACTAATATCATGAATTTTTTTTTCATGGAATCCCCCATTGCCTAATCAATCTCCTTGCATCCCCTTGAGGAAATGAGGCTACACGTCCATGTTCCCATCCTGTGGTCTTTCAGAGGCCCTCTCACTTGGGGCTGGCTCCCGCTCTGAGATTATCTCTAGTCAGGATGGGAAAAACTCCAGGGGTGCCCCGGGAAAATCTCTAGCCGTCTGGCCAGGCAGTTAAAGGTGGCCTTGACCAAGTGCGAAGCATGATTCCAGGCCAAAGCTGTGCTGCCATTTGCATCGTGGAATTAAATGATCTAAGTGGAGAGCCACTGGATGCTTTGAACAAACCCACATCACACATTTAATGAAGAAAAAATAGCAGCAGTGAGAGAGAGAAGCTCTCAAGCAAGACCTGGCAATGCTTCTAATTTCACTGTCCTTCCTACCCCTCTTCCTTTAAAAGCCAACAGAGATGACAGCCTACGTGAGTCAGCACAGGGAAGTGGGGAGGCCTCTGGGTCTCAGTTCCACATATCTTCCCCCTGCCTGTTCCCAGGGGTCTGCAGGTCCAACGGCCACTCCCTGAGAGTCCTTGGGTGTCAGAGGGAGCAGCTGCCAGGTGGA
This sequence comes from Homo sapiens, assembly GCF_000001405.40. Lineage (NCBI taxonomy): Eukaryota > Metazoa > Chordata > Mammalia > Primates > Hominidae > Homo > Homo sapiens. The sequence continues at coordinate 4,530,823 of NW_018654717.1, read as the reverse complement.
AACGGAATGAACTGCCTGCCTGAACTGCCTGCCGGGGGATTAGCAGCTTCTGTGCAAAGCTTACAGGATGCCTCTAAGGCCCCTGTGGCAGGAGGTCAAAGAATCTTAACAAGGAGGTGGGAAGTGGAAATAGAAGGTCACTTACTACTAAGCCTATTTCCACCCTGCATTTTTGGTTCTTGGATTTCATCACGCCGAATTTTACAGAATGCAAGTAAGTATGTACAAAGATCGAAGATCGGCATGGAGAATAGCATGAAGCAGTAACCTCCCTCCCAAATTTGCTTACAACTCTTATGTCCATACAAAGTTGTTATTAATGCCACAGGTTATGAAAATACCAGTCAATCATCACTGATTAATCACACTTTGATTTATGCCAGAACTTCACATTTTCTTAAAAGGTGGGGGGTGCTTTTTAAATATCGCACAAAAAAGCCAGCAGTGTTTAAATCTTCCTTTGATGTTGCTACACAGACTTGATGTATATTAAATCCTCCTCTGCCTCCAAGCATGCAAAGATGTTAGCAGATACTACGCAGGTTTTCCATCAAGGTTTTAATAAAATCCTATTGCTATCAAACCTAGTCTAGGTGCCTAATAGTAACTTTTCCAACTATGTGCAAAAGACAGCTGGGTTTAGTCACCGTAGGAGCATGTGGACATCTGAGGAAATCACTGATTAACTGTGGATAAGCCCGCGTCAAAAGGAGAACAGCGCAGCGCTGGCTTTGGGGTCTGGCTCCAGCTCTGCCATCTCCTAGCAGCGGGTCGCTCGACAAATGGCTCTGACAGCTCTAGGCCTGAGTGCACACGTCTAAGGGCAAGGTCACCGCATGCCTCGTAAGACTGTGGTGAAGCCTGCACGAGATGCTATACGCAAGTGTGTAGCATGAGGCCTTGAGACCCTGGCCACACACAAGACGAGGACTCTCCACCCGGCCACGGGCAGCCAATTCCTCTGTGCGGCAGCACCAGGCAGGCTGAGAGGAGCTGAAGCAGGCAGATCAGACAGCTCCCTGGGGATTTGAAATTGGGGTGAGAGATAGAATTAGTCTGTGGTGGGGGACTGAAGCCAAGAGAGGCTGGGGCGGTCATTTGCATCGTGCGCAGCTGCAGAGCAAGCTGGTCTGAGGGGAGAGGAAAATGGAGCGAGTCCTCAGGGAGAGGGTGAGATGGCACTGAGACGTGACCATGCCTGATGCAGAGGGACAGAGATGGGGGCAGGGGATGGAGCGGGAGACAGGGGACCACGCCAGGGGCACTGAGATGGGGACAGGGACCAAGTCAGGGGGGATTGAGATGGAGACAGGGACCCAAGTCAGGGGGACTGAGATGGGGACAGGGATCACGTCAGGGGGATTGAGATGGAGACAGTGACCCAAGTCAGGGGGCCTGAGGTGAGGACAGGGACCAAATCAGGGGGAATGAGATGGAGACAGGGACCCAAGTCAGGGGGACTGAGATGGAGACAGGGACCCAAGTCAGGGGGACTGAGACGGGGACAGGGACCAAGTCAGGGGGACTGAGATGGGGGCAGGGACCAAGTCAGGGAGACTGAGATGAGGACAGGGAACCAAGTCAGGGGGACTGAGATGGTGACAGGGAACCAAGCCAGGGGGATTTAGAAGGGGACAGGGACCAAGTCAGGGGGACTGACACAGGGACAGGAACCAAGTCAGGGGGACTGAGACGGGCACAGGGACCAAGTCAGGGAAACTGAGAAGGGGTTGGAATGACTGAAAACCAGAAAATCAGGACAGGAGGTACCGACAGGCTGGTGGCGGGAAGGGAGGGTAACAGAGCCAGGCATGGGATCCCGCACAGAGGACACAGACAGAAGACCGGGAAGGAGAGACAGAGGGACACAGGACAGTCTCGAATTCTAGTCCATACAGAGATTCTCTTCCCCATCCTTGGAATCTGGGGATAGCTCTCCTCCTGCCAGAATCCTGACTTTCCTTTCAAATTAGCTCAAGAGCTCTGACTAGAACACAGTAACTACAAACGGTTTTTCTCAGGGGTATCCATTTTTCTCATTAACTGTAAATGTTTATTTGCAAGTTACTATGTGGCTCTAACAAATTATTATAAAAACAGCTTCTGAAGCCTTGCTTTCAGATGAATAATGTTTCTCTCTGTATCCAGAGAAATGTACTGTGAAGGCCCGGTGGGCATCGCTGCCAGAACAAAAAGAGTAAGGAGCTGGACACGGGGCCCCGCGCTCCGATCCTGGTGCTGCGCTAACTCCCTGCAAGTTCCCGAAACACCGTGAGTCCTCTGGGCCTCGTCCCTTCTACTGCAAAAGGAAGAGACTGAACTGGTTTATCTCTAGGGTCTCTTCGAGCTTTAAATAGTCTGTTCCAGCTTAAAATACTGTAAAAATATATTTTCTACTTAATTTTCTAGGCTTCATAAAACTCCTCACAAATTTAGCATGAAGTAGAACAATCGCCTAAATAGGGCACACAAACATGTCCTTGGTTCTCCCAGGCCACCACTTCCCTAATTCTCCCGTCTTCAGTCTTTGACACAGGTAATGAACCCACAGGTCACCGAGAAGAGCATCACCTGCGAAATTTCAAGACCCACGGTGGCTGTGCTCCATCTCTGATGTAGCACAGAAGATAGTGGGGGCTGAGAAAAGAAAGAATCTCGCCTCTCAGAGATGTGCCTGTCTCCATGCGCTTCAAAGATCTTAGCCACGTCGTGCATAATGTATGAGTGAGCGCTCACAGAAAAGGCCTGTTACGCAGTTCTCTATCACAGCAGATTTCCCTACAGGGAAGAAAACAACGGGAAATCATATAAAAATAGGAGAGATTTAATTTTGTGCTTAAATAAACATGCTTTTCATTCCCTACTTAGCAAAAACAGTTCCCCCTAGGAGCTCAGGCTACCTGCCTGTGAGGCAGAACTAAATCTATGCATCCGTACAGCTCTTTTGTCTGACACCTGACCAGTGGGGTCCTCTATGCTCCCTTGAGAAGAAGCCAGTAAACAGACAGGCAAACTCCATAAATAAGGCCACCTTCTCAGGGGCTCTGCGGGGAGCAGGATGCCTGGAGGCCAATCTCTCCTCACCTTCCATCATCTAAGCATCTCACATCTTGCATCTTCTTAAGCATCTTAAGAAATACAGGACTGCCTCCCTCCAAGCACACAGGGTACCCCGGAGTCCTTACCCACTCCAGCACAGGAAAACCAGCCCTCATTTAGCCTCAGAAAAGATCCAGTCTCCCTTAAATGGCCTGGAACACTGCAGGCCATTTCAGAGTCTTCTGGCTCAGATGCAGTGCTAGGGTGAGGGCTTAAAGGGCAATGAAAGTCTTTCTCTTTCTCTCTCTTTCACACACACACACACACACACACACACACACACACACACACACACCCCTTTCTGCTCCATCAGAAGAAGAAAATGATTCTTGCCAATATCTATAAGAAGGTCACTCATGTAACATAAGATCCTGCCCTCAAATCTCACCAGCTGAAGAGATATAGATCATCTCTAAAAGATAAACCATTTGTAGTCCAGATGGGTTTAGCGGTCAGAAGCCAGGCAAGGAATCTAGAGTGAGACAGGGTATCCATCAATTCTGAAGTTCAAGGAAAGAAAATAGATTAGAGAACAGGTAAGCAAGTTGGAGGCAAGGCCCCAAGGAACCCAGGAAGGAGGTGTGCACAGCGATCGCACCCTGGAGGAAGGCTGCGCTGGCCTCACGGGAACAGATTTGCTTCTTCCAGTCAGATGCGCTTCTCTGCCCCCAGGCCACGTTTAGCATTTGCAGGTTCCCAGGCTAGACTCCTAGGGGACCTGCTTTCACCAAGGAAGGGAATAGAGGCAGTAGCTAAGTCAGTGCAATCTCATGCTGTCCTAGAGATTCTGCAAAATGCAGAGCTCCCCTCACAAAGTGTAAAGGGACAGAAGACTGCATCAGCTTGCTAAGGCTATCATAACACAGGACTACAGGCTGGAGAACTTAAAGAAAAGGGTTGCGGTTTTTTTGTTTTTTGAGATGGAGTCTCCCTCTATTGCCCAGGCTGGAGTACAGTGGCGCAATCTCTGCTCACTGCAACCTCCGCCTCCCGGGTTCAAGGAATTCTCCGGCGTCAGCCTCCAGAATAGCTAGGATTACAGGTGTGCGTCACCACACTCAGCTAATTTTTGTGTTTGTAGCAGAGACAGAGTTTCACCATGTTGGCCAGGCTGGTGTCAAACTCCTGATCTCAAGTGATCCATCTGCCTCAGCCTCCCAAAGTGCTGGGATTATGGGTGTGAGCCACCATGCCCAGCCTAAGAACAGGTATTTATTTTCTCAAATTCTGGAGTCTGGAAGTCCAAGATCAAGGTGCTGGCAGGGTTGGTTTCTTCTGAGGCCTCTCTCCTCTGCTTGCAGGTGGCTGCCTTCTCCCGGTGTCTTCACGTGGCCTTCCCTCTGAGGATGTTTGGGTACAAATTTCCTCTTCTTGTAAGAACCCCAGTCCTACTGGATTAGGGCCCAACCTAATGACCTCATTGAACCATAATTACCTCTTTAAAGACCCTAACTCCAAATACTACCTTCTGGAGATTAAGATTTCCAAATATGAATTTTAGAGGGAACACAATTCAGCCATAACAAAGGCTAAGTAAGAACCTGTTTAAAATCCTGGATGTCTTTTCTTGCTAAAGGAGCTGACTCTTAGTTCTCTCCTTCAGCTCCTGGAGATTGTGTAATTAACTGGAGGAGGCTCAGAGGTAGAAGGAGCCTAAGATACTATCTATTCTAGCCTCTCATTTTGCAGTTGAGGCTGAAGTTCACAGAGGTTAAATGACCTGGTTCTGAGTAACTGGTTGGACAGCTGTACCCAAGAGGTTCTGATAATGGATAGTTGTCAGCTTCCTATCAACTTCCTTCCTTTAAAGTTAACACATATTCATTGTTTTTTTAAAAAATTTGCAGGAAAGAACACTATAAAGTGAAAAATAAATGTCCACCTTCCTCCTGACGGCCAGTCTATTCCACAGAGGTAACTACTGTTACCCATTTCTCAGGCGCCTTCCAGAAATACTGCATGCAAACACAAAGAGTGTGTGTGTGTGTGTGTGTGTGTGTGTGTGTCGCACACTGCTGCCTACCCAATATCCCTTCTCCTCTTCTTCCATATTCACAGAACTCTGGATTGTGTGTCAGGGAAGAACACGTGCCTAATCAAAATTTTTGCCTTGACAGATTCCCTGAAGGTCTGGGTAGCCATGGGATAGTTCTAGCCAATGAAATGTAAGCAGAAGTTGGGCCAGGCATGGTGGCTCACGCCTGTAATCCCAGCACTTTGAGAGACCCAGGAGGGTAGATCACTTAAGGTCACGAGTTCAAGACCTGCCTGGCCAACACGGCGAAACCTCATCTCTACTAAAAATACAAAAATTAGCCGAGCGTGGTGGCGGGCGCCTGTAGTCCCAGCTACTCGGGAGGCTGAGGCAGGACAATCGCTTGAACCCAGAAGGTGGAGGCTGCAGTGAGCTGAGATCACGCCACTGCACTCCAGCCTGGGTGACAGAGTGAGGCTCCATCTCAAAAAAGAGCTGGTTGGACATTTCTGGAAATATTTTGGGTTTTCCGATTCCAACTTCTTACCTTCCTCCTTACATCTTTTTTCCATCAGAAATGCAGATGTGAGGTCCGGTACAGTGCAGCCATCTTGCTGCCATAAGGAAACACACCCACATAATTAGTACCGCAGAGGAGAAAGATGGCATCTGAGGCAGGGATGGCATAGTGAGACCCTGTCCCAACCCTGCACTGCTGACATATGAAGATGTCTTGTTGTACAAGGTAAATACATTCCCTTCATTTTTGTTAATTTATAGCTAATATCTTCCTTACTGATATCCCGTATATCTTTTTAATTTTTAACACAACATCCTCCTATGCATAGTGATTTGCTTTTCCATTTAGTATCCTGAACCTTTCCTAGTTAGTACGTAGAGAATTGTGCCATTTTTAACACTACACAATATTTTGCTGGACACCTACAGATGGTCATATAAGCTACCTCTATTTTTTGCTAGTATAAATGCTATTATTACAAATATCTGCGTAGTTATTTTTGTGTACATGCTGGAAAACATTTACAGGGTCATTAGTGGAATGACTGAGTCTAAGAATACGAACCTTTTAAATTCTAGTCTAAGGATATTGTAGAAATGCCCTTCAACAGCACTGGTCAACTCAATATGTCTGTTTTCTCATCCTTTCACCAGCAAGGTGGGTATTATCAGACTTAGCCACATCCAATTTCACAGATGAAAACAATGAGACCTCTTTATTTTCCTTTGCATTTTTAAACAAAGTGAAGTTTACTATGTTTTCACAAGCTCACTTCTAGCAATGAACATTGGTTTAACTATTCCATTTTTCATTTTTCCTATTGACTTCTAAGACTTCTTTCCATGTGAAAGGAATTAGCTCTGACACATAGGCTGCAAATATTTTTCTCCAATATATTACTTGTTTTTTGACCACATTTATGGAATTTTTGCCCAACAGAACTTTAAATTTTCCTCATGAAATTTTTCTTTTAGGAAAGTTAGCCTTTTTCTTTACAGCTTCTGTGTTTTGTGACACGCTTTGGGGGGAAAAAAGTCTTCTGTCTACATTCCAAGATATATTTAAAATTTACTCATGTTTCGTCTAATAATTTTTATGAGTTCATTATTTAAGTCTAAATCTTTCAGACAATTTAATTTCTTTTTTTTTAAGAGACTTTCTTTGTTATGTAGTTTATTTTTATCTAAGGAATGTTGGAGGGACCCCAGCTCCCTTTTTTTTCTAACAGCTCTTCAGCTGTCCTAAACCACATTTATTGATGAATTTACTTCCCCCGGTGATTAGGAATGCCACCTTTTCCCAATCTGGAGGCACAGTGTGAAGCAGCCTACATCTGCCAGGACTCTGACATATGCCCTACCTTCGAGAATGTTTCAGTGAATGATGCTGATGCAAATATACAAGGGAACTCGTCAATCATTTGTGTCGCTTACAACCAAGAGAATAAATTAACAGGATGAAACCAGAGATTAAAAAACATCTCAAAAGCATGGAGCAACAGGAACTGTTTAACAAGATAATGTCTAATAGGATATAGTTTGAACTTACACTTAGGTGCGGTGAAATCAAAGCCATCAAATACAGAAGAGAAATAGTGGGGAGGCAGAACACATGCCAAGGCCTCCTTGGGACACTGCCAGTAGCTCTGACCTAGGGCAGTCTGAAGCTGCAGTGTTCTCAGATGGCCTTCAAAGACGCAGGGCCATACTGTATCTTAGGCCGTCTTCACAGAAAGAAGGTAACAGCCCGGGCCCTAGTCCACATTGCTCACACCATTACCTAGAGCCTGCAATTCAGTTTCAGACACGACCAGTTAAGGGGAATATCAACTAGACCACTCCACGGAGGAAAAACGCAAAAGCTAAGGGCATTTAAAACAATATCACATGAAGAAGGAATAACTGGAGATGCCCACTGCCCACTAAGCAGTGACACTCTGTAATGCGGGCAAGGCCCACGCCACCTTTATCTGTGCAGTCCTCACGGCGTGCATAGCCTGGAAAGAGCTGGCCCCTAATGAATAAGCATTGAGCAAAAGTGGAGAACTGAGGGGACAGGATTTGCTGCTTTAGATTTATGAGGTAGATTCCTTAGAGACTAGTGGCCGAGCTCTTATCCCGCCCCTAGCTCAGTCCTTCATGTCTTTCCTTTAGATCAGGCTCTGTCAATCTGCTAAGAGCACCCCTGCCTCCCTCTTCCGGCCCGTTACTGCAGCCAGCAGCCTTCTTCCTACAATGCAAATCTATTCTCCCCAGCCTCTCACATTCAAGTGAACTCCTTGGACACTGCAGAATGGGCCCTTTGTGATCCAGCCCCCTGCCCACTTTCCCAGCTCCTTGCTACTTTAACATAAGGAAATCAAACTTTTCAGGGACCCCAATACGTCACCTCTCATGCCTCTGCTAAGCTCTTCTCTGGGTGCGGAGCGCCCTCCCAGAACCCCTTCCCCATCCTGAGTCTGGCAGATTCCAACTCAGTATGTGTACCGGGCTGCACCCCCACCTGGAGGTCCTCTCCAGCACCCTTCTCCGTGCAGCTCAGCACCCTGGACATCATCTTCTTCACTGCCTTTCTCACACTGTGCTCTAGTTCATTCATGGACATCTCTATTTCTATATCAGATCGTGAGATCTGTCCAGCGCCATGGCCCATGCCTGTAATCAGAGCACGTTGGGAGGCCTAGGTGGGTAGATCACTTGAGGTCAGGAGTTCAAGACCAGCCTGGCCAACATGGTGAAACCCCATCTCTACTAAAAATACAAAAATTAGCCAAGCAAGGTGGCAGGCACCTGTAATCCCAGCTACTGAGGAGGCTGAGGCAGGAGAATCGCTTGAACCCAGTAGGTGGAGGTTGCAGTGAGCCGAGATCACGCCACTGCACTTCAGCCTGGGCGAAAGAGTGAGACTCTGTCTCAAACCAACAAACAAAAGATTGCGAGATCTTTGAGAAAGGAGATTGCGTGGGGTATCCTCAGTGCCTGACACAATGGCAGGACCAATGGATGACAGCAAGTTAAACTAGAAGGGAGGGGAAGACACATTTCAGATGAATACAAAAAAGAGACTTGAACAGAACTGTCCACAAATGGAACAGATTGCCTCACGTGAGGTCACGTTCAGAGGTGCCCAGAGGCCAGATGGTCTGCTGGGAAGACCATACAGAAGATTCTTCACTGTTCAACTAGAACAGTGCTTCTCAGCCTTGCTTTAGAGTGTGCCTGCTTCGGCAGGTCTGGGGTGTGGCCTGGGATTCTGCATTCCTAATATTCTCCCAGGGGAGGTCGAAGCTGCTAGTCCAGGGACCACATTTGAAATGCCCGGGACTAGATGACCTCTAATTTCTCTCCAATCCTGGGATCTGTCCCAGGACACATATATGAGGTGGCCCCACACCTCTGGCGTGGGGAGCCATTAACTAAGGAGAAAGCATGGCTTCGAGTTCTGTGTCAGGAAACACCAAGCAAAAGGCTCAAGGAAGAAATGACTGTAAAAACTCCTAAAATAAACTAGAGTCTGGTTCTATCTATATCAGGATTTTCCTGAAGCATTTTAACTAAAAGAAGACTAAGTTATTATTAAGTGTCAGCCACCGTTTTCATCAAACGATTTGGCTTTCAGTATTGTTTTTGTTCAGCTATTTTAAAACCTGAATCAGGGCAGAGAATACAAGTAAAAGAGAAAATCACTCATAATCCATCTAAAATTACAGGTTATTAAATTTAAATAGGACATTAGTGGGGGCTATTCTAGAGTTCTCTGGACCAATTTTCTAATTTTACAGGAAAGGAAACATGTACCCAAGGTCACCAAAGTTGGCCCTAAAGCAAGGAATCCTATCCTATATATTTCTTTTTGAGATGGATTCTTGCTCTTTCTTCTAGGCTGCAGTGCAGTGGTGTGATCTTGGCTCAGTGCAACCTCCGCCACCCGGTTTCAAGTAATTCACATGCCTCAGCCTCCCGAGTAGCTGGGATTACAGCACCACCATGCCCGGCTAATTTTTGTATTTTTAGTAGAGGCGGAGTTTTGCCATGTTGGCAGGCTGGTCTCAAACTCCTGACCTCAGGTGATCCGCCCACCTCGGCCTCCCAAAGTGCTGGGATTACAGGCATGAGCCACCGTGCCCAGCCAATATTCTCAGTATACTTTCCCTTCCTTTAAAGTCAGCTTGCTCTTTGTCTTAGCCTGCTCAGGTTGCTATACCAAAATACTACGGATTGGGTAGTTTAAACTACAGAAATGTAGTTTCTCACAGTCCAGAGGCTGGGAGGTCCAAGATCAGGGTGCCTGCATGGTTGGTGTCTGGTGAGGGCCTCTCCCTAGCTTGTAGAATGCTGCCTTCTTGTTATGTCCTCACATGGCAGAGAGAGACACAGTGGGCTCTCGGGGGTCTCTTCCAATAAGGACACTAACCCCACTGAATCAGCAACCACCCTCATGATCTCATTTAACCTTAAAACCTCCTTATAGACTCTATCTCCAATATACATTGGGGGTTGGGGCTTCAACATATAATTTGGGAGTCACAAATCAGTCCCAAGCAATGCCATCTTTGAAAAATGATACTCTTACTTCATTTTTCCAATATGAGTAGAATAATGCATTTGATAAAAGTTTGATCGAATAAATCCAACTTAAAAATACACCTTCTTGTCTACAGCCATACTACCTGATCTGGAAAGCTAAGCAGGGTCGGGCCTCGTTAGTACTTGGATGGGAAAAATACATCTCCACAATCACCTGATTTCAAAACGTACCACAAAGCTACAAGAATCAGGGTAATGTGAACAGACATATAGATCAATAGAACAGAATAGAGTTCAGAAATAGACAAACACATAAATGGTCAATTTTTTTTTTTTTTTTTGAGACAGTCTCACTCGGTCGCCCAGGCTGGAGTGGTGCAATCTCAGCTCACTGCAACCTCCGCCTCCCAGGTTCAAGCGATTCTTGTGCCTCAGCCTCCTGAGTAGCTGGGATTACAGGCATGCGCCACCACACCCATCTAACTTTTATATTTTTAGTAGAGACGGGTTTCACCATGTTAGCCATGCTAGTCTCAAACTCTTGACCTCACGTGATCCGTCTGCCTGCCTCAGCCTCCCAAAGTGCTGGGATTACAGGTGTGAGCTACCGCCCCCAGCCGTCAATTGATTTTTGACAAGAGCCCAGGCAATTTAAAGGAGAAAGAATAGCTTTTTTCAGCAAATGGTGCTAAAACAACTGGATATCTGTATGGAAAAGAAAATAAACCTCAATCCTTACTTCAAGGCGCACATGCACGCACACACACACACACACACACACACACACACACACGCACCAAAGTAACTTGAAATAGATCCTAGACCTAAATGCAAAAGCCAAAATCACAAACTTCTAGGTGAAGGTCTTCTTAACCTTGAGAGGGACAGAAAGAAAGAAAAAAAAAAGTACTAACCAGAAGACTTCGACAAATTGAAATGTTGAACTCTTGCTCTTCAAAAGACACTTGAAGAAAATGAAAAAGCAAGCCACCCACTGGGAGAACATGTTTGTAATACACACATCTGGCAAAGGACTTGTTTCTAGAATATATTTAAAAACTCATACAGCTCAATGATAAGACGACAAGCAACCCTATTAAAAATGGGCAAAAATTAGAACAAGATACTTCACACACACACACACACACACACACACACACACACAGCCAGTAACCACAGAAATGGCACAATGAGCAAAGATGCTCATCATTAGCTATCAGAAACACAAACAGAAACCTTACGAAGATACACAACATAACCACTAGAATGCCTGCAATTAAAATGACTGACAATACCAAGTACTGATGAACACGTGATGCAACCAGAATTTTTTTCTTTTTTTTTTTTTTTTTTTTCAAGACAGAGTCTCTCTCTGTTGCCCAGGCTGGAGTGTGGTGGCTCAATCATAGCTGACGGCCACCTTGAACTCCTAGGCTCAAGCGTTCCTCCCACTTCAGCCTCCTGACTCGCCGAGACTACAGGCACATGCCATTACTACATGCTAAGTTTTCACTTTTAATTTTTTGTCGAGGCGAGGTCTCTTTTAGTTGCCCAGGCTAAGAATTTTTACAAACTATTGGTCGAATTGTGTATTAGCCCATTCTTACACTGCTATAAAGAAATACCTGAGACCGGGTAATTTATAAAGAAAAGAGGCTTAATTGGCTCACAGTTCTGCAGGCTGTACAAAAAGCACGGAAGCATCTGCTTCTAGGAGGGCCTCAACGAGCTTTTACTCATCACAGAGGGCAACGGGGGAGCAGGTGTCTTACATGGCAGGAGCAGGAGGAAGAAAGAGAAGGGAAGGTGCCACACACTTTTAAACAACCAGATCCCATGAGAATTCACCATCGTGACAACACCACCAAAGGGGGACTGGTGCTACACCATTAGAGACCACCCCCTGATCCAATCATCTCCCACCAGGCCCCACCTTCAGCACTGGGGATTGCATTTCAACATGAGATTTGTGTGGGGACATAGATCCAAATCATATCAGAATGTAATGGTACAAACACTCTGGAAAAATTTGGCAGCTTCCTATAAAGCTAGACATGGGCTGAGTGCAGTGATTCATGCCATAATCCTAACATATGGAGAGGCGGAAGTGAGAGGATCGCTTGAGGCCAGGAGTTCAAGACCAGCCTGGGCAACACAGGGAGACCCCATGTCTACAAAAAAATTAAAAATTAGCCAGGCATGGTGGTACATGCCTGAAGTCTCAGCTACTCAGGAGGCTGAGGTAGGAAGACTGCTTGAAACCAGGAGTTCAAGGCTGCAGTGAGCCACGATTGCACGACCACACTCTAGCCTGGGTGACAGAACAAGACCCTGTCTTTAAGAATAAATAAATTAAATCAACAAATAAACAAAAAGCTAGACATGCACTTTCCATAAGACCTAGCAATTCTAATCTTAGAGCAATGACAATATATGCTTACACAAAGCCTTACATGTGAATGTTCATAGTGACTTTAGTCACATTGCCAAAAAAATGAGAAGAACCCAAATGTCCCATCAAATGAATGAACATACTGCAGTACTTCCTAAAATGGAATACTACTCAACAACAAAAAGAAACAGGCTACACTTTGGGAAGCTGAGGTGGGCGGATCACCTGAGGACAGGAGTTCAACACCTGCCTGGCCAACATGGTAAAACCCCGTCTCTACTAAAAATACAAAAATTAGCTGGGCATGGTGGTACATGTCTGTAATCCCAGCTACTCAGGAGGTTGAGGCATGAGAATCGCTTGAACCCGGGAGGCGGAGGCTGCAGTGAGCCAAGATCGTGCCACTGCACTCCAGCCTGGGCAACCGAGTGAGACTCTGTCAAAAAAAACAAAAAAAAACAAAACAAACAAACAAACAAACAAAAAACAGGAACAGACTACTGTCACATGCAGCATAATGACATTTTATACTATGGTGGTCCCATAAGATTATAATGGAGTGGAAAAATTCCTATCACGGAGTGACATCATAGCCGCCATAACTCAATTTTTTAAAATAAATTTAGTGTTGCCTAAGTGTTCCATGTTTATAAAGCCTACAGTAATGTGCAGTAATGTACTAGGCCTTCACATTTACTCATTACTCATTCACTGACTCACCCAGAGACACTTCCAGTACGCAGGCTCCATTCACGAGACGTGCCCTATACAAGTGCACCATTTTCTGTCTTTTATACTGTATTTTGACAGTACCTCTTCTGTGTTCACATTTGAGATACACAAGTACCACTGTGTTATAATTGCCTATAGTATTCATTACAGTAACATGCTGCACAGGTTTCTATTCTAGGAGCAACAGGCTTGACCATATAGCCTAGGTGCATAATAGGTTGTAACATGTAAGTTATGTGGGTCCACTCTATGATGTTCATACAACAATGAAATTGCCTAATGACACATTTCTCAGTATCCCCATCATTAAGGGATGCATGACTGTATTCATTCATGTAACAACATAAATAAACCTCCAAAACATTATGCTAAGTAGAAGAAGCCAGATCTGTGGTTCCTCAACTGTGCACGAAACCACCCCAGGGCCCCCAGTGAACTCACAGACATGCCACTGGATATTTTAAATCTTGGAGGGAAACAGCAATAATTGTGGGACACCATGTAAGCTACTTTTAATGAGTTCTCTGGATCTAATGGAACTGGTAGGTATCCCTTTTAACTTTCAACACCATAAAAAATTATGGATTCTAAAGGCACTGTGAACCAAGGAAGTTTGGAAACCTCTAAACCAGACACAAAAAAAGTACATACTAAATGACTGAATGTACAGGAAGCTCTCTAATAGGGCAACCTAATTCCCATGGACAGAAAGCAGATGAGTGGTTGTTCGAGGGTGAGCATTAGGGGAGTGAGGGTACATTTGGGGTAATGGGAATGCTCTCTATCTTGATTGGGAGTGAATGCATGCCAAAACCCATAGAATCTATCACACACTTAAAAAAATAGGTGCATTTTTACTGTATATAAATTATACCTTAATAAAGTTTATTTAGAAATTAAATACTGCAAGAAAAGTTTAAAACACACATTCCTAAACACTATCCTGTCCCACGGGTCTTGAGCATCTTTCTAGATGGTGGGCATCCCGGAGCAGAGTTACGAGATACCCATCATGCAGCCGCCATCTCAGTGACTACAAGGTATCACAGCTCACACTCAGGAAACAAATGTTCATTAATTCCCTCATTTTCCTCACGATGAAGATGTTTCTACAAGGAAATGAAAATTGAAACTAAATTCCAAACTTGCTATATAATGATCTTTTATGTGAACAATTTTTTCAACAACTTAATTTTCAGCACTTATTAATATTTATAAAGCTTTTCTCTCTCACTTCCTCAGGATTCCTGCCACTGAATATGGTTTCAACTTAAAATTTTAAAAGATCCTTTACTGGGTAAGAGTATTTGGGACACCCATTATACTACGTAGAAGAGTCAATATTCAGACCCAGTTCTCATGTATGGAAATTAAACTTTTCATGGCCTCTTGTGATTATTTAGAACAAAAGTTGGCAAAACATGGCCCGCTGCCTGTTCTTGTAAATAAAGTTTTATTGGAACTTAACCACAGCCAGTCATTTACATATTATCTACGACTGCTTTCCAAGGTAGTGCAATTCTGCTAACCGATGCTACTACAGTGGCACAGGTAGGTGGTTGCCACACAGGCTATAGCCTGCGAAGCGAGAAATAATTACTATCTAGCCCTTCAAAGAAAAAGTGTGCTGAACTCCAATCTATAATATATCTGTTGACCTAAAACAACATGCTGAACCATGCAAGACAGAGAGGAAAGAAAAGGAGAAAACCAAACACCTCAGTGATGTTATTTCTTTTTAAAACACAACTGAACAATTACATAAAGGCTGTGTATGTGAGAAAAGCACACTGTTTCAATTGCAAATTTCAGGCAACCCTGTTGCTTCTGACAAAATAATAGTTTGAGTAGCCTCAGGTTCTGGGTGGCGTCCCTCTCAAAAAGTCTGCTTCTGTGAGTTGTAATTATCAATGGCTCTTGGCTTCTTAGAAAAAGTACCCAGCTTTCCTTTCTACTTTATTGTTTTGTTTTGTTTTTTAGAGACAGGGTCTTGTTCTGCTGCCCAGGCTGGAGTGCAGTGGCATGATCGGAACTCACTGCAGTCTCAAACTCCCGGGCTCGAGTGAACCTCCCACCTCAGCCTCCAAAAAGCTGGAGACTACAGGTGTCCACCACCACACCCAGCCAATTTTGTTTTTTCTGTGGAGGCAGGGTCTTCCTATGTTGCCCAGGTTAGTCTCAAACCCCTGGCCTCAAGTGATCCTCCCACCTCAGTCTCCCAAAGTGTTGAGATTAAATGCATGAGCCACCTCGCCCAACCATCCACTTTTCCTTTTTGAACACTTCCTGGTATCTCCATTCATCTCTATCCATGAACTCAAGGTTGGGGAGAACAAATGAAGTAGAGCTAGATAACTTCCTTTAGTTTCCTTTCTGCACACAGGGGTCTAAAAATTCTGATTCCCTTTCCCATCTGAATCTTGCCATTTTTCTCTAAGTTAACCAACCTTTCTTCTTTCCTCTTTTTGTTCCGCCGCAGTGACAGTCATCTTGTTGTTTATTTAAAATGACCCTTTAAAGACATATTAAGTCTCATTCTGTCTGCTTAATGTCATGACCAAAACATAGTTTCATGCAAAAGAGATTTTAAGCATTTTTGTACAAGCTGAACTGGATTGGGACGTGCAATGGCGGAACTTGTGACTTTGGCAAAACATAATAACTAGGCTCAGTGCCCACAAATATTTATTTAGCATTTTGAAATATGAACTATTCTAAATATGTAATTAGCAACTAGATGTTCATACCACTGCAGTTCTGAAATGATGATACAAATGTTCTGCTGAGTTGAGCAAGATCTTTATATATTCTTAGAGCAGAAGAACAAAATAGTTATCCTTGCTGGGCTTTCAAGTCCAAATATTTTAAAAAGCAATGCAGCAAAGGAGTTGAATAGACATTTCTCCAAAGAAGAACATCCAATAAGTACATAAGAAGATGCTTGGCCAGGCGCAGTGGCTCACGCCTAATCTCAACACTTTGGGAGGCAAGGCGGGCGGATCACTTGAGAGATCAGGAGTTCGAAACCAGTCTGGCCAACATGGTGAAACTCTGTCTTTACTAAAAATACAAAAATTAGCCAAGCGTGGTGGCGCACACCTATACTCCCAAGCTACTCGAGAGGCTGAGGCACAAGAATTCCTTGAACCCAGGAGGCGGAGGTTGCAGTGAGCCAAGATCGCGCCACTGCACTCCAGCCTGGGCGACAGAGTGAGACCCCATCTCAACTGAAAAAAAAAAAGAAGAGGAAGAAGATGCTCAACACCACTTATCATTAGGAACATGCAAATTTAAAACACAATGAGATACCACTGCACACCCATTAGGAGGGCTACTATTAAAAAAATAAATAAATAACAAGTGTTAGCTAGGATGTGGAGAAACTGGAACTCTTGTGCACTGTGGGTGGGAATGTAAAATGGTACAACCGCTACAGAAAACAGTATTATGACTGCTCAGTAAAATCAGCGAAATGATTTAACACCATGTGACCCACCATTCCACCCCTACATGTTTACTCAGGAGAAACAATGACATGTCCAGCACACAAAGACTTGTACATGCATGTTCATAACAATTTTATTTATAATCACCCCAAACTGGAAACAGCCTCTATGTCTATCAGCTGGTGAATGGATAAATAAACCGGCATATTCAGCAATAAGATGGATGAAGTACTGACCTGTGCAACACCTCAAGAGTGAGTGTCAAATACATTACACTGAGTGAAAAGGTCAGACAAAAGACTATCCGTTAGGATTTCTACGAAGCTCTAGACAAGGCAGATCTAATCTATAGTGACAAAAAGCCCATCAGTGGTTGCCTGAGGCTGGCATGAGGGAGGCCTGGCTGGGAAGAGGCAGAAAGCAACCCCAGGATTGAGGGGAAGGGTCTATATTCTTGATTGTGGTGGTAGATACCTAAATCTGTCACAATTCACCCAAATGTATAGTTAAAATGGTACATTTTATTGTATGCAAACTATACATCATTAAAAAAATTTTACGCTATCCTGCTGTGTTTTCATATTGAAAGATGAAAAGAAGCGAAGCTGTCCTTCTTCCCCCTATACCCCACACCTTCTAATAAGCCTCACATAAAATTCCATATATCAGCTGGGCACGTTGGCTCATGCCTGTAATCCCAGCACTTTGGGAGGCAGAGGCGGGCGGATCACCTGAGGTCAGGAGTTCAAGACCACCCTGGCCAACATGGCAAAACCGTGTCTCTACTAAAAATACAAAAATTAGCTGGGCATGGAGGCGGGTGCCTGTAATTCCAGCTACTCAGGAGGGTGAGGCAGGAGAATCGGTTGAACTGGGAGGCAGAGGTTGTAGTGAGTCGAGACTGCACCACTGCACTCCAGACTGAGCAACAGGGCGAGACCCTGCCTCAAAAAAAAAAAAAAAAATCCACGTACCTTCAAGCTTCTCTTCTCCCTTCCTGAGTACCAGTTATTTTCATATTTTAAAGGACTTTCTCTTTCTCTGATCTAACACAATGACAACTAAGCAAAGGCATGTACCATTTTATAATATATGCAGGGTCTCTTTGCTCCACTCTATACATGTGAAAGATTTTAATTCAAGTACAAGTTACTACTCAGAAAGACAAATGCTATTAAGAAATGACAGTAATATTGACAAACTAGACCACTAAAATTTATGAGAACAATAAACCCATTTCCTGCAGGAACTATCTATTCTGGATATTACTTAGTATTATAAATCTGCCTCTTAAGAAAATTAAACCTGGGGAAGAGAGAATTAAAAAAAAAATAAGGACTATAAAAGACTTGCTGCAAAAACTGACTGAGAAAGAGAAAAATAAAGTTTTTTTTTCTTCTCAACAGTATGCAAAGACTCTAATTTCTCCACATCTTCATCCAACATATGTAAAGCCATTATTTGTCTTTTTGTGAAGAAAATGTGCTATCTATGTAAAAGCCTGTCAAACTGTAAAGTGTTATATATTTGAAAGCTATCATCATTAAAGAGCCAGACTATCCTTTTAACCAGATGGCCCCTTTAACAAATATCACAGAAAGAACACTAGGCTGGAAATGAGATATCCTAGTTCTGGTCCCAAATCTACCAATTATGAAATTAGTGACTGTGGGTAAGTAACCACTTGCCTTAACCCTCCATTTCTTATGTCCACCAATCCATGCCTTCCTCATCTCATAAGCTTGCTCTGCAGATCTGATGATGGCATATAAACAAACTTTGAAAATCACCAAGCCACTCTCAATAAAAGAGAGCAGTATTATTTATTCCTAGGTCTGGCTGAAATAACGTAATATATTATTGATTACATATATCAATGAAACACCATCATGATATCCTTGTAACACGAGCCCAAAGAGTAACGGTCACCTGGCTGAATCCACCTGTTTCTAAGAAACAAAGAATATCTCATTTCACATAGTATTACAGTGGAAGATCCAGAACCTACCATGCCTGGACTGTCTCAGATGAGT
The DNA here is from genome assembly GCF_000001405.40 of Homo sapiens. Lineage (NCBI taxonomy): Eukaryota > Metazoa > Chordata > Mammalia > Primates > Hominidae > Homo > Homo sapiens. The sequence continues at coordinate 4,512,100 of NW_018654717.1, read as the reverse complement.
ATTTCCAGAGCTTTAATAGCAAGTCAAGATAAACACAATAATTGGAGGAAAAAGAAAAAAAAGATACAAACCCACTAGTATTTGAATGCATTCTCTTAATTCTAGTAAATGGATATACATATACGTATATATACACATATATGTTTGTACAGTGTAACTCAATGTTTTTAAGGAATTGTTATCCATCAAAAGACATATCCAAGCACCTACTGTTCCAACCCCACTGCCACTACCTCATTATTAGGAAGACTCCAGGGACGCAACAAAATGCTCATTACTGGCCGGGCACAGTGACTCACGCCTGTAATCTCAGCACTTTGGGAGGCCGAAGCGGGCAGATCACTTGAGGTCAGGAGTTTCAGGCTAGCCTGGCCAACATGGCAAAACCCTGTGTCTACTAAAAATACAAAAATTAGCCAGGTATGGTGGCACACACCTGTCGTCCCAGCTACTCAGGAGGCTGAGGCATGAGAATCACTTGAACCTGGGAGACGGAGCTTGCAGTGAGCCGAGATTGTGCCACTGCACTCTAGCCTGGGCCACAGAGTGAGACTCCATCTCAATACAAAAAAAAAAAAAAAAAAAAAAGAATGGTTCATTACCATCTGGAACATCTTGTTCAAATCTCAAGGACTTGGCAGCCATGATGGTGCCGGTCATTCATGGACCCGACCCGGTAATGACATACCATCAAACTCGGCACACTGTACACGAAAGCAAAAGTATCCTTCAGTTCTTCTGAAGGCACAATCTTTTAAGATGGATGATCACTTCTTCAACATTCCTTTAGGAACAAGTCCATTAGTTAGATGCCGTTGGTTCTTAGAATCCCTGTCCCCCTAAATCTCACACCTCACTACACTTCTAGTCGAATTCTATGTACTGGATGCCTAACCTAGTGATTTGCCTTGCCTTGTGTGATAAACATGCTCCTAAAAAGATGGTGTAGAAGGTACCACTTTTTAAAGTACTACAGGATTCCTGATTCAAATATCTTATAAATCCTTTAGTAAAATGATACACTTCTTACACAAGAGCATATTCTCATATTGGATTTGTTTTAAACAAGGCACACAAACTATGACATTGTATGTAAAACTATAAGCCCCATCACATGTAATATTTTAAATGTCTTCATTTAACCTTAAATAAGTAAAAAATAATAAAATGTAGGGCAATTACCAAGTGCCTTAATAAAGGTCAAGCTACCTATGTAACATCTCCTTCGCATATTCCTTAAGATATTCTTCATGTGCTAAAAATACCGATGGCGGGCTGTACTTCAAGACTTCTTTTTGGGTCGGGCGTGGTGGCTCACAACCGTAATCCTAGCACTTTGGGAGGCCGAGGCAGGCGGATCACCTGCGGTCATGAGTTTAAGACCAGCCTGGCCAACATAGTGAAACCCCATCTCTACTAAAAATACAAAAATGAGCTGGGCGTGGTGGCGCACGCCTGTAATCCCAGCTACTCGGGAGGCTGAGGCAGGAGAATCGCTTGAACCCAGGAGGCAGAGTGAGCCGGGAATGCACCACTGCACTACAGCCTGGGCGACAGATCAAGACTTCGTCTCAAAAAAAAAAAAAGACTTCTTTTTGTTGTTTGCTGGGAATGGATCCACCACATGTAAAACACTCACTCATTCCCCTCAAGCAAACATGCTGAATGTAAGAGGCCTTGTGAGCTGACAATCACTCGGTCAGACAGTCGAGTGGAGGACTTTTATTTCAAAAATGGCAATGGTAAGGCCAAAAGGAAGTTAAGTAGCTCCTTCCAGGCTGCAGAGAGACTGAACAGGAATAAGAAGCCAGCCCCTGGTTATACTCTTCCCTGCTCCACGAAGCCTTCCAGACCCCACATGGGCCACACCCCACGGGTACGAGAGTTTGGGTTGAACCAAAAAGACTTGATCTTCCTGTTCGTATCCCAGAATAAGCCACCCTTATGTTGCTGCAGAATTTTAGGAAATATGCCATCCTACTTTGGCAACCTTATGTGAGATTTTCTGCATTTAAAGAAAGAGGGATGTGTGTTCTGCATTAGCTCCAGAAATAAAAACCCCTACTCAGTCTCAGCAAGGCATGCAGTTAAAAATAATCAGAGCCGGTGTTTCTCTACGGTGAAAGAATGAGCCAAGCAATGTGGGAGGCTGAGTGCCAACAAGGCTGCGCCTTTATAATCATCTTAGTAACCGGACAGCCTGCTGCAGGTTTTCAAGGGAAGTCCTGAAAGAAGCAGCACGACCCACCCTACCTTCTTCCGGAGAAACTGTAACTTCACAGGTCTGATTTTCTTTTCTTTTTTTTTTTGAAACGGAATTTCGCTCTGTTGCCCAGGCTGGAGTGCGGTGGCTCAACCTCGGCTCACTGCAACCTCTGCCTCCCAGGTTCAAGCGATTCTCCTGCCTCAGCCTCCTGAGTAGCTAGGATTACAGGCACCCACCACCAAGCCCAGCTAATTTTTGTATTTTTAGTAGAGACAGGGTTTCACCACGTTCACCAGGCTGATCTCGAACTCCTGACTTCAGGAGATCCACCCACCTCAGCCTCCCAAAGTGCTGGGATTGTAATAGGCGTGAGCCACCATGCCCGACCCCACGTCTGATTTTGAATGCTAACATTTCCTCGGTACACAGTAACTCACAACATCAAAGTGACACAGGACGCACGTGTAAATCGCACTAGAAGCCTCATCCGTACAGCCTTGCTATCAAGTGTGGTCTGCACCAGCAGCACCGGCATCACCCAGGAGCTGGTAAGGAAAGGAGAACCTCAGCCCCTGCCCCAATCTCTGGACTCAGCATCATCCATTTTGAGCAAGGTGCCCAGGTGATCGGACAGCACGTTAAAGCTAGAGAAGCAATGCCCTAATCCTAGTAACCCATGCACCATCATGAGAAATCCCAGACACTGCCTCCTCTTCCTTCCCACCTGATGCTGCAGGACACAGGACGGATGCTCATAGTGCTCCCTGTGATCTCTCCAATTTCTCACTTGGGCCTTTGCAATCTGCATTTACAAATTAGCATGGTTTGAATTAACAGAAAAACAAAAGAGTAGTATCTGGTTAGCATCTAAGAAAGCGAAAGAGGCCGGGCGCGGTGGCTCACGCCTGTAATCCCAGCACTTTGGGAGGCCGAGGCGGGTGGATCATGAGGTCAGGAGATCGAGACCATCCTGGCTAACAAGGTGAAACCCGGTCTCTACTAAAAATACAAAAAAAAAATTAGCCGGGCGCGGTGGCGGGCGCCTGTAGTCCCAGCTACTCGGGAGGCTGAGGCAGGAGAATGGCGTGAACCCCGGAAGCGGAGCTTGCAGTGAGCCGAGATTGCGCCACTGCAGTCCGCAGTCCCGCCTGGGCGACAGAGCGAGACTCCGTCTCAAAAAAAAAAAAAGAAAGCGAAAGAGGGCCAGGTGCTGTGACTCACACCTGTAATCCCAACATTTCGGGAGGCTCAGGTGGGCAAATCACTTGAGGCCAGGAGTTCGAGACCAGCCTAGGCAACATTTCAAGACCCCATCTCTACAAAAAATAAAGAAACTCAGATACGGTGTTGTGCACCTTTAGTCCCAGCTACTCAGGATGCTGAAGCAGGAGGATGGATTGAGCCCAGGAGGTTAAGGCCGTAGCGAGTGGTGATCATGCCACTGCATGCCAGCCTGGGCTAAAGAGTGGGACTCCGTTTCAAAAATAAATAAACACATAAATAAAAAGAAAGTGAGAGAGAAAGCAGGGAGCGGGGTCTGTTTGGGAGAGAAAAAGAAGAAAGTGAAAGGTGAGCAGGTCCGGTGTGGAAGAAGCAGGTCAGAAGAGAGGGCAGAGGCTCATTTCTCCCCACACGTCACCCTGCACCTGCTCCCATAAACATCAGCGAACTCATCCCTATCTTACAGGCTGGAAAAGGAGTCACATTTCTCTTAAATTTAACTTTTACGCTAAGGTCCAAAAATGGAAAGGTAGAAATTGAAGAATTAATTACCTCTGTTTTATCATTAACCAAAGCAGTATTACCTGCCTAAAGAGGACAAAATATTAAAAAATAGCAGAATCTTATTTTATAAGGGATTGTGGGATCAATTTAAGTAATTAACAATCCACTGTTCTCTGGGACTCTACCTACATGGGTGTCATGCTGAAAGGCACAGAAACGCAAATTCTAATCCTTTTGAAAAGAATGACAGATGGAGAAGAAAGAACTCTGAAGTCAGCAAGCCCAGAATGCAGTGTCAGCCCTTCTACTACTAACCTAGCAAGAGAACTGTGGGCAGTTTCTCAGGCTCAGCTTTGTCATCCAAAGAAACAGGAAAAATCAACCAACGTTGTCTCCAAAGGTCCTTCCATAGGAGCCCTAAAAACTGTATGATTCTAAGTCAGTTAATCATTGTCTCAATATTACTATTTCTCTTTAAAATGGGAAAAATGACTCACAGGTAGTCTCACCAGATGCAGGCTTCAAATGTGTCATTTGCTCATTTTAGGAAATAGTCCAGACTTCTTCAAAACATGACTCTATTCACACTTAGCCAGTCTTGTTTACCAAAATACAAATAAGCCTAGGCATATACACAGCACACCTGTCATTGTTTAAAGTTAGCATGACTCTTGCACCAGCTTCTTATCTGAAAAGATCTAAAAATGACACAACTGGCGTGCTCTAATTCTGCAGAGGCAGGGCTGGCTTCTGTCCACCTTCTCGGGCATAAACGGGAAGCTCCGCAAGGTCAGCTCTCTGCTTCAGATGCCTCCTTCTCAGACCATCTCTCATGCACCACCCATCACACTCTATCCCCTGAACCTCTCTTACATCTTCTCAAAGCTTAAATTATAATTGGCATATTGGATTACTGACCATTCCTCTTCCCCAACTTGATTTTCAACTCCTAGAGAGGAGGGGTGTTACCTGGCACTACTACTACATCAAAACAGTGTCTGGCACAGAGGCCATAACCACTGGCCAAATAAGCAAATTTAAGTTCTAATACTGGTCAGTGAGGTTGTTGCTGTATTTTCAAGAAGAAGGCCCAAAACTATCTGCATGACAAAGCAATCCTTGGATGAAGATAAGAACAAGAGCAACAAAAGAAGAAGAAGAAGAAAAGAATTCATTTTTGTTGGAGTAAGAGGAAAACTAAGAAGACCTATAAAATGGATTAAGATACAACTACCCTCAGTATTCTGAATGCACATGTGTTTTTCCCTTTAGAGTTACGAACAGAAATTTAAACTGACCCTCTGTCATTCATATGCAAAGAGGATAAAATCAAGTGGATTTTTTATGTTCTGCTTCAACTGCCATTCTTTTTCAGATTTAATCAGCTGAACAAATAATGGTAGTTTTCTAGGTTAGTTCACATAAAAGTCAGAAACAGTCCTATAGACACTTAAAAACTTTTTTAAAAAGGTGCTTTCATCATCAATACCAATATTGGCAAGATTACAATTGATGTATCTGTGAAGCAGCAGAAAATCATATTCCTTTTCAGTAATATTAGCATATCACAGAGCATACCGGGTAGTGAAACCCAAGCCTGGGTGCACGCTTATCTAGCGGCAGACCCAGGAGCAGAAGATTATGAGTGGCATCTGTGAGGCTGCCGGAAACAGGTTCTCAATGAGACACTTATAATTTCATTAAATGGCCTTTGACAAGACCCTCCTGCTGGGGGGCCCATGGCAGGCTCCGGGGAATGCTTCTTCCTCAGTGGTCTTTTCTAGTCTTTATCCTGAATTTTCCTTTTTTTGACTTAATATTTCCCTATCTTAAGCTTAGTGTTATACTCTGAGATTTGTTAACAAAAGCACACTTATCCCTATAGAAAAGCATAGAGAAGACTGAATGAGACAATAATAGCTTTTCATAACAACCACAGCAAAAAACTAAATGGGTCCCACACCCAATTTTAATTTTCCCCACAAAATCTGCTCCTCTCCCTAGCTTTCCCAGTTCAATAAATAGCAACTCCATCTTTCTGGTTGTCAGGCCAAAAACCTTTGTCTTTACCTCTTTCTCTCAAAACCCAGAACAAATCCATCAACAACCCCTTCAACTCGATCCTCCAAACAGATCTAGAAAATGGGCCTGGCACAGTGGCTAACACCTGTATTCCCAGCAGTTTGGGAGGCCAAGGCAGGCGGATCACTTGAGGTCAGGAGGTTGAGACCAGCCTGGACAACATGGCGAAACCCTGTCTCTACTAAAAACACAAAAATTAGCTGGACATGGTGGCACGCATCTGTAATCCCAGCTACTCAGGAAGCTGAGGCAGGAGAATCGCTCGAACCTGGGAGGTGGAGGCTGCAGTGAGCTGAGAACATGCCACTGCACTCCAGCCTGAGCGACAGAGCGAGACTCTGTCTCCAAAAAAAAGCGGGGGGGGGAAGGAGGAGGAGGGGGAGGAGGATAAGAAGGAGGAGGGGAAGGAGGAGAAGGAGGAGTAGGAGGGGGAGGAGGGGGAGGAGGGGGAGGAGGAGAAGGAGAAGGAGAAGAAAATGACCACTGGTCACCAGCTCCACTGCTACTATGCAAGTCCAAGGTATCAGTGTTCCTTGCCCAAACTACTGCAAAAGTCTCCTGCCTTACCTCCCTGCCTTCACCCTTACCTATTCACCACACACTCTCCAGGACCTTTTAAAACTAGTTCATTTAAAATGTTCTCAGCTCAAAGTTCCCAAGCCTCACAGAATCTCCCCTCTGCTGCTGGCACCTCTCTGATCTCTTTTCTCCTTCTTCCCCTGCTTGCAGCCTTCCTGTTGTGCCTCAAACAAACCAAGAACACAGCTGTCTCGGGGCCTCTGCACTTGTTCTCCCTGCCTCAAATGCTCTTCCCTCACATAATAAGATTGCTCATTCCCTTACTTCATTCAAGGTTCTGCTGAATTAGCCCTCCTAGACAGGTTTTCCTTGGCTGCTTTATTTAAAATAGCAGCGACCCACCCCGCCCATCATTCTGTCTCTCATCACAAGTATGTAAAACCCATAAAAACAATGACTTTGTGCAGTGTCTACGATGACCTTTGATACACTGCATTCAACAAATGCTTGCAGAATGAAGGAATAAACTTATTATGCATCTACTATATGCCAGACACAATAAATATTTGTTGAATGGATGAATAAATGAATGAGTGAATTCCAACATCCCTCCTCCAAACACACTCAGAAAAACAATTGTCTTAGATTTTTCAGAGGAATCACCAAAATGAGGCTAACACCAATGATATTTTTCGTAATTGGCAGGAAGACTGGAGACACAGGTACTTGTGTATACTCGCTAGTTAGAAATATTTTTTGTTTTTTTTCTTTTGAGACAGAGTTTTGCTCTTGTCATCCAGGCTGGAGTACAATGGCTTGATGTGGGCTCACTGCAACCTCCACCTCCCAGGTTGAAGTGATTCTCCTGCCTCAGTCTCCTGAGTAGCTGGGATTAGAGGAATGTGCCACCGCACCCAGCTAATTTTTGTATTTTTAGTAGAGACGGGGTTTCACCATGTTGGCCAGGCTGGTCTCAAACTCCTGACCTCAGGTGATGCACCTGCCTTGGCCTGTCAAAGTGTTAAGATGACAGGTGTGAGTCACCACGCCCGGCCAGAAATATCTTAAGAAACAAAGAAGCAGAAAGGATCTACTCAGAAGCAGGCAGGATCTACTTGACAAAAGACAGAATGGAAATTCATTATTGATAAGACAGCTGGTGGTTATATACTAAGAAATAAAAAGAGCCCTATGCTTAGAATTGTCATTTACTAACTACCTGATGAAGACATCTCATGACAGACGTATAAAACAATTTTGCAGTAAATTCCCTGCACACTCTGGACCTTCAGAAAATGTGTATGAACTAAAATTCCATTTTATCATCAACAGTGATAGGAGAGTTTCTATTCCCAACCGCTTCAGACAGCAGGTGTTTAAAGTCAATTCATTCATTAAGGGATGCTCAGCTTAGTCTAATCAATATCTGGTATAGCCCATGTTGCTGAACAACCTCAATTTCACACCACAGTTATGCTTTAAAAAAAGATTTGTAAATATTGAAAGAGGCAGTATACTTGCTGTGATGCACACATGTAACATTAAAAACACTATCCAAACATCCTTCCCTGTTAGGGGATATTTTCCCCATCCTAGGATAAAAGGTGAGAAAAAACAAAGCACAGCCTAGACACTGGGTTGCAACTGAACTGCTGGGACAATCATCTGGGACGGCTGCTTTCCACCCAGCCCGCCCAGGGCTGCACTGGCTAGTCCCTTTGCTTCTCTGTCCCTTTTAGCCGAGCTCCCAGAGTGTTCCACCTGACACCACAGGGTTTGCAGTTGCCATCTGCATCCTGCTGTTCTCATCTCTTTAATCATTTCTCCAACATTTATCATAATAGCCTCCTCCTAGTCTTCAAAGAAGGGATTATGACTCCAATTTACACACCGCTGAACCCGTGTTAGCCATTTGGAGGGAGTGCCTCTACTTTCCATTTTAAAAAGGGCCAGTCAGGCCTAAAGAGGAAGAAAAAAAAAAAAAAAAAGAAGCCATGCCATCCCACTTCATTTTCCTCTCCACTGCAGGCAAAGGAATAAAAGTGAAAGCCATTAACATAAAGAGACACACGTAAAGGGCAAACGGCTCAGGCAGAACTCAAAAACCCCTGATCATTTAACTGGAAATTGAATTAAAATACTTCATGAGATAAAGACAAGCCCTTTTACTACTAACGGAGCTGGGCAGTTATTAATTTTTTTTAAACAATCAGATCTCGCAAGAGGTAGTTATTTTTAAACCATAAATTGAGTACTCAATAGAGAATGGACAAAGATTTTGGTCCTTACATTAGGACGTGTTTTTTAAAGCAAACAAATGAAAAACACAGACTGCTATGGCAAGCAGTCGGCCCACAGGCTACTTAACACAAATGAATTAAATAGCCACAGAACCAATTTAATCAAACAGTGCGAAGTCGGTTTCCGTTCTCAAAGCTGGTGTTTTTAAAAACTGGTTAAATCAAGTTACCTTTTTTCTTCTGAAGGTAGGAAGAGGGATTTACTTCTGAATTCAAAACACTATTATACTTACTTTTTTCTTAAATTGCTACATGATGGAATTGACCACTTCCTCCCACTAGCAGGGTAAAGGTACACAATGCAAAGAACAGCTCTGCAGCAATTAATTCCTTTTTACCTTTTTTTTTTTTTTTTTTTTTTTTTTTTTTTTTGGAGACATAGAGTCTAGCTCTGTTGCCCAGGCTGAAGAGCAATGGCACGATCTCAGCTCACTGCAACCTCTGCCTCCCGTGTTCAAGCGATTCTCCTGCCTTAGCCTCCCGAGTAGCTGGGACTACAGGCGTGAGCCACCATGCCCAGCTAATTTTTGTATTTTTAATAGAGACAGGGTTTTGCCATGTTGTTCAGGCTGCTCTTGAACTCCTGGCCTCAAGTGGCCTGCCTGCCTCAGCCTCCTGAAGTGCTGGGATTACAAGTGTGAGCCACCGCACCCAGCCTTGTAGCAAGTAATTCTGAAAGCCTTGCAGAAAGTAATACTTGCAGCAAGTAATTTCAGTTCACTGATTTTCTGCCTTCACCACCCCACATGTGCATAATGTGTGTGCACTTACACGTGTGTGTATTCTGTGTCAGTAAGAAACGTGGGGTTATTATAAAGATATTTGCCAGTTGCAAATTAGACCTTCACAGCTGCGGTCCTGTTCAGTCCAACTGTGGCCCCAAAGAGCCTCCCCTGGGCTGAAAATGCATTTTGTGTCTCCTGGTCAAGAAATGAGCAGTCCAAGTGGACACTTCATTGTGGTCAAGGGAAACTATGCTTTTGTATAAATAAACTATTTGTCTAAACTTCAAACAGGTAAGGGTAGATAAGCTTTACTTTCTAGCAAGGGCAAAAGTTATCTCCTTTCCCTTTCTCTCAGAGGGAACCAAATCCTGAAGACGGTTCATGGCTCAAAGCCCTAATTGCCTGGTATGACCCAGGGAAAACTCCATTTTAAGAAAATGTACTTTCCTTTAAATATTCTGAGACAGAAAGCAACCAGGTCTCTGAAGAAGCTGCTAGACTTTCTCAGGATGGTAGAAACTTTCAGGAAAGCAAAGGAATTTAATGAAGCCTCAGAGAGAGTTTGAAATCTTTACCTTACATAGCACTGATGGCTAATACTATGCTTGTTCTAATGAAGATAATTTTGTATGATTCTTGACTAGGTTTGAGGCTACCAAAACCAAAAATCAGTGTGTATACCTTTAAATCCCGAGGCAACTAACAGCTATTAAACTAGTTAACATTTATAAACCATTAACTCTCACCTACACCCCTTGTAAACTATTAACTCTCAGCTACACCCCTTGGTAAATGTTAACAGTTAAAGTTCTCTTTCATTCATTAAAATGCAAATAGCTTAACATGTCTGTGACAATACACACTAATAATTTCCCACTTTTTATTAAATGTTTAATAGCACTGATACCCAATCTGAAAAAACTTCCCATATTAGAGAGATAGACTGTGGTGCTAATATTTTCCTAGCAAACGACAGAATTTTTAAATTGGAACAGACTTTAGAGATCATTTCATCCAGCTTCTCATTTTAAAGATTAGGAGATAGAACCAGAGCCTCTGAAATGTCCAAAGCCACAGAGTTTATTAGTAAATATAAAATCAGAACACCCAGGGTCGGGTGCGGTAGCTCACGCCTGTAATTTCAGCACTTTGGGAGGCCAAGCCAGGTGGATCACTAAGGTCAGGAGACCAGCCTGGCCAACATGGCAAAACCCTGTCTCTACTAAAAACCCCAAAATTAGCCTCGCTTGGTGGCGCACACCTATAATCAGGAGGCTGAAGCAGGAGAATCGCTTGAATCCAGGAGGCGAAGGTTACAGTGAGTGGCGATCGTGCCTGGGCAACAGGAGTGAAACTCCGTCTCAAAAAAAAAAAAAAAAAAAAAAAATCAGAACACCCAGAAAGATCAGGTCAGCACCCGCTACACACCAATTCATCTAACCCTTCAACACTCACGTAATCTCAGCGATCTCTTCTCTTTCCCCATCTCCAGCTAGCAGGTTCCATATTCACCCCATAGCTCCATCTGTGGTTTTACCACCCTGGGCACTACACCTGCTCTGTTCCTCCTTAGTGAATCTCCTCGACTTTATCACCCAAAAGTCTTACATAGGGTCACGTATATAAGCGTGCCTCAAGAGGTTAGGAGAAAATCCCAAGGCTAGATGAATTACAGAAGATGAAAAATACATTTTTCTCTTTTTCCTAACCCTTGGTGGTTTTCAGGATGCTGAATGTTACCAAAAAGAATGTGCACACTTCATTTGTCCTACAGTTTATTTAGTCTTGGGTGTCTTATAAATAGAAACTATATTTTGTGGTTGATCCCAAATATTAATATTTAGCATTCCTCCAGCACTTAAAATGCACACAGTTTCTGCCATTTCAATGAGTCCCTACAAGTCAGTAGGACACTAGGCTTTGCACAAACATAAAACAAACAGTCAGCACACAAACGTCTCAGAAATGCATGGACAGGTTCAGGGAAATACTCTTAAAAGTGAGGTCTAGATACCACAAAACAGGCTCTTCAAACTCTACGTGTGGAGTTGTTATCTAAATCAACAAGTTTGCTTGGCAGCTTAATTAAATTCATCCTACCATGTAGTACAACAAAATCGTGTTTCCATATACTATTAAAAAACCAGGGACTAGAAAGTTTACAGTTCTTATCTACTGTTGCAAAACAAAACTGGAAACAAAACTCTATTCTTTCATATTATACCCCTTCCTCTTGCCTTGTTTTTCTCTTTCCATTCACTGAGTAACACTTTAACTAAAGAATGTATTTAAAATAAGAACAAATACAGGAAGTTAATCCAACCAAAACACTTAAAGTAATAGTAAACTAAGGTACATGGAAAAAGAGGAAGTTGTGATGCCCCCCGCAAAATAAAGATTTCCTGGCAGGTGAGACTTGAAAAGCGATCACAGTGTTCTCCATTCTCTTGGTGACAGAGAAAAAATGTTTTCCCTCAACAAAGTTGAAGCTTAAGTGTAAATCTGAGGTCACCAGGCGGATCCCTAATAAGGACAGAGCGCTCCCTCAGGAACAGCGATGCCAAGCCCAGTTTTGGATACATAGGGAGTGGGTGGTGGAATGCCGGCTTCCATTCGAAGGAGACCCCTCTCCAGCACCATGGGAGTCGCACCCTTAGCAGATATTCTGTCCTCCAGAGAGCTGAGGTTTCAGGAGTGCCAAGCAAGGTATAAATGTCATTAGCGTGAGTACTTAAAACATACCACAATGTCCAGGTGCGGTGACTCACACCTGTAATCACATTTGGGAAGCCGAGGCGGGCAGATCACTTGAGGTCAGGAATTCGAGACCAGCCTGTGCAACATGGTGAAACCTCATCTCTACTAAAAATACAAAAATTAGCTGGGTGTGGTGGCATGCACCTGTAATCCCAGCTACTTGGGAGGCTGAGGCAAGAGAATCGCTTGAACCTGGGAGGCGGAGGCTGCAGTGAACTGAGATCACGCCACTCCAGCGTAAGCAACAAAGCGAGACCCTCTCTCAAACACACACACACACACACACACATACACACAAACACACACACCCACAAGAGGGTTTAGACCTGGTGCCTGCTGGTTTCAGCCACTCTAAAACCAATGGGAGGATTTTATTATTTTATTTCTTTGCAAAATAATTGGTTCTGTGGACACCATCGCCCTTCATTAAGGCTGAGATTCTGACTTCCATGGCCATTTGCCATTGATGCTTTTAATAACCATGCATTAATTCCGTTCTGAAGTCCAGAGAAAAAGCTTTCTATTTTTGCCTTCCCTAATAGGGCACAGCCAAGAGAAAGCATCCCACCATGCAAAGCTCTAGCTTGGCTGACATCAGAACAGAGTCCGGTAAACAGTTTCTTATATTAGGCTATCATTGTTGTTAGCCCCGATGAGTCAAATTTACATTCTGGGAGAAGGGTATGAGCCCTCACTTCTACATACTTAAAGTCAGAAGTGATTGCATTTCCATAAGAACATTTATACCCGGATGTATTTCAGAGTCCTACTTTGTGGCTGGGAAGGTGGCCTAAAAAACCCAATATCACCCAAAGGAAGCAGGAGGTCCTGATTCTGTTCTCAGCAGCAACTGCCTGGCTCAGTCCGTGTGTCTGCTCTCAAGACCCCGACTATGCCCCTGCAGGCTCCATTTCTCCTACTACACAAACAAGGCTCTTGCCACCCACTCAGGCTTATTTACTTGCACTGTGTACATATACACCGACTCACACACACACTCACATACCCCCCAAAAAAAATGGAGGCTTAAAATACCCCATTTTGTCACAGTTTGCTCGGAAGCTACTCCCTCTAGTTCAACAGGCGGCAAGCTCCTGTCCTACCTGCCCCTTTCTACCTTTTGGGAATAAAAAGGAGCAACCAGAAATAGCAGAGAAAGCGGAAGGGAACCAGGATCTGACTCGTAATTACAGTTCCATAAACCCAGACAACTATTTTTGTTAGTTAACCTGGACAATCGCACAAGGTGTCTGCTCATTCTTAAAAAAAAAAAAAAAAAAAAAAAAAACCACACACAACTTAGATTGCTAGTGCCTGGCACGTACAAGGCAAACAGTGTGGGTACAACCATTAGGTCAGGTCCTAGCTACGTATATATATTTGAGATGGAGTCTTGTTCTGTCGCCCAGGCTGGAGTGCAATGGCGCAATCTCAGCTCACTGCAAACTCCGCCTCCAGGGTTCAAGCGATTCTCCTGTCTCAGCCTCCTGAGTAGCTGAGATTACAGCTATGCGCCACCACTCCTGGCAAATTTTGTGTTTTTAGTAGAGACAGGGTTTCACTATGTTGGGCAGGCTAGTCTCGAACTCCTGACCTCAAGTGATCCCCCTACTTCGGCCTCCCAAAGTACTAGGAGCCACCACCCCTGGCTTAGCTACCTATTTCTATTGTCAAGGTTATCCAACTGTTGTAGGTTAAATGGTCCATACTCACTAACACACTGGTGAAGGTGGATAATTACTATTTCCAATTCCCATGTTGCATTCCATAAAAGACACCAACCAACTCCATGAACACCTTGATTTGTCTTAGTTGTGTTCACATTATTAAATTACACTGATTTAGGAGCAAAAAATCCTTTGTAAGTCATGGGCATTGTATAAGGTTGCCCAATTTACAAAACAAAAATATACGCTGGGTGTGGTGGCTCACAGCTGTAATCCCAGCACTCTAGGAGGCCAAGGTGGCAGGATGACTTGAGGTCAGGAGTTCAAGACCAGCCTGGCCAACATGGTGAAACCCCGTGTCTACTAAAAACATAAAAATTAGGCCAGGTGCAGTGGCTCACGCCTGTAATCCCAGCACTTTGGGAGGTCAAGAAGAGGTCAGGAGATCAAGACCATCCTGGCTAACACAGTGAAACCCCGTCTCTACTAAAAATACAAAAAATCAGCCAGGCTTGGTGGTGGGCGCCTACAGTCCCAGCTACTCCGGAGGCTGAGGCAGGATAATGGAGTGAACCCGGGAGGCCGTACTTGCAGTGAGCTGAGATCGCACCACTGCACTCCAGCCTGGGCAACAGAGCGAGACTCTGTCTCAAAAAAAAAAAAAAATTAGCCAGGTGAGGTGGTGCATGCCTCTAGTCCCAGCAACTCAGGAGGCCGAGGTATGAGAATTGCTTGAACCTTGGAGGTGGAGGTTGCAGTGAGCCAAGATTGCACCACTGCACTCCAGCCTGGATGACAGAGGGGGACTTTGTCTCAAAAAAAAAAAAAGGAAGAAAGAAAAAAATATGTATTATGACTAAATCAGAACATCACATGGAACATATTTACACTAAAAATTATTCGTTGCTTACGTGAAATTCAGATGTAAGAATAGATGTATACATGAGACCCACCCATAAGCAACACTTTATTGTTTATCTGAAATTCAAATTTAACTGGCTATCCTGTTTTTTTGGTTTTGGGTTTTTGGGGTTTTGTTTGTTTGTTTCTTTGTTTTTGATACAGGATCTCACTCTATACCCCACGCTGGAGTGCAGTGATACTATCACAGCTCACTGCAGCCTCCATCTCCTGGGCTCAAGTGATTCTCCCATCTCAGCCTGTCAAGAAGCTGGGACCACAGTCGTGGTCCTCCCTCAGTATATATGGGGGGTTTGGTTCTAGGGCCCCCACCCCCAGCATACCAAAATTATTTTTTATTTCTTGTTGAGAGAGGTCTCGCCATGTCGCCCAGGCTGGTCTCGAACTCCTGGGCTCAGGGGATCCACCCGCCTCGGCCTCCCAAAGTGCTGGGATCACAGGCGTGAGCCACCACACTCAGCCGACATCCTGTATTTTATCTGGCAATCTTAACATTGTATTAGGACAAGCGGAAAACAGATGAATTAAGACATGGCATCTTACCACAGGAGCTCATTGTCTGGTGAAAGAGCCAGACCTGAACTAGAATCATACGATGGAGGATTGGAGGCGCTTTCCAAGCGCTTTCAAGAACACAGGGAAGGAGCAATTAAATCCTAACTGAGATGCACACTAATGTCTCCATCCTGCACAATGAAAATGGACATTATAGAATTTATTCTATCATTCTATATATCCCACAGATTCTTTAATCCTGATTCATGAACTCGCTACAGTGTTTTCAGCCAGGCACGGTGGCTCACACCTGTAATCCTGGCGCTTTGGTAGGCCGAGGCGGGTGGATTACTTGAGGTCAGAAGTTCAAGACCAGCCTGGCCAACATGGCAAAACCTACTCTCTACTAAAAATACAAAATTTAGCCAGGCATGGTGGCAGGCACCTGTAATCCCAGCTACTTGGGAGGCTGAGACAGGAGAAGCACTTGAACCTGGGAGGCTGAGGTTGCAGTGAGCCGAGATCACGCCACTGCACTCCAGCTTCGGCAACAGAGTGAGACGCCGTCTCAAAAAAGAAAAAAACAAAAAATTATGCTTTCTGCCGTTATTTTCATCTGAAGCAAGTTACTGACAAGGTAATGTGAAGGGGGTTATAAAACACTGGCCATAACAGATTCAGAAACACAGATGAGAAAAGATGCTCAGTTATTTCAATGCCAAATAAGCCTCCTCACTTTTGTGCTTTGAAAGCGAGCGGGGACTGAATGTTTACCTGTTTCAGAACTACAGTTTAGAAGACGGTCTTCCCCATGTCTGCTGAGATGAGGGATTCCCCATGAACTCCTCACATGCACAGCTCTGAAAGTAAGATCTGGGGCCCTTATTTGGAAAACAAACTCCCTAGATCTTTTTGCTCCAGCAGCCAAAGGAGCTGGGCATGGTACAAGAGTCACTGGTCAGGTGGGGTCAAGCCAGGACAGTGCTGGAGAGATCTGTCCCGAGCTCACTCGAGTGTCTTTCTCATGGCACTGGGGCAAGCATGACCTGCACAGCCTGGCACAGAAACAGCACTTGCCCAGAAGATACTTCCCCGTATTTCAAGATCAAACAAAGTAGGACGCAGAAAAGAAAAGAAGCAAGGGAGGTAAGGGATGGTGTGTACATATTTCCTGTTGGAATTCCTCTGGAGTATAAAAAAGAGGGCCTGACAATTGCCAAACATATCAGGTGAGGCTTTGGGATCCACTGGTGGGAAACACTGAATATATTTAATATCCAAGACAATAATTCAAAGACTCTAAATTGGGAAATTAGCTTAATAGTATTTTACTTGCAAGGTCCTACATTTCAATATTAAAAATACTGACACATTAAAAAATGAAATTGGTCTTTTATTCCTAGCCTATTCATCTTTGCATCTTTCCCAGCACAGAGCATCCCCATGGCACTCAGCAGACCCCCATGATGTCTGGTCAATTAATGAGTTAATGGATGGTTTCAAGCCCATGAGCCAGATTCCTGTCACCGGCATGTATCAGTTTATTGCTGCACACGGGAAACCTTGCAGCCACAGGGCTTTGTTTATACACTGCCCTAGAAGCCACTAGGATTCTCTAGATCAGAAAGAGAAATATATTCTAGTTCTCATCTTTCAAACTGGCTCAAAACCTGACACTTTCACATCAGGAAAGTGAAAAAAAAAAAAAAAAAAAAAAAAAAAAGAGGAGAGATACCGAAAGAGCCAGGCTGTTCATAATTTTGTTTTGGAGGCAGTGCAGAAGAAAACATCCTAGAGAGGCACTGCCAAATTCTAAAAAGAGTCTTAGAATGCCAAAAACAGATTCAGTCCCTTAAGCAAAGTGGAAGGGAAAAAAGAAGCCTATCAATTCAAAGCAATAAAGATTTAAACAGAAAGTTCATGAGACATCAATAAATTCCGCGTGTGGCCCTATTGTTTAGTTACTAAACTGCCAATGCAACTTTCAGTGGTTAACCAACACAGCACAAGTTTGCTCCTAATTTAATATCCCTTTCAGATTTCTGATTCCATAATGAGATATCTTCCAGGCCAAAATATGCCAAATTTTTCTACCCTGAAACAAACCTGTGAATTTTCTGGGCTTAGGTCCTTTCTTTTTTCCTCCATTCAGCCACTGAAATAATAAGAATTCTAATTAAAAATGAGTTCAGGCCCGGCGCGGTGTCTAACGCCTGTAATCCCAGCACTTTGGGAGTCCCAGGCAGGTGGATCACAAGGTCAGGAGCTCGAGACCAGCCTGGCCAATATTGTGAAACCCCGTCTCTACCAAAAAATATATAAAAATTAGCCAGGCATGGTGGCGGGTGCCTGTAGTCTCAGCTACTCAGGAGGCTAAGGCAGGAGAATCGCTTGAACCCGGGAGGCAGAGGTTGCAGTGAGCCAAGATCGCACCAAGGCACTCTAGCCTGGGCAACAGAGCAAGACTCCGTCTCAAAAAAAAAACAAAAAAAAATCTTTTGTTTGTAAACTCAGTAGATATATAACTGTCCTACAGTGACATTGACAAGTTAACTTTTAAAATACCTAAAGCAAGTTTCCCTGTAGAGTTGGGCAAATTCCATATGCTGACTGCCCACTTGTTGATACATTTTGCTATCAGGAACCCAACACCACCAATTTTGGGGAAACCTTTTTCTAAACAAATGAGAAAATCCAAGATGATTCAAATAGCTGAGCTGAACAAAACAAAATGCTCTGAGACAATGACTGGTGTTCACTGATCTGGGTCATTTGCCTGCCTCCACGCCTGACAGCCTTTGACCTATCCCAAAGCAACAGCCATCTGTCTAGTATCTGAACAGAAATTGGGACGGAGCACAGGGGGTATACAAGGCAGGGAGTAGTTAAGAAGCCAGCAAGGGAAGGAAGGAAATTGTTTAGTAAGTGCCCACTACATGCCAAGCACTGTCTTAGGCATTTTTATATGCATTATTTTATTCAGTCCTTACAAGAGCTGTATGACATAAATTTTGCTTTTTTAAAACTAAGCAAGTCTCAGATGTCTCCATGTCATCAAAATCTAAATATATAACATTATTACCCTTTGAAAATTCTAATAAATGAAAGAAAATTTAAATTTAATATTTAAAATTATATTAAATGGCCCATCCAGTTTTGGAGCCTAGGAAGGGTTCAACAAGAGTGATTTATTTTACTAAGACCTAGAGCAACAGATGAGACCTATGTTACTGAAAACGATTATGCAATGCTATAATTACAACTATATTAAAAATATGCCTTTTGGGGGATACTCTCTTCATTGTGGCGATGGCCTCACAGGTAAAAAACAAAAATAGACAGTCCTCCCTCGGTATATATATGGGGGGTTGGGTTCTAGGGCCCCCATCCCCAGCACACCAAAATCTATGCATAAAGTCCTGAAGTTGGCCCTCGGGACCTGCATATGAGATGAGCCAGCCCTCCGTATGCACAGGTGGCGTCGAGGTGGACCCAAGCAGTTCAAATCTATGTTGTTCAAGGATCAACTACACTCATGATTCAGACCAAAATAGAAATAAACAAAGTGAAAATATCCGTAACAACAAGGATAAAGCATTCTCAGTCAAAAAAGACTATATAGAGGAACACAAGCCAGATATCTGTTTTATATTTCTCAACATATTTTCTGCACAATACCAGCTCCAGCGGATGTTACTTCTTACATATGCACACACATACACACACACATAAAGATTCTTCAGTCAATAAGTTTGAAAAATGCTTGGTTAAACAAAGCTCACCACGGCTGGTAGTGATGGCTCATGCCTGTAATCCCAAAACTTTGGGAGGCTGAGATGCAAGGATCACTTGAGGTCAGGAGTTCGAGACCAGCCTGGCCAACATGGCGAAACCCCGTCTCTACAAAAATTACATGGGTGTAGTGGCACACGCCTGTAGTCCCAGCCACCTGGGAGGCTGAGGCAGGAGAATCACTTGAACCCAGGAGGTGGAAGTTGTAGTGAGCCAAGATCACACCACTGCACTCTAGCCTGGGTGACAGAGCAAGACTCTGTGCCCCTCACACCAAAAAAAAAAGTTCACCATGTTTCCTAACTGTGGAACTTCTCAGAGGCCTTCTCATACACTAAGATACTTGGTGCTATTCAAAGACAGCTTAATAAAATACAGTTGATCGTTTAACAACACGGGTGTGAACTGTGCTGGTCTACTTATATGACAGTTTTCTTCCACCCCTACCATGCCTGAGACAGCAAGACCAACCCCTCCTCTTCTTCCTCCTCCTCAGTCTACTCAATTTTAACATGACAAGGATGAAGACCTTCACCGATGATTTACTTCCATTTAAGGAACAGTAAATATATTTCCTCTTCCTTACGGTTTTCTCAGTAACATTTTCTTTGCTCTAGTTTACTATATTGTAAGAATATAGTATCTAATATCTATAATGTACAAAATATGTGCTATTGACTGTTAATGCTATCAGTAAGACTTCCAGTCAACAGTAGGCTATTAGTAGTTAAATTCTGCAAAGTCAAAAGTTAGATGTTCAACTGAATGGGGGGTCGGTGCCCCCAATGCCTGCATTGTTCAAGGGTCAACTGTATTTTTTACTAATTTTAAGTGATATCTGGTATTAATCCCATTTTCAGTTAAGTGGCAGTTCAAACAAATTAAAATAACTTACCCATCAGGACTGCATACCTTAGGTGGAGGATTTAGGATCTGAAACACATTTGGCTGGCTCCAAAGCCTGTATTCTCTCCCATTGTCCCACAGTGCCACAAAAAAAATGGAAATAATTAATTTGGGTCTGCCTGCTCCCTCTCAGGGCTGCAAATCCTTCATCAAGAGTCAAGGTACGGTCAGAGGGAGCACACGCAGGCCTGAGATTCCACAGAAAGAGCACAGAACAAAAGATGGAAACCCATCCCACTCACACGACAGCCCTTCTTGGGTACACTCTCTTTGGTGGCAGATGCCCAAAGATAACAGACTGTGCTACGCGTCAACAATCTCATCTGACTGCTAGGTTAGGTCCATTCCATGTAAAAATAACAACAACCCCTGCCTTCTCAGTCCCCTGTACTTAATTATTAGAAAAAGAGAAGGAGAAAATACGCCAGTTAGGAAACTTCAAGAACGCCCTCTGTTCCTTTCCATTTTGCTGGCATGCATCTCTACTAGAAGCCTGAGAAAATAAGGCATCAAGGTGACCAACCTACATACACTTGTACCGGATTCTCTAGAATGTGTCTTCAGGAATTCCCCGGGGCTCTTCCTGTGGTGCTGAGAGTGGCTCTGCCACCATCACAGCAAACAGGAGGCTTAAGGATGAAGTGACAGCCGCTTTCCCAAATGAAATGCCATAACATCACCCAGACCGCCTCACTTAGGACTGAGGGCTCCACGCATTCAAGCAATAACTAAAGGAGAATCAGTGTGAGGTCATCCACTGAGTCATGCCAAACTACAAGACCTTTTTTTCTCTTGAAAAAGGGTGAGAGAGATGTTTGCTCTTGGCAGACAGTTCTAATTTTCATGCAAATTAAATCATTGGTCTCGTTTCCATTTCTTCTGGGCTCATACGCATACATATTTATGTATACATACGTATACAAACCCACAACCACTTATTTCATCACTATGAAAGCCCAAATACCTTATTATAATCACTGCAATGGACATGACAAGAACTGGGAGTTCTATTTCACAGTCCCTATTAGCGATTATGACAGAAAGTCTACACGTGCCTTTTAATTTCATCACTTAACGTTTCTTGGGCTGAGGTAATATCAAACTCATCTTTACATTCATCCACTGTAATTTCAAGTAGAATGCCTGAAAAGTGGTAGACATATATAAAACATCTACCGAACTGAATTAAAGCAAAATAAAACATGTAATGTAAAACAGAACACTCAGGCCTTGTGTCTTACAAAATCCTTGAAACTTCACAATCGAGATGTGACCATTGCCAAGTCTTTCCAATGAATTAAAAAGCAAACAAAATTTCTACTATACTTATGCCACGTGAAATTGCTGCTTTTGTAGGTCAAGAATGATTGGATATCAACAATTTCATGTGGTTCAGTCTAACAGAATATAATCAATCACACAAACTAAGGTAGAAAATCTGGATATATCTCCAACAACAATGTTCCACTTACCACAATATTCATATACAAAGGATATAATCACAAGGTATATACCAAATTAGTGTGAAAACAGCATGTTTCAGGACATCTAAGGAAATCGTATAATCAAAACTTATTTTTTAAATTAACAAGATATAATAAAGGCATTTTACGTGTAATAAAATTCACCAATTTTAAACGTAGAACTTGATGCATTTTGACAGATATAGTCTCGTAACCTCCACTACAGTCATGAGGTAGAATATTCCCGTCACCACAAAAAGGTTCTCTTGTACCCCTCTGCAGTAAATCCCTTCCCCATACCACCGGCCCCAGACCTGCTTTCTGACAGTGTATCAGTTTTGCCTTTTCTAGAACTTCATATAAATGGAGTCATACAATATGTACTCGACTGGCTTCTTTCACTCAGCATAATGCTTTTGAGAGTCATCCATGTCGCTTTATCAGTAGTTCATCTCTTTTCCTTGCTATGTCGCATACCACAATGTGTTTATCTGTGCACCAGACAAGTTGTTTCCAGTATGTGGCAATTGTGGAAAAAGCTGTTATGAACATTTGTGTATCTTTTTAAAATGTATTTTCATTTCCCTTGGGTGAATTAACTCAGAATGAAATTGCTGAGTTAGCTAGTAAACATGTGTTTAACTTTATATGAAACTAGCAAACTGTTTCCCCAAATGCTGTATCATTTTCCACTCCCAAGAGCAGCGTAGGAAAGCTCCAGTTGTCACAGCTCCTCGTCAACATTTGGTATGGTCAGTCTTTTTCATCTTAGCCACTCTAGGGAACATGCACTAGTATCTCCTAGTGGTTTAATTTACATTTCTCTAATGATTAATGATGTTGACATCTTATACTTACCTGCTATTCATGTATCATATTTTGGAAAATCTCTATTCAAAATATGTTACTCATGTTTAACTGGGTTGTCTCAGCTATAAGAGGTTTTTTTTTTTTAATCAGATATATATTTTTCAAATATTTTCTCCTAGACTATAGATTGTCTCTTCATCTTAACAGATCTTTTGAAGACCCAAAGTTTTAAATTTAGATTAAGTTAAAAAAATTTCTTAAACTAAAAAATTATTTAGTTTCTATGCTAAAAAGAAAAAATGTCTGCTGTTAGGGGGTGGAGGTGATGAACAGGCAGAGCTCAGAGGAATTTTAGGGCAGTAAAACTCTTCCGTATGATACTATAACGGTGGATACATCTAATTACACATTTGTCCAAACTCATAGAACACTAAGAGTGAACCCTACCTAGTGTGAACTACTGGACTTCGTGTGACAATGTTGTGTCAATGTAGGTTCATCGATTGTAACCAGTCCCACTGTGGTTGGGGATGCTACTAATGGAGGAGGCTGCGCATGTGTGGGGACAGGGAACAGATGGGCAATCTCATGCCTTCTGTGCAATTTTGCTGTGAACCTAAAACTTCTCTAAAACATAGTCTATTTAACAGTAAAAATCTTTGCCCGTCTGAAGGTCACTAAGAGTTTCTCCTATGCTTCCTTGGTAAGACTGTATATTTTTAGCACTTACATTTAGATCGATTACCCATTTCAAGTTAATTTGTGTATATAGTACAAGGAATGACTCAAGGTTCATTTTTATTAATACAATTATCTGATTGTTTTGGCACCACTTGAAAATATTCTTTCCTCACTGAATTATATTTGTACCTTTGTCCATAATCAATTGGGCATGTATGTGTGGGTCTATTCTGTTCCATCAATCTATCTGTTTATACTTACGCCAATACTACACTGTCTTAATTACTATAGCCGGAAAGTAAGCACTGAAATCAGGCAGTGTAACTTAGAATACAGTACTGATTTTTAAATAATTTAATAACTGTGGGACAATTCACCCCCAATGGATATATCACAGGACCTCAAACTGATGCTGTTACTCCCTCCATTCCTTTTTCCTGTGTAAATTAACAGTGGCTCCTTGCACACATGCCAGTGGGACTTCAAAGGCCTCCATGTATTTCCTGCCTAGATGGAGCATAAAGAATTCCTGCCCAGTTGACCTCATCCAGAATGGACTGTTACCTATATTTATTACCACGTATGATCTTTTCTTGTTCCACTGGCCATAACCCCTTGCACCCGTGGTCTCTAGTCCTTAGATTTTTCCAGACCATATCATTAAAATGTTTCTAACCTCTGTTTTGACCATCTGATTCCTACCTATTTGGACTTCCTCAGAGAATCATTTCCCTAACATACTGGTCCTTAACCCAGACCATGGCCTGTTTTCACTAAGAGTCTGGCCCTTACCTGTAACTGAAACCCACCCCATCATCTCACAGAACTAATCTATTAATATGCAGTTTCTAATGAGCTTAGAAATTGACCCACCCTGTCTTAAAACTTAAGAAAGTTGCATTTGTTTTATCTGAATTCCTTTCTCAGAAAACCAACCATCAGGGCTCCCAGATATCAAGGAGCTGAAACTCACCAGATCACTGCATTTGGACAAGGAGACACCAGACCCTTCACCCATTATGGCTGCCTCAGTGACCACCAGCTTCCTGTTGACCAACTCCTCTTCCTTATACCTTCCTAATTCCTGTTTACCGGCATGTAGTTACATTGCCTTCCCACTATATAAGCCCCCAATTTTAGTTGGTCAGGGAGATGGATTTGAGACTGAGCTCCCATCTCCATGGCTGCAGTACCCGATTAAAGCCTTCTTCCCTGGCAACACTTGTCTCAGCAGTGATTGGCTTTCTGTGCGGCAAGCAGCAGGACCTAAACCAAATCTCTGGTGTTCTGGTAACATAAACACAGAAGGGTAAGTTAAAAAAACAAAGCCATTTTCTGCCCCTATGCTCAACCAAATCTGCTGCTACTGGCCATGAGGGCCGCCCACTGCACGATTCAAGGATGCCATTCACACCAAGCAACAAAATGGCCCTGCCCGACTCCTCCTCCTCTTTGCCCACCCTCCCACATTAGTAGAAACAATGTCTTCCTATCAGAATCACCAAGTAAAAATATTTTTAATGTTCCTTGGACCAAATTCATATCCTAAATATTCTTATGTTAACCTTGATGTGTTTCAGACAAGTCAAAATGCAATCTACAAATAACTGTTTCAGTGAGATCACTTTTTATTTCTCCTAAAATCCTCATATATTTACATCATCTTACAGAACCACAATGAGCATAAAATTAGCTACTCTCTTCCTATCATTTGTACCAGCTACCCACCAGACACTTTTGAAATGTATCATGTAAACTGAATTTTCCAGTTGCATGCCAGGATAAAAGTCCTTGAACTTGGGGTCACTTGGCAGTCATTTTATCTTTAAACTCACACCTACAGGCACTAGGGAAAAAAGGAAAGGGAAGGAGAGAGGGAGAGAGAGAGGACTCAGATAAGATGATATCATAAAGTTATATAACATGGTGCCGAAATTGTCTCATCCAAAAAATTACTTGAGATTTCTTTTGGCTTTAGGTATGAACCACATATTAGTTACTAGAAAGGGTATCTAGTTTCCACCTAGATTAAAAAACAAACCAAAAACATGTTTCAGGCCAGGTCTGGTGGCTCATGCCGGTAATCCCAGCACTTGAGGAGGGCAAGGTGGGTGGATCACTTGAGGTCAGCAGTTCAAGACCAGCCTGGCCAACATGGTGAAACCCCATTTCTACTAAAAATACAAAAAGTTAGCTGGGCACGGTGGCATGCACCTGTAATCCCAGTCACTCAGGAGGCCGAGGCAGGAGAATCGCTCGAACCCAGGAGCTGGAGGTTGCAGTAAGCCAAGATTGTGCCACTGCACTCAACCCTGGATGACAGAGTGAGACTCCATCTCAAAAAAAAAAAAAAAAAAAAAAAAAAGAAATGTTTCACTGTCAAGATGACAGGCTGAGAAATTATTTCCCCATAAAAACCTAGCTCCACTTAGTTTAAGAAACAAAACTCAAAAGGCAAAAATCAGAAACTCCTGGATACAAAAATCAGAAATGGGAAAAGAGACACAAGGTACAGAGGATGGAGAGGAAGGAGACTAGGAGTTACTACCCTAACTCGATGAAAGCTAAACACAACCAAGGACCCCTCCCAGGACAGCCCTGGTGAAGTGGAATCACATAGAAAAGCAACAGATGACACTTGACATGAATTACTGTCCAGAAAACTTCATTTTAGAAAATGGCTGTTAAGTACAATTGTATATCACTCAACTGTCAAATCCTAGTCTACTCAAGGTGAGGCTCCTATAACTTCTTTGAAATTTCTAGTAATTATTATCTGAACTGAGTTGCCACTATTAAACCAGGCAGCCACTTAGTCCAACTATTTTTGGGTCCCAAATTTAACACTTAGTGTCTTAGAAGAATTTAATTTTCATAGTCCAAAAAGGTCAGAAGCCTGGTTGATGTAAAACAAGTGGTGTCTATTATTTCTCTCAGGAAGGCAGAAAAACTAGGGCAGGGATTACTGCAGCTACAGAATGACTGTCCTCCACACCTCTCCTTGTTCAGGCGGCTTGGCCTACTCTCCTGACAGTGCAGCCACGGAAAAAGTGCCAAAGCATGCCAACCTCAAACAGAGGTGATGACAGAGAAGCTGAAATCCTGGTTTCCCTGGGGATTTGGCTGGCCAATTTTTAGAAAGCTCTACTCCTAGCTGAAGTGCTTTTATTATTCTCTTTTTCTAAGCAGGAAGAATACAGAAGAACAGGGCCTGGGAACCTAGGAGCACTTCTCTTTACCATTGGTTCAGTAAAATCAGTGTCATTTTGCCTGCGAAAAGCTCTCTAACTGATCCCTGTTTTATCAGACGATAAAACTCTGACGCTGAATGGGAACCTAGAACAGGGATCTATGGCAACTTAGCAAGGATCACTTCTTTTTTGTTTTTTTTTTTTTCTTTTTTGAGACAGGGTCTTACTGTCCTCTAGGCTGGAGTACGGTGGCGTAATCTCAGCTCACCGTAGCCTCTGCCGCCCTGGCTCAAACAATCCTCCCACCTCAGCCTCCCCAACGGCTGCAACTACAGGCATGCACCACCACGCCCAGCTAATTTTTTATTTTTTGTAGAAATGGGGTTTTGCCATGTTGCCCAGGCTGGTCTTCAACTCCTGGGCTCAAGCGATCCTCCCACCTCAACCTCTCAAAGTTTTGGGATTACAGGCATGAGCCACTGCAGTCAGCCAGTAAGGATCACTCTTATCCCTAGTAAAAAGGATCCGTGATACAAAATGGCCACTGAGTCCCTTCTCTCTCCCCAGTCTCTTACACATTCTCATAAACAGTGATTGACTCACTTATTTTCTGCAGAAGACAGAATGGCATGAATGGGACGGAAACGGTTCATATGACTACTTGGATATCTCTCATCCTGTGAACCAGTCTAACAAGCAATTACCTTGAGGAATCTGAAAATAAAATCGTGATATGAATTCATGAATCAGGAAAGAACCGTGTACTTGCATAATTAGCCTTCTTTAGAGAATGGGGAAATACATATCTGATACAAGACAATTTTTAAGGTGTAATCCCATCATTTGCAAGTCACTAAGAATAAATGTGAAGGTGACAGTGGGAAAAAAAAGAAAGAGAAAGAGAGATGGGTTGGTATGATCTATTTTTAGCTTACAGTTCAGCTACACATAATATATTAACAAAATTTCTGATACTGCTAAGGTGCATTAATATAGATTAAAGGAAACAAGATAATAAAGGAGATGGACTGAGCTCTTCAAGTCTGTACTAGTAGGAAATGGAATTAAACACAGGCTGTGGGGTTTTATGAAAGTCACAATGGTCATCAGCATATGCAAACCCACTAAATTCTTCACCATATAAACTTTTTGTTACATTTTTATAACAAAAGTTAAAAATATACCCTCACATTTTTGAAAGTATGCTTCTTATGGTTCCTAAGATACCAAAAATAAAATAAAACATTCCTAAAACAGTCCAAAATTAAAAGGAGGCCCATAGGTACTTGCCTATAGGTGTCGCACAGAAAATTTTTTTTATAAAAACAATGTTTCTACTCTTTTATTATTAATCCAACCCCAGAATTTTAAAAGTATGCAAAGTATTATTACACGCCAATAAGCTAATGATAATTCAAACATTATAAATTGCTATACTTTTTTTTTTTTTTTGAGGTGGAGTCTCGCTGTCTCCTAGGCTGGAGTGCAGTGGCGCAATCTCGGCTCACCAAAAGCTCCGCCTCCCGGGTTCATGCCATTCTCCTGCCTCAGCCTCCCAAGTAGCTGGGACTACAGGCACCCGCCACCACACCCGGCTAATTTTTTGTATTTTTACTAGAGACGGGGTTTCACCGTGTTAGGCAGGATTGTCTCGATCTCCTGACCTCGTGATGGGCCCACCTCGGCCTCCCAAAGTGCTGGGATTACAGGCGTGAGCCACCGTGCCTGGCCATAAATTGCTATACTTTTTTAGTAACAGGTTAAAAACCCTGGGATCTGAGGGAAAGACCAATTGTTTAACTCCATTCTTCATTCTCAACATGTGTTTCCTACCGCTAATAAATGGAACTCGAGTTTTTCCATGGCCCCACTCAGTTGGAAGAATCCTCTTTCTCGCCTGAACTTCTGTGGCACTCTGTCCAGACTGACTTTTATCATTTATTATAATAAGTGGTATAGCGCACAAACCTGATCCATTTTCTAGACCAAGTTCCCAACGCACAGGCTCTGAGGGGGATTCAGTTGAATCTCCCAGGTGCTTATTCCTTGCTGCAAGGCCTCTGGAAACTCCTGCTTTATGAATCTAGAATCAATGAATAAATATCCTGACAAATAGCTACTTACATGTAAACTCTAGATGTTATCTCATTTCTCTACACTGCATGAGCACTGTGTTGTATCTTTCGGCTAATAATATAGACAAACTAAGTTAATGATTATTCTTGCAAAGATGCAAAGATTTTTTTTAATCTAGTATGAACTAAAAGCCATAATTAATCACCGAGAAGGATAGCCTCAACTTTTTTAAACTGACTGTAAACTGATTACCTAGTGCCACTCGGCTAATACACTGGAACCAGCCCTTGGTAGACAGATGTGCCCTTCCAAACAGATATGCACAGTAGGCCTGGGCTCATCCCAATTTGGAGCTACTCCCAACTACTCGGATCTTTGCCTTGGATCAGCCCAACAAATGAGCATCTTATGGAAGATGAGGCCGCTCACAAACCCACAATGAAATACATGGCTTGGGCCCTCTCTAATGAATTACTCATGAGTCAGGCATGACACCTGAGTCTGGGAGGCTCCTCTCATAAAGTCGGTAGTAACCTTAACATAGAAAGAAGTTATAAATGACTATGCAACCTTACAACTGGCTTCCACCCATAGTCATCGCTACTTCATATGCAAACAGCACCTCTGATATCTCACTCAGATTCTAAAGAAATCTTTGCTAGGGGAAGAGAAAAAGGGAGAGGAAAAAAAAGACATTCTCTGCTGTGTTTTACATTTCTTAATCCTCTCTAGTTTCGTCTAGAGTTTAGAGAAAGTCAGTGAGAAAAAAGATTATGGGCATGTTCCTAACCATTTATTTCAATTTCCTTTATTATTAGGTGGAAAAGTAGTTAACAGCTATGCAAAGCAGGTGCAGAGAGGAGGAGGAGGAAGGCAAAAAGAGGGCCGCTTTTGAGGTGCATGAACCAAGAAGAGTCGCTGCCTGCTCTGTGCCATCATGCAGCTGTTAATGCCACAAGGCTGCTCTCCCACCCTCCCCAAAGTTGATAATGAAAAATCAAAGCACAAACAAAAGCAATGCACAGAACAGGATAGCAAAACCCGATCATCCTGCACCAACCACATCTCTTCAGTGCATCTGCTTTGACCTCTGCTTTTACAAGCACTACCACTGAAAATAAGCTAGAACAAAAGCTGATTCGTTATGCACAACCATAAAGAACTCCGGGGCACGCTACATACATAATTCATCATGCCAAGCACGCGACAATCAGCATCATTTATCTTTGCGGTATTTTAAAGCGGTGACAGGTTACTAGATATTTATAAAGTCTCTTATTTCTATGAGACCCTTCCAAATTTAAGAAATAAAGAACCTTATTCCTCTGCAAATGGCACTGCTTACAAACCTAAGACTATATATCTCCTGGAATTCACCTGGTATCCATCATAAGAGGGTGGCTACACGACCCTAATAAACCAATTAAGCTAGCAGCCGTTCCACATCAGTCCTGTTGAAATTAATCTTATCAAATCACTTCCGCTTTCTGTTTTTTAAAACATGCTGCAGTCTTCTTCCCGCTGTGGTTAAAATTTTTCTTGAAACATACACTTAAATCAGTCATGCTTTCTGTCTAATGGATGAGGAAACCGGAGCCTGGGAAGGTTCAAGAGCTCAGAGCTAGGAGGAGAGAGGCCCAGGACTCTGCCTCATTAACATCCAAGACTCAATTGCCTTCATCCCCAAGGACCTACCTGGGGGCCTCTATTGTTTATTATTGTCTGAATTACCTCTAAGTGGTCCCTCTGACTCCATTCTTACTCCATTGAAATCCATCTTCCACACTGCTGCCCTGAGTGTGCTGACAAAATGGAAATTTGACATTTCCCCATTTGACCCTTCAGTATTTTCCTCTCACCCTCTGAAAAAAACCATCAGGCTTTAATTTAGCTTAACACCCAGATGCCAGAAGTTCCTTCTGGTGAAAAAGTGTTAGCTAGTGAATAGATAGGCTAAAAGTTATTTACACGGGATATGTACAGTGGTTCAACCTGTAATCCCAGCACTTCGGGAGGACAAGATGCACAGATCACTTAAGCACAGGAGTTCAAGACCAGCCTAGGCAACATAGTGAGACCCTGTCTCTACAAAAAAAAAAAAAAAAAAAAAAAAAATTAGCCAGACATGGTGGCACGCACCTACAGTCTCAGCTAACTCGGGAGGCTGCAGTGGAAGGATAGCTTGAGCCCAGGAAGTTGAGGCTGTGGTAAGCTGAAATCGCGCCACCTCACTCCAGCCTAAATGACAGAGCAAGACTCTGTCTCCCAGGAAAACAAAAAAGGTTTAAAAAGAAAACAAAAATATTTACAGACGTGCATTGATAAATGAATAGTTGGGCTGCCAGTAATTTGTACAGCCCATCACACGTCAGGGGCCCTGGTTTTACAGAAAGTCCCTACGACTCACCTCCCCTGGAGACCTCCCATCCATCTAACCACCCCACACACACACACGTGGATCAAGACAGATTCCATCCCGCAGGCCTCTCCGAGCCCCTGGAGATCTTTTTCTCCTGGAATTTATTACACAGCCCTGCAAATCTCTGCTTACTGTCCACACTGCTTCCCTGGACTGCAGCTTCCCGGGGTCAAGGCCTTGCTCCCCTCCCATGCCCCATGCTCTGCCCCATGGCTGGTCACTGCCAATCCCCAGCAAATGTTTATAGTCCAGTACTGCAATGTTAAAAGCAACCATGTGCATTTCACACAAGGAGTCCTTACTTTTTTTCTTTTTTTGGTGACAGGAGCGTCACTCTGTTGCCCAGGCTGGAGTGCAATGGTGCAATCTCAGCTCATTGCAACCTCTGCCTCCGGGGGTTATTCTGCTTTTCATTCAAATAACTACCCATTTTTAATGGGTGACAAGCTATTGCCTTCCTGAGAAGCAGCACAGGGTGACAGCAAAGACCATAGGTTCCTGAGGACAACCTGGGCTCTGCTACATGCTGTGTGCCCCTGGCCATATGACTTAGCCCTCCTCTGTCTCCACTCCTCATCTGTAAACCAGGATGATGGTAATCAGAGCTAATGTTTACTGAGCCCTTATTATATGGTAAAAACTACTTGCAGCTGGGCGTGATGGCTCACACCTGTAATCCCAGCACTCTGGGAGGCCGAGGGGGCTGGATCACTTGAGGTCGGGAGTTTGAGACCACCCTCGCCAACTTGGTGAAACCCAGTTTCTACTAAAAATACAAAAATTAGCTGGGCATGGTGGCACATGCCTGTAATCCCTGCTACTCATGACAATGAGGCACAAGAATCATTTGAACCAGGGAGGTGGAGGTTGCAGTGAGCCAAGATCACTCCACTGCACTCCAGCCTGGGCAACAGAGTGATCACAAACACGCAAACAAAGAAAAAACTACTTGGGGACTTGACATCTATTCATTCATTTCCCCCTCACAACATCTAAGGAGACTCTGATAGCAGGTGTAAATGCTTGGGAACTGTTAGAATTATTTTTACCTATTTACAGACGAAATTGAGGCCCAGGGAGGCCAAGTGGCTTCCCAGAGGTCCAGGCCCCCGACTTCCTAATCCACTGATTTAATTACATCCAAGGCTCAGATGCATGGGCTCAGATGTATGAATGGCATTCAAGAAGTGCCTGGGAGAGGTTAACATACTGCTGATAAAAGATGCAAGGCCTCTTTCTCTAATGCTGGTTTAATATAAAGCAAGTAAGCTGCATGGCAATATTCATCTCTAGCTACAGCTAAGGTGACACTTGTTCTGTCACCCTACCTAGGAAACCGTATCAACTCCCTGAGATGAAAATCTGCCCCATTCCAGAAATGAGCTAAATCAAAGGAGGGAGAAGGAAGGAAGAGGAGGCTAAGGCAAAAAGTTATTCACACTTTGCATAAACATGCCCGGATGGCAAGCATTATAAAACGATCTGTGTAACATAAGCTTCTGGGTCCATGGGAGGCAAGGGAGCATGTGACTGTGCACGGATATGAACAAAGCCAGCGACACACCACCAGATTCTTCAAAAGCAAATATTTGTCTATGACCAAAGAATCGGGATTCTTTTCTAACAAAGAGGAATGTACACCGTTCTAATTCCTGATTCTTCCTCCTGCTTTACAGTGGGTTATGATCTCGATGGAAATCCCCCCATGAATAAATGTGTCTGCAATCACAAATGGCCCCATAAATCAGAAGATTTATGAACTGTAAAAGGGGACGGCAGGAGGATTCCAACCTTGCAGCTTCCTTCATGCGGACCACCTGGGGCCGGATGCATGGCAGTTTATCACTTCCTGGAAACAGTCATCTGGCTTTTCTTTTTAGCTAAGCAAGAAAATGTTATCAGCCCTGGTAATCAACAAGATGCAATCATCCCTGCTATTTGGGTAAGCTTTTAATGCCGCACCACATTACACAGAGGAGGCTCAGATGCATAGGCTCGGATGCATGAACAGCATTCAAGAAGTGTCTGGGAGAGGTTAACACACAGCTGATAAGCTCTGGCTGGCTGCAGTGAGGCCTGGCCCAACAGCCCCTAAGGCAAATTCCTGAAGGGACTAAATAGAAAATGAGTGGATATTCCCTATTCCAAGGGAAAAAATAAAAATAAAAAAAAAGATGGGAACAATACAGTAACCAGGGAAAAGCACAGAGCATGCACATGTGTGTTTTTCTTGGGGAGGGGGAAATGCATATATTTCAGAGGCTTAACAAATACATTCAAAAGAACACCTGCTCCATCCCAGACAGGCAGCAGAACATCGTGCAAGAGTGAGACGGAGACAACCGGGCAGTGCCACTCGTGAGCCATCTGGGAGTGAGGGGTGTCAGGGAAGGGGACAGATGCACCCTACAGGGCTTTGCATCCCAGTTCTTATTACTGTACCTTGGGCACAAAACAGCCCAGCTCTAGGCAAGCCAGTGAGCCATTTTTGGTATCATAGTGTTCTTTTGGAAAATTCACATTTCTATTTTTAGTTCTTCCACATGCAATTCATAAGCAATAGCCCTCCGGAATCAAAGTCACCTCAGCTATGCCATGAGTCAAGAGAATCCCAGTGAATATATTTTTTAATAGCATGTTCAGGGAAAATGTGACCAGCTCTGTTCGGCCATACTGTCTGCATTGACTTGGCAGTTAGCATGAAATGAAGGATTTTAAAGACCAAACACTTCAATGAGTCCTGTGAAAAAAACTCCCAAGAACCTGACTGGGGACTTTGTTAGCTTCAAATAAATATATACGTCATTAAGTATGTTTTAAACACAGAAGCAACTATAACAGGATTTAATTGCTTACTTTTTTTTTTTTTTTTTTACAGGTCAAACACATTTTAGAGTGCTGGGTTACACCCACTCTTTCTTCATCACATGTACAGAAAGGCAAAGAGTGTGGGTAATCTCTTAAATTTTAAATTCCCACTTGGTATGAGGATAAAACATCCAAGAAACATTTCCTGTGCAGAACACACCAAGCTTAGGTGTAGAAAATACAACGGTGTGGAACTCGAGAGGATGGTTCTAGGATACAAATAAAAACAACCACGCAGCACGGGAAGATTTTTGTTTAGAAAACAGATGGGACAGAAAGGCAGATGCAATGTTTTGAGTCAATGAGATACAGTTCGTTCTTAATTATATTTCATTGATTTCTTACATGGACAGAACATCATTCTTGCTGCCACTGTTTTATTTTGATCAGCGGTATATCTATCTGTAAACATGTACAATTTGTAATTATTGCTATGTCTAAACACTGCATCACGTGTAATGGCTGAATTAAGCTGTGAAATGCGTAATTATGCTGAAAACAATGGTGTTCCAATACACATCACCAAAGCCAATTTAAAAAAATTACCTTGTTTCAAATCACAAAGCGAAGGCTTCATAACCCTCGAGGCTTTTTTTAGGTCCCACCACTTTGATTTAGAGATTTGTCTTTTTCTAATTGCATCTCAAGAGTGTTCCGAGCACAGAGAGGGATTATTAACCCTGAAGGAAATAAAACTGAGTATTTCTTACACCTCTGGAAGGTGGAGAACGTACTTAGTTTAACAATCTGGAAAGGATCAAAGGTCTGCCGGTATAGGTGTGACTGAACAATACATCCATTGGTAGACTACTATGCTATATTTGTAGGATATACTATAACATTCTACACACACACACACACACACACACACACACACACACACATATAATAATCTTCTATAACAGGGTTCTAACTGTTCATATGGAGGCATCTCAAAAATATATTTTGAAGTGATCAAATGCGAGGTGCAGAACAAGGAGTACAGCATGATCTCATTCCTGTTAAAATATATGCAAATACATGCTTTATTTTCCCTGGAAGAAATCAGCAAGAAACATTTTACAGAGGAGACAGTTTGGGGAGGGGTTATGAAAAAGGGGGCTTTGCTAATGAATCTACCATCCACATATGGATAGCACTTTTTTTATTTTCAGTTAAAGTTATAAGGGTGAAGAATCACTATGTGATTCCCGCTGTCACCTCTGTATTTAGAAAAATGTTATGAGGTTTTTTTAAGCTCTAGAAGAAATCACAGAGGAAGCTATTAATATACTGAATGAAATTTGAAACTTCAAAACGTTAAAGGTTTTTAAAGCAAAGAGGGGAACAAGCTAGAAAAAAATGCCTTAAGTATGATAGACAAAAGGTTATCTTTTATATATGAAGAGTTAATATAAACTGATAAAACACTGTGATTAAAAAAAAAAAAAGAAAAACCACCAAGATGATGCCAGAAGATGTTATTAGAGGATTCAGAAAAGAAGCAACACAATTAGGCAACATTTATACAAGAAAACGTTCACATCCACTAGTTAAAATCTTCAGTCACCAGTGACATATTGTTTCCATTAAACGGTAGTGCATTTTATAGATGATACCCAATGTTGAGGAGGTACAGTGAAAAAGATCTTGCATCTGACGTGCCCATCCTCATGGGAAGCAACGTAAACGTGCATTGAGATTTAATGACATTTTTTGCCTTTGACTCAATGACTCTACTTCGGGGATTACTGCCCAAATAAAAAAGAGTTTTTATAAAGAAATACAGTCATCAGAGAATCACTCACAAAAAAAACTGGGAACAAGAGCACAAATGGTTGGATAAACAAAAAGAACACAAGGTTAAATAAACAAAGGTGAAAAATCACCTTGATGTACTATTATGCAAGCATTTTTAATTACTGTATAAATACTAATCACAGGAAATTATATCCATGTTAGCATAAGTTTAAAAAATCAATATTTGAATTATTTATACAATTATAACTACATATTTTTAAAACCTAAGCTTAAGGAGGAAACAAAGCTAAAAGACACAGAGCAAAATGTGTAGTGATTACTTTAGATACCCACCATGAGAAACTTTTTTTTCTTCTACTCTCCAAATTTTTTATGTTTTTTTGAGTCAGTCTCGCTCTGTCACCCAGGCTGGAGTACAGTGGCACGATCTCAGCTCACCGTAACCTCTGCCTCCTGGGTTCAAGCGATTCTCCTGCCTCAGCCTCCTGAGTAGCTGGGATTACAGGTGCGTGCCACCACGCTCAGCTAATTTTTGCAATTTTTTACTAGAGACGGGGTTTCACCATGTCAGACTGCTCTCGAACTCCTGACCTCGTGATCCGCCCGCCTCGGCCTCCCAAAGTGCTGGCATTACAGGTGTGAGCCACCATGCCCGGCCTATAAGTTTTTATAAAGGGGAAAAAGCATTTTTAAAAGAGCATAAGGTGTTCATATGAACAGAGATCATACTGTATTCCACCTCTTCTATGAAGAAAAGAGTTTTGATCCACAAACTTATCACTCTTCTAAAAGTATGTTTAGACTCTTGTACCTTCTGGAATGGTGGAAACAGCAGCAAACTCCTACTGAGCTCTTGCCAGGTGTCAAGCATTGTTCTAAGCATTTAACACATATAACTCAATCTTCAGAACCAACACAAACTATTATGATGCCTAAAGTCACATAACTAAGAAGCAGTGGCACAGGGATTAGAGCCCAGCAGTCTACTCCAAGAGCTCTTGCAACTAACCACCATATTATAATGCTTCAATTTGAAAACTACACAAAATCCCAACTGTTTCAAGTCAATCTATAAAGCAAATACAAACAAAATATAACCTAAGACTTAAAAATACCTTGTACTTCCTAGGATTTGATTAAATGTAATTGAGGAAACTTTGATAAGTTGGCAGGCAAGGGAAGACAAACTCAAATGATGATAAGATGCAAGAAACCACTGTTGTCGGCCGGGCGTGGTGGCACATGCCTATAATCCCAGCACTTTGGGAGGATGAGGCAGGCAGACTGCCTCAGGTCAGCAGTTCGAGACCAGTGTGGCTAACGTGGTGAAACCCCGTCTCTATTAAAAATACAAAAATTAGCCGGGCATAGTGGTGTATGCATCGTGATCCTCCCGCCTCGGCCTCCCAAAGTGCTGGGATTACAGGTGTGAGCCACCACACCTGGCCTATAAGTTTTTATAAAGGGGAAAAAGTACTTTTAAAAGAGCATAAGGTGTTCATATGAACAGAGATCATACTGTATTCCACCTCTTCTATGAAGAAAAGACTTTTTATCCACAAACTTATCACTCTTCTA
The DNA here is from genome assembly GCF_000001405.40 of Homo sapiens. Classification (NCBI taxonomy): domain Eukaryota; kingdom Metazoa; phylum Chordata; class Mammalia; order Primates; family Hominidae; genus Homo; species Homo sapiens. The sequence goes on along the minus strand of NW_018654717.1, from coordinate 4,475,179 downwards.
AATAGTGGTCCCAGTTACTCGGGAGGCTAAGGTAAGAGAATCACTTGAACCCAGGAGGCAGAGGTTGCAGTGAGCCAAGATCATGCCACTGCACTCCAGCCTGCATGACAGAGCAAGACTCAGTCAAAAAAAAAAGAAAAAAAATGAAACCACTGTCATAGTGCGGTAAGTGGTGTCCAACAAATGAAGTGCATAAGACATGGTGGTCCAGGGCTGGGCGCAGTGGCACACACCTGTAATCCCAGCACTTTGAGAGGCCAAGGTGAGTGGACTGCTGGAGCCCAGGAATTTGAGACCAGCCCAGGCAACGTGGCAAAATCCTGTCTCTATAAAAAATATAAAAACTAACTGGGCATGGTGGCATGTACCTGTAGTCCCAACTACTGGGGAGGCTGAGGTGGGAGGATCACTGGAGCCCAGAAGGTCAAGGCTTTAGTGAGCTGTGACTGTGCCACTGCACACTCCAGCCTGGGTGACAGAGTGAGACCCTGCCTCAAAAAAAAAAAAAAAAAAAAAAAAAACTACGGTGTTCCATTAATGCAAATTTAATAAAAATGGCATTTTCAGTCAGTGAGTAGTGTCACACACAAAAAAGCATAAAGTAAATATAGTGAAACTTAAACAGCCCACAATAAAATGGTAATTGTGTCAGATCCGAATTTGCCTTTATTGCAGGGTCTATTAGGGTAAGATTTAGAGCAGGGAAAATCGATGTTCTGGAATACATTCCTAGGGATTACAGAGGCATGCGGCTCTCTGGCTGATGTTAGAATGAATAACCAATGCTCCTCTTCTCCCTCTACTCCGACATAGTGAAAGTGACCAGCAGCACGCTTAGACATGGCTCTGCAGAGCAGGTGTTCTGTCAGCTTAACAATAACTTGATTATGAGTCTGAGCAAATCATGTGAAACTACCCTTCCGTTTTCCCAGCCATAAATCTCTTCCAAGGTCTCAAGAGAGCCCAGCCCAATGACAAAGGGACAGGCTAGAACAATGCTTTTAAAACTCTAGTTGATGGGCCAGTGGGTCACTGGCAAGTGTCTACCAGTCCATGAATGCCATTTAAACAAAGAAGTCTCTCCCTTACTATAATTTCTAAATGCAAAACGCATCTGTGCCCACACATGCCCACCCCTAGGCCTGCTGAAGTCTTTGTCTGCTCCCTGCCTTTTAAATGGCATTCTAACTTGAAATGCTCCACCCACCTCCCTTCTTCAGGTGGTTAACTAGAAATCATCCTCTGACACTCAACTACAGTGTGGCCTTTCTGGGAACCCTTCTCTGAGACCCCTGATGGCGCTCTCCCCACCTTACCTCCACCTGACCATGACCTCCGCTGACCTCTGCACGGGCAGCTCCTGTGCAGTACCAGACTGTCTGCCCAGAACTTAGAATATGAAGGGAGAGGAGGTGAGCTGGTGTACTCTGGAAATCAATGGCAACCTAACTGAGACCCAAGTGACGGTGGGTCAGAGCAGAGGTTTGGGGCTGATATCCTAGAGTTCTCTAACTCTGGGGAATTCACTTAATTTCTAAATGTCAATTTCTCCTTCTGAAAGCAAAGACAGTAATAATACCTACTTCCTAGGGCTGCTGTGGGGATTAAATAAGATCACCCCTAGGAGGCACTTAGCACTGTCTCTGCAACATGAGAAAACGTCAACATTGTCACCTCTTCTATTTTTCTCCAAAAATAGGGAGACTGATGTGATGATTAACACAATTACCTTTATGACATGAAAAACAAGAATCATATTAAAACAATAATAAAGTTGGTAAGTCAAACAACGGCACCCAGGCGAAATATTTTTCTGGTTTTATGTTTTCCCTTTCCATTGCGTTTTTAAAAATTCCTTCTTTTCAAAAAAAGAAAAAAAAAAAGGAAAAAAGGAGGGAAGGACAGAAAGAGTGAGGAGGAAGGGAGGGAGGCTTGTTCTAGAGACCTAAAATTCACTACTGCTATAACCTAGTACTAATACAATGTTAATAGCATAGACTTCATTTTAGGAATAAGGAGGATCTAAGAAAATTAAACTCTTTAATTTTCTCAACATTTAATATGCTAATAGTACAAGAGTACTTCAAAGCATCTCTCAGCAAAGAAATCCAGCAGTCATATATTTTTATTATGATGATATGCACTTTAATGGATGCTGTCTTTGGAGTCAGCATTCATATAGTCTTTGGTGTTCAGAAATGACTGATGATTTGAATCCTTCCCCAGATGGGAGCAAGTCTATAAATGACAAAAAAGGTAAGGACTACTGCCAGGCATGGTGACTCACGCCTGTAATCCCAGCACTTTGGGAGGCCGAGGCAGGAGGATCACTTGAGGTCAGGAGATTGAGACCAGGCTGGCCAACACGATGAAACCCCGTCTCTACTAAAAATTCAAAAAAAACTAGCTGGGTGTGGTGGCACATGCCTGTAGTCCCAGCTAGTTGGGAGATGAGGCAGGAGAATCACTTGAACCCAGGAGGCGGAAGCTGCAGTGAGCCAAGATCGCATCACTGCACTCAAGCCTGGGTGGCAGAGAGAGACTCCCATCTCAAAAAAAAAAGGTAAGGACTCCTGAAGAAAAGGCATTTCTTTTCCTTGGAAAGGCTGATTCGTTTGGGAAGTTTTTAGAGATCCTCATATACAATGAATTTCCTTTTTCCAGCATCCTCACAAGTTCTGCCTGAGATTTCTCGCAAACAAGTAATCCAAACTGAAAGTCAACTCAAAAGAAGGACTTGACCATTACTTTCCACCTACTCATACATCTGAAGGAAATTCAAAGCTGTGGCCTGCTTTGCTCAGTAGGATCACATTTTTTTTCTGGAAAAATCAAAAGCCAGGGTTCCCCCCAAAGTAACATTCAAATATGCAAATGATTTTCTCCATATGGGGTCAGATTCCGTATTTACAAGAATCAACAATGACATTAACCAAGATCCCAACACAGCTCCCCAAGCCCAAGATCAGGTATTTTATTTTCCTAGAACTCCCAGTTCAGTACAAACTTCTGTATAGAGCAGGTATTCAACAGTGATTGACGACACTTATCTAATCTGGTAATCATCTACATTTGTATCACTGCCACCATCACCACCCGCTGCCACTCTACCTTCATTAGGTCTTGCCAGTCATTCCAGGAGTTAAACTTAAAATTTATCTTTAAAAAAAAGCTCTATGCAGAAGACAAGAATTACACAACATTTATTTGTACTTCTCTTCTACGTGTTCTTTACGGAGCTCGTGTATGTCACCCCTCATTAAATCACATACACCCTAGAACAGACCAGGAGGCTCGGATGCCCTCCTTTCTGTCCTCTCATCCACACTAAGAGGATCCCCACAACCGTGTCCAAGATCTCCAATCAACATGGCATCTCCAGGCCTAGCCCCAAAACCCCTACTCTTAAGTTACACCTTGGAAAGAAAGTTGCTACAAAGCCTGGCAAAAGAATTCCCAGTCACTTGGCCCCAGGAAGAATGACACCAATGTATCTGCCCCACCCCTCCAAAGGTGCTTGGCTGAGATGTGGCAGGTGCACAACACTGGGAATGTACTAAATGACAGGGAATAGTTTACTTTAAAATGGCTTTTTCATATTATGTGACTTTCACTCAATAGGAGGAAGAGGAGGAGGAAGATGAGGAAGAAAAGCAGCATCAGTCATCAGGGCTTGACTCATTAAGCCACATCACCCAAAAGGCAGAATGGCACACGCACAACAGAAACCTCCAGAGAGTAGTCTTAACATGACTCCAGTTTCCCTGCCTCCTCGCCCTTCTCCCAAGCATGCTTGTTCAGATTTGCAAAAGTGAAAGAAACCATTTGCAATAGGCTGGGTGCTGGGGGCTGTCGGTCTAGGGCAGGACATCCCTTCCTTTTTTGTTTTTTTTTTTTTTCCCCCAGATGGAGTCTTGTTTTGTCGCCCAGGTTGGAGTATAGCGGCGCAATCTCAGCTCACTGCAACCTCCGCCTCTTGGGTTCAAGTGATTCTCCTGCCTCAGCCTCCCAAGTAGCTGGGATTACAGGCACACACCACCACACCTGGCTAATTTTTGTATTTTTAGTAGAGATGAGGGTTCACCGCATTGGCCAACCTGTTCTCGAACTCCTGACCTCAAGTGATCCACCTCCTCAGCCTCCCAAAGTGATGTGATTACAGGTGTGAGCCATCACGCCTGACCCATACCTTCCTAAGATGGGTGAAACAGGCTCCAAACTCACAATGTCCCTGCAAGCCCACCAGCAGTAACCCGATGCCTCTGTCTTCCTCTGCCCACATTCTTCTCCTGCTCCAACGTGCACTTTTTAGACTCTTTGCTTCTATAAATTTACAGCAAAAGAAAAAAACTTGTTGGTGATAGCTTTTCATTAAATTTACTCTTTTAATAAACAAAGCCCCAGTATTTTCAGCTAAGAGATTGAGGAAGGAAAAATGTTCTGAAGGATTTAGTGCCAAAAATAAAAATAACTCAGAATGTTTCCTTCTTGGTCTCCAGAAATAAGTCAGCCCTGCTAGCAGTGGATTCTGGGAACTGTTATCCACGCAGCCACCATCATATAGAGTACACATGCAATCATCTCTGCATTACGCCAGCCACCCTTCCATGACCTTCCAGGAACTCACACCAGCAGGTGTAACCTGTACACACTTTCCGGGAACCACTGAAAACATCTTCCTTCCTGCACCTATTCCACCTCCACCATCAGACCTCACGCTCCTCACCATCTATATGCTCCCCACTATAGAATGTTGGCTGGGCATGGTGGCTCACGCCTGTAATCCCACTTTGGGAGGCTGAGGCGGGCGGATCACCTGAGGTCAGGAGTTTGAGATCAGCCTGGCCACCATGGTGAAACGCTGTCTCTACTAAAAATACAAAAATTAGTCAGGCGTGGTGGCAGTTGCCTGTAATCCCAGCTACTCGAGAGGCTGAGACAGGAGAATCACTTGAACTTAGGCAGGAGAATTGAGCCACTGCACTCCAACCTGGTGACAGAGTAAGACTCCGTCTCAAAAAAAAAAAAAAAAAAAAGAAAGCAGCAGCCAGTGAACCATCAGCTTTGGGAGGTTGGAGTATTCACTGCCTCAAGGCCAGGTGGTAGAAGGCTTTCTGTGGCCAGCTCCTGCATTAAATGCACATTTGCATCCTGCTGCTAAGTGCCCCTTGCCCACTCTTCCCCCATTTCTGTAAGAATTAGGCGGTAGATATGGAAGGCAGGAATATGTATACCAGAAAAACCACATGGGACAATGACAATGGCTTCCTTTAAAATGCATAAAGATAAAGAACATCACAGGCCGAGCATGGTGGCTCACACCTGTAATCCCAGCACTCTGGGAGGCCAAAGCGGGCAGACCACCTGAGGTCAGGAGTTCGAGACCAGCCTCACTAACATAGTGAAACCCCCATCTCTACTAAAAAAAAACACACACAAAAATTAGCTGGGGGTGGTGGTATGTGCCTGTAATCCCAGCTACGTGGGAGGCTGGGGCAGGAGAATCACTTGAACCCAGGAGGTGGAGGTTGCAGTGAGCTCAGATAGTGGCACTGCACTCCAGCCTGGAGACAGAGCGAGACTCAGTCTCAAAACAAACAAACAAACAAACAAACAAAATATCATAAACAACCAAAAAAGCACTTGCCAGGCATCAATTAAGAAATAGCCGTGCGTGGTGGCACACGCCTGTAATCCCAGCTACTCAGGAGGCTGAGGCAGAAGAATCACTTGAACCCGGGAAGCAGACGTTGCAGTGAGCTGAGATCGCGCCATTGCACTCCACCCTGGGCGACAGAGTGAGACTCCATCTCAAAAAAATAAATAAAATAAAATAAAAATGAGAGTTTGAGTTCTTTCAAAATAACCAACCTGCTCTGACCCCTTCTACCTGATCTGCCCTGTGCCAGGCATTGCACAGCTTCATTCATGCTAGAGCAGCCTTGGAGAAGGCAGGCCAAACAGGGGTTCCTAATCCCTCCCTGCTGAAGTGAAGGCTGCCAGCCCCCAGAAGAAGGTAAACCTGACAACCACCCCCCAGCAATTAATGTTGCAATCAGAAAAGCTGAACCAGGCTGGGTGCGGTGGCTCATGCCTGTAATCCCAGCACTTTGGGAGGCCGAGGAGGGAGGATCATCTGAGGTCAGGAGTTTGAGACCAGCCTGGCCAACATGGTGAAACCCTGTGTCTACTAAAAATACAAAAATTAGCCAGGCATGGTGGTGCACCCCTGTAGTCCCAGCTATTCAGGAGGCTGGAGCAGGAGGATCACTTGGACCCAGGAGGTGGAGGTTGCAGTGAGCCATGACTGTGCCACTGCACTCCAGCCTGGGCGCCAGAGCAAGACTCCGTCTCAAAACAAAAACAAAAAGAAAAGAAAAGAAAAGCTGAACCAGAGAGGACTGAGACCTGAGCCTACCTGATGTGCTTTCCACAAAGACTGGAAACACAAAGCAGACCTCCATCCCCAGGGAACAGGGACGCCAAGGCTGCCAGAGACAAGAGAGGGCAGTACTGGGCCTGCACCCACCCGCTGGTTTTCAAAACAAAACAAAACAAAATCAGCAGGCATTCTGATGCCCTAATGGATGGATGGTCAGGTGTCCTTAATCAAAAAGGGCTCCCATGGGCCAGGCGCAGTGGCTCATGCCTGTAATCCCAGCACTTTGGGCAGCCAAGGTGGGTGGATCACGTGAGGTCAGGAGTTCAAGACGAGCCTGGCCAACATGGTGAAACCTCGTTTCTACTAAAATTACAAAAATTAGCTGGGCGTGGTGGTGCATGCCTGTAATCCCAGCTACTCGGGAGGCTGAGGCAGGAGAATCACTTGAACCCAGGAGGTGGAGGTTGCAATGAGCTCAGACAGCGCCACTACACTCCAGCCTGGGCAACAGAGCGAGACTCAGTCTCAAAAAAAAAAAAAAAAAAAAAAAAAGAAAGGGCTCCCATGGATAGAAGCAAGTTAATAGGTAGATGAGAAGAAAAACAGAAATGTCCAATTCCTCCTTTCCCCACTCATTCCCCTCCTATAATACAGAGTTAAAGCCCCTCACCTCTTCACGGACAAAGGGGAATAACCTCAGAGTATGACATAAAATATCCACTAAATAAAAAATACTGGTTGGGTATGGTGGCTCACGCCTCTAATCCCAACATTTTGGGAGGCTGAGTGGGGAGGACCATTTGAGGCCAGGAGATCAAGACCAGCTTGGGCAACATAAAAAGGCCCTATCTCTATTTCACAAACACACACACACACACACACACACACACACACACACACACACACAAAAAGAAAAAAAAAATTAAAGAAAAAATACTTTAGGAAATTCTAAACTACTTGTGCAGAGATGGACTTAAGAGTCTATTCCAGGGTTTAAAGAAGAGGCACCTAATATTTAAAATAATTCAAATACTCCAAAGGCCTTTCTAGCCTTCTAGAACTCTATTCTGCACAGTATTTGTTTATCCTAGTGCCTGATTAAGGTTTTGATTTTTACATAAAACAAAGTCCCAGGGAGTTCAGAGGCCTATTCATAAAAAGAAAAGCCAAGAAGCATCAATATTAATAAAGCTTAACCAAAGAGATATTGAAAAACCTTTGTAAAATTAAAAACAATGACTAATTCAATCCAAACAACTAGGTCATGCTCAAATTCCAGTAATTCTAAAACTTAGATATAATAAGGCAAGAATTTTGCTTTGCTTCAGTGGTCAAAATGAAGGACCCATTCAAGGGTAAGACCAGTCATAGACGCACAATGGGAATGCTGGAGGAACACTGTGAGGGGGAGGGAGTTGGGAAGCTAAACAAAGCCAGATAATCATTACAATACTACCTGGGATTTTCACTGAGTGTGTGAATAACAAAGAAAAAGAGATAGTTCTCAGGCAGGGCATGGTGGCTCAAGCCTATAATCCCAGCACTTTGGAAGGCTGAGGCAGGCAGACTTTGAGACCAGCCTGAGCAACACAGCGAAACCCTGTCTCTACAAAACAACACAAAAATTAGCCAGGCATGGTAGGGTGTTTCTGGAGTCCCAGCTACTCAGGAGGCTGAAGTAGGAGGATCATCACCTGAGCCCAAGAGGTCGAGGCTGCAGTAAGCCATTATTGCCCCAATGCATTCCAACCTCGGTGACAGAGTGAGACCCTGCCCCCACCCCCCCAAAAAAAAAGTTATTTCTCACAAAAAGACCAAACTATCATTCAGCAAACATCTGAGAGGCTCTGCAGAAGCTACTAAGTCTCGGGTGTGTCTCTGGCTCAGAAGCAGCAAGTGAACAACCTAATCAAAGATATATCATGACGCAACCAAACACCAACAAAACAAGTCAAATATGCTGTGTTGTCGGAGAGGTACACTCCGTGTGCAAGAAACTGAGGGACAGAAGACATTTGGCATGAGATACAAAAAGGCATCAAGTTACTGAGTAAATGAAAGACAGTAAAGCTAAAGAAAGCCACATAACTCATTCTGTCTACTGATTTGGGTTGCTTTCTCCTTATTTTTTAAAATGACCTTAAATAATTTGGAGAGTAGGATATTTAGTGAAAATCTGCAGTCAATGCAAGTTTAACTCACTAAGACACACTCTTCCAATTCAAAAACACAGTATTCACTCATCTGCTTAAAAGGAATATCAAAGCACTTGAATCTTGCTGCAGGCCCGTGTCCTAACCACCACATCTTAATGTACCCTCACTCAACTTCAAGAGTACCAACTCTTTGAGTTTAGAGGTCATACTGGTAGAACAGAATAAAAGCATAAACAAATATCCCACAAGAAGAAACTTGCTCTAAGACAAGTATACAGGACCAACCAATGAGAAGGAAAACAGCAAAAGGAAGGGAATCCTGGCTACCAGCTATGGGCAGCAAGTCTGCAAAAAAGAAAGGGTACCTGCAGGAAGCAGGTAAAGACTTTCTTTTCGGAGCCAGGGTCTTGCCCTGTCGCCCAGGCTGGAGCGCAGTGGCACAATCTCAGCTCACTGCAACCTCCGCCTCCCAAGTTCAAGGGATTCTCGTGCCTCATTCTTCCCAGTAGCTGGGATTACAGGCATGAGCCACCATGCCCAGCTAATTTTTTTGTATTTTTTGTAGAGATGGGGTTTCACCAGGTTGACCAGGCTAGGATGTTGGCCAGGATGGAGAAAGCAGGTCAAGACTTTCACAGTGACATTTAGGCTTCATCATAGGCCATCTCCGAGTTTCCAAAAGAATCTCCTGTCACTCAACCCATTTGTCTTAAATAAGATGTCTTAAAAAGATAATCACGTTGTCAGATTACCTATTTTAAATAAGACAAATAGGTCTTCTCTCTGACAATGTGATTTATTTTTACAAAAAACTATGAAACTAGTGATTGCTGGATGTGCATTTTCCAATCATTTCTTTTTTTTTTTTTAAGAGACAGGGTCAGAGTGCAATGGCACAATCATAGTTCACTGCAACCTCAAACTCCCATGCTCAAGTGATTGTCCCACCTCAGCCCCCCAACTAGCTGGGACCACAAGTGTGCACGCTTAGCTGATTTTTATTTTTTATTTTTTTTTGTAGACACGGAGTCTGGCTACATTACTCAGGCTGGTCTCGAACTCCTTGACCCAAGTGATCCTCCTGCCTCAGCCTCCCAAAGCAAAGGGATTACAGCCCTGAGCCACTGCACGCTGCCCATTACTTTTCTTGTATAAACCAAAATAAGAAAAGAGAAATTTACCATTATACTTCCCGTGGTCAACTACAGTAGGGCAGCTCAGGCCAGAAAATCCAACAGGACAAGGCCAAAATAGGCTTTTCACATAAAAATACTTTAAAAGATATTAGTGCAACTTTATACATTTTTTCTGTATAAAATCAAGAGAGACAGTAATTTACTATTTACTTTTACTGTAACATCCCAAAGTTAAGAAAATTCAAAGTCCAACTTTTTCAGCGTTGCATATAAAATTGTTATAGTTTATAGGACAACTTAACGCTTTTATAAAACATAAAAGTAAACAATTTTTAATGTCCCCAGAAGCAAAATGACTTCTTAAAAAGACAAAGGTGGCCAAGCCTAGTGGCTCACGCTTATAATCCCAGCACTTTGCGAGACTGAGGTGGGTGGATCATCTGAGGTCAGGAGTTCAAGACCAGCCTGGCCAACCTGGCGAAACCCCCGCCTCTACTAAAAATACAAAAATTAGCCAGGTGTGGTGGCGCATGCCTCTAATTCCAGCTACTTGGGAGGCTGAGGCAGGAGAATCGCTTGAATCCAGGAGGCAGAGGTTGCAGTGAGTCAAGATCACTCCACTGCACTCCAGCCTGGGCAACAGAGCAAGACTCCATCTCAAAAACAAACAAACAAACAAAAAAACATGAAAAGGCAAAGGCTGCCAATAGATTCAAAGGGTTTCTGCTGAATTAATATATATTTTAATAATCTAGGGATTCAATGAATCTATTTTTAATGTATGCTCTACTTAAACACTCAACATAATTCTGTTCCCACATTTAGCTTTTATTTCTAACTCATTATTTTAACTTTTACCAAATCTTTCGTAACTGTAACAATTACTAACAAATGATGGCTATCACAGAAAAATACAGAAGAGGAAAATGTTTTTTGCATCTTCTTAATGTAACGAGAAATGTACTATAATCATGTTTTCTACTATTCTATACCCTCTGCTACTTTTGAAAAACAACACAATTCAAAAAAAAACAAAAAGACTATAAGACAAAAATATGTACGTTGGTGTATATATACATATATATTTTATATGTACATATTTTATAATTATATGTATATGTATATATTTTATAATCGTGCTCTAAAAACAACTGATGATTTATTCCTATTCAATCTATAAGATAATTTTACAATTTTTCAATCATTTGTTTTCCACATTGAAAAAAAATCTCTTCCTTATAGCCTGGATTGCAAAACCAGGTGTGCCTCATTTGAAAGGCAAATAGACAACACAAGACAAGGGGCTTGTTTCTGCATCTCAGTACAAGCTTGTCTGTGGAATTTATGACTGGTAAAAATTAAACATAAAGAGCTGACGTTAGCAAAAAAAACAAAAAAAAAAAAAAAAAAAACCTCCAGCCTCGCCCCTAACTCCTCAAAGTTCTTAGAAGATCTTTACTTGCTCAATAACCTATGTCTCTCCTTTTGTTGTTAATAACATTCGTTTTTATTACTTTGGATTAAGAATGGCTTCAGGTTGCTCCTTCAGTAAACTACCCTGTAAATGCGTAACTCCCAGTCACTTTATTCCATTTGGTATCACAATAAAGAAGTATCTTGCTTCCATGAATAACACACAATGACAAATATAAAACAAACTGAAGAGTCTACCAAGTCATGGAGTGTGACAAGATTCCAGATAAACATACAGAATGGATGTCTCAGTTGACTGGTAACTGAATACGCTGGCTTTTTTCATGCTTAAGAATTAAATTCAACCTAGATCCAGGGCAACGGAAAGATGTCACCTTCGGAAATATTGGTATTCAATTCCTTCCTGATACTATTACCAGCTGCATTCTTGTTGTCCCTCTCTGACCAGGACAAAGATCAGAGTGGGACGCAGTCTTCCATTTCATCACCCCTCCGGGTCCCCTGGGGGTGGGGACCCAGGTGAGAAACGTGCAAGGATGCTATTGTTCTGTCTGGTTTGTGCTTAGGACACTTGGAATGTTGTTAACCACCTGCTCCACAAAAAAACAAAAAACAAAACACACACACACACACACACACAAAAACAGTTGTTTAAAGAACTACAAAGGATGAGGAAATGGACACGTTCCCAACTAAAAACTAGTTTGATACCAATTAACCAGGCTCAAAAGAAAAAAATCCCATATAAGTAAAACGCAAAACTTATGGAGACAGTAAAAAGATCTGTGGTTGCCGGGGTTGGGGGGAATGAATTGGCAGAGCACAGAGGATTTTTAAAGCAGTAGAACTACTCTGTATGATACTATAATGGGGGATACAGGTCATTGGACATTTGTCCAAACCCACAGAATGCCCAACACAGAGTAAACCCTGTGTAAACTATGACCTTTGGCTGGTACTGATGTGTCACTGCAGGTTTATCAACTGAAACAAATGTACTGCTCTGGTGGGAGATGTTGACGTTGGTGAAGCTACGCATGTGGGGAAGGGGATATATGGGAAATCTCTGTACCTTCTGTTCAGTTTTGCTATAAACTTAAAACTGCTCTAAGAAAAAAAAAAAAGTCTTCAAAAAAAAAAAAAAACAAAAAACCCCAGACAACTAGTCCTGGAATTCTTCCACTTGCTTATGATGGTTTAAAAAAAGAAAACGAAAAAAAAGTCTACTGGAAAACACTCTCCAGAAAACTCTTAGCTTTCTGTCCCTTCCGTCTCAATTATTAAGCACTGCCAGAAAGCTTCATTTGCTTAACACTTACCAAAAAACAAACCTTAAGACGTCTATAAAACTCGAAACTGCCAGGAAATTCCCGAGGAAACGCCCCTCAAAGATTTCAGTCATCTATCTTCCATGTCCCTGAGTGGGCGGAGGGGAGCAGCAGCCCCAGGATTTAGTCATGCATTACAGTCTGAAATTTCTGTCTTTACTCATCCATTGTTCACTCCAATTACAAAAGATTTTCTCTGGAATTTCTTAAGAAAAGTGAGCAGTAATTTTTACTTTCTAATTACATTCTGAATGTAAGCAGAGTGCTTAAATGCTTGAGGGGATGGATACCGCATTTTACAATCTGATTTCTATGCATTGCATGCCTGTATCAAAACATCTCATGCACCCCACAAATATACAAACCTATGTACTCACGAAAATTTAAGTTTTTTAAAAAATTGTGACACTGGACACTTGAAACTCAAACTCATCTACCCCTTTGAGACGTGTCTAATGAACACTTTAGCCAACGATCAGTAAGAGGCTAACATCGGACACTGTCCAGAATCTATCTGTTCAACCACCTGAAATTTCCTTCCACCAAATGTGGGCTACATCGACAAGAGGGGAAAGGAGATGGCAAATGTTGTGACTGGAACCCATTTTGGAAGTCTGAGTCTGTTAGGAGAGGATGACACTTGTGACTGCATTTCATAAGGCTCAGGTACTTACTACCTTTTGCTCATCTCCAAATCTCCCTGTGTTTCCCTTACGAAGCTTTCCTGGAGAACCCGTGAAGTTAAACAAACATTCTGCCAAATGACAACCAAGTATCTCCAAAAACATATCTTACAGCATACCACAGAAGAACTTCTCCCTCTCTCCACTTACCTGGAAAAGCATGTGGATTGGGCGATCCTCTCTTAAGGCACTTAGAACAGAGAATGTGCACGGTGTAGTGCAGTCCAGGCCATTCCTGAAGTAGGACATTCAGTTCCTCCACCAAGGGGGTTATGGCTTGCCATGCGGTCCATATATTTGGTAATGATGCATGGCTAGCAATGGACAGGGTGTCTGGCTGCAGGACTCCCCTGGCAGGTCTGTAACTCACAACCACAGGAACTTTCCCTCTATAGGCAAAGATCTGAAATTTACCATCCGACCTGTGCACCACATGGCTGTTGATCTGGACACTGTAGCGTGCAAACAACCCAGGTGGAAAAGTAAAAGGAAAGCTATATTCAATCTGCAACTGCTCAGCCACAAAAGACTGCCCAGCTAGGTTGGTCCCATTAATCCAGGCTTCTGCATGGGGCACCTCGTTCTGCACATAGCATGGGAACTTGTACCAAGCTGTGGACCCATTCAAAGGCTTGCCCTTGGGTTTATTGAGGCAGTAACAGAGTCCCATCTTCTCCAGCAGCTCCAGCAACAGCTGCAAGTCCTGCTGGGCCTGGACATGAGGCTTAAGCAGCAACCGAATGACATGAGCTGGCAAGAGCCCATGCAACAGAAAGCCCTCCACATACTGATGGAGCTGGGTGGCCCGGAGCAGTTCCTGGCTGGGGGTGGACCGCGCCATGGGCGGGGAGCTTTCCCCCTCCGCCTTGCCCTCTCCACTGGTCCCTAGGAGCAGCTTATGCAGCAGCAAAGAGGGATCCCTCTGGAAGAAGACATTGAGGATGTCGATGAGGCGGGTGAGGTTGTGGAAGACGTGCTCCTTGAGAGCCGGACTGTCCTCAAAGTAGAGTAGCTTGCCGCTCTCATGCAGGTAGGAGAGGGCACTCTGCAGTCGGTCCTCGGTCAGACCCGCCTGCAGGCCCAAGCGCGCCGAGTCCCACCAGCTTAGCCACAGTCGCTGGGCCTGAGGTGGCTGGAAATGCAGTTCCTCCAGCACCTGCCAGGATCGAGGCAGTACTCTGTGTAAGTTGGGGAAGATCTCTCGGTGCTCAGCAACTGACAGCAACTTGTCCCGAAGGCGTCGTAAGTGGCGCGGGTCCCTGCAGCTAACAGGCAACACGGGGGAGAGGATCTGCAGCCGGTGGTTGAGCAGGTATTGAAAATGGGCCTTGCGCCGTCGAAGGTTCTTGTCCGAAACGCCATAGTAGGCTGCGTGGGGGCTGGCAGAGCGCAGCTCGAAGTCCCGGGCCAGTGCCTCGTCCACCACCTTGGCCAAGCGGCTCAGTCCCTCCGCGTCGTGCTTCTCCTGCAGGGCGATCTGGCGGTGAATGTCCAGACATTTCTCCTCCAGCTCACGCTCTCCGCACAGGTCTGCGTGGGTGCCCACGATGCACACCACCGCGTGGGGCACTCTCGCCCCGACCCGATGCAAGAAGGAGCCCACGGTGGTAGGAAAGTGGCGAGGCTCATAGGTGGCCAAGTTGACCACCAGCACGTATAGGGCCCCTGGGGACAGGAAGAAGGGCTGGATCACCTCATAACTTTCATCCCCAGCTAAGTCATACACGATGAACCGCAGGCCCCGGGAGGCATCGGCCGTCCAGCTGGTCACCTCGATGCCCTTGCTCACAGGGGGAGGTGACGGTGGGTAGCACTTCTCCTTGTCCCCTCCTCCTGGGCATCCCTCCACTCTCTCCTCGGTGAGGCAGTGGCGCAGCAAAGTCTTTCCTGCAGCCTTATGCCCCATCAGGAGCAGCTTGAGCCGGGGCTGCACCGCCGGCTGGGAATGAGCCAGTTCCTTCTGGTAGGCTGCGATGTAGGGGATCCCCTTCATGCAGACCTCGTAGGGGGGCTGGATCAGTGGGTTGTCTTTGATCTTCCACAAACCCACCCGGGAGAGCTGGCCAAAGTGGTCGGGCAGCACCGCGATCTGGTTCCCCTGCAGCACGAGCTCCTCCAGGCCGGTCAGCTCCACGATGGAGTCCGGCAGGTAGCGGATGCGGTTATTATCCAGCCACAAGGTGAGAAGCCGGCCCAGGCCCGAGATAAGGGATGGCACCGAGGTGAGCTGGTTGCGACTAAGGTAGAGCTCCTCCAGACCAGCCAGGGGCAGCAGCGCGGCAGGGAACTCCTCGAAGAGGTTGGAGGAGAGGTTGAGCATTTTGAGCCGCTGCAGGCAGCTGAACTGGGCGGGCAGAGCCTGCAGCCCGTTGTTGTCTAGCATGAGGCTCTCCAAACTGGCCAGCTCGCAGAAGCCGGCGGGCAGCGTGCCAAGCTCGGCCCCACTCAGCCAGAGGATCTTGAGGGCACGCAGGGCACTGATATCCTCAGGCAGGCCCCGCAGCCGGTTGCTGGACACGTCCAGCTCCTCCAGGGCCACCAGCTGCAGCAGCTGCCGGGGGAAGGCAGTGAGCTGGTTGTGATCCACGTCCAGGGTGCGCAGGCGGGAGAGGCAGGAGAGGGAGTCAGGCAGGTGCGCCAGCCGGTTAAAGCTGACATCCAGCTCCTCCAGGTGAGCGAGAGCGCCCAGCTGGGCGGGCAGGGCGGGCAGCTGGTTGTGGCTGAGGTTGAGCTTCCGCAGCTCCCTCAGAGCACTCACCACCTCCGCGCCCAGGGCGGTCAGCCGGTTGTGGCTCACGTCCAGCTCGGTGAGGTGGTGGCCGAGCTCGGCCACCGCCGGGGGCAGCCGGGCGAAGCGGTTCCTGCGCAGGACCAGGACGCGCAGGCTGCCCAGCGCCGACCCCAGCCCCTCGGGTACCTCCTCCAGGCCGTTGTTCCCCAGGTTCAGTGCCTCAATGTCCCCGAGGTTGGCCGGCAGCACGAGCTGGGGGGAGGCGGGGGACTCGAGCGCGTCGGCCCCGGCCCCGGGGCAGGCCCCGGCGGCGGTAAGCGTGAGCTGGCGCAGGTTGCTCCGCAGCTTCCTGGCACGCAGGGCGGCGTCCCGCCACAGCCTCGCGGTCTTCAGGTTGCCACTGTCCATCCCAGCCATGGCGGGGCCCCGGGCCGACAGCCTCACGCGGACGCGGGAGCCCGCAGCTACATGCCGCGCCGCGCCCCGGGCCCTCCGGCTCCTGCCCCTGCCTGCCCTCCCGCGCTCGGCGGCCGGCGGCCGCGGGTCCTAGCGCAGCCAGCGGCCGAGCGCTGGCGGCTAGGGGGCGGCGGCGACGCGAGCGGCTCCGGGGGACGCCGAGCGCGTGGAGAGCAGCTTGCATTCTCCCTGCGGCCGGGCCATGGGCGCGCCGGGCAGCAGGGCCGCCGCCCGCGCGCCGCGGAGGATGCCTGCTCCTCCTCCCTCTCCGCCCGCCGCGCGGCGCCTCGGGGGGCCCGGCTCCGGCCCCGCTACCCTCGCAGCCGCGGTCCCGCGGCCGGCAGCGGCGTCGCCTCCTCGAGCTCCTGGGGGAGGGCGGCGCTCGGCCCGGCGGCGGGCATGCTGCGGGCGCAGGGCTGGGGCGCAGCCGCGGGGAGGGGGCGGCGGCGCCTCCTTGTCTCCGTTTCCCCGGGCTCGGGCGGGAGCGCGGGCGCCGCGTCCCCGGCGCTGGGAGGGCGCGATTGGGAAGCGGCAGCGCCGCCCGCCGGAGCGGCCCCCACGTGACCGGCGGAGGCGCCGCGTTTTCCCGGCACCGCCCCGGGGGCGGGAGCTGCGGAGGGCGCCGGGTGCGGGGCCGGGGGCGCCTGGCGCGGGGCCGGGTCCGCGCCCCGGACCATGCTGGGCGGGGAGGTCGTCCCAGCGGCGGATGTGGGGCTCCGGGGCCCCCCTGGTGGGTTCGCCCGCGCCTGGCTCTTTGTTGGCCCCCAGTCTCTAAGGATTTCTTTTTCTTGTTCTCTAATGCGTCGGATCCGCCGGCTTCCCTTACTCATCCTTTACCTGCTCCCCTGCCGCTCGCCTTGCATCCACGCCGTAGTGGAACTGGCACAACTCGGGGGCCCTGGGTATCATCATAGAAGCTTAGGACAAGAGTGTGGTTAAACAAAATTAGAACAGGCAACCATTCATTCATTTGGTAAATATTTCCTGAGGCCCTATTTCGTGTTGAACATGGGACAGGAGTAATGCAGGCTGGTCAGAGGAGAATAAAAAATACCAGGCAGCAGTTTCACTTGACTGGAGGCTATGGGCTGATAAGACCCTGAAAACCAGGGTGTGTACCAAGCTGGCTAAGACCGGCTGGACCCGACGTGGTCCTGGATTTGACCTAGGTTTCTCCTAGGCCTCCATTATACGCTCTTTAACATCCTAAGTCACACCAGTGCCATGACAATTCCGGGGACACCCATATTTGAAGTAAAAATGGGTGGCACCACAGTCCCGAAAAATCTCCACACTTTTCCAGGAATTTTCATGAATATTTCACCCCTTGGTTAAAGAAACCCATAAAGGTAGCAGCCCCAAGCCCCGTTGTGAGTGACCCTCTCCACAATCCCTTTTCCTGGGTGTGTACTTTTCCCTTTGCAATAAATCTGCATATTGTCACTATTTTCTGAGTTGTCCTTGAACTCATTCTCTGGATGTGTCAAGAGCCTGGACATTGGCTGGGGTCAAGGTCGCACTGGCTTTAGAGGATCTCCCCCAGCCCACCCGTACCAGAACTACTAAAAGACGGTTTTAACCCCCCTGGGGAAGGCTTTTGAGCAGGTGGCCCGCCAGCCTAAAGGAGGGTTGTTAAGATGGGGGGGACACAAGCTGTTTATCTGGGGTATCCCGTTTATCTTCACAACAACGCTGTGAAACAAATACTGTATCCCCATTAATACAGTACCTGTTGTTCTGCGGACTCAAGAAAACAGCTATTTTGGGAAACAGTCACAGTCCATTGTTCAACTCTAATGCTTATTTTTATTGCTGTTAGGAAATGTTTCTTTGAGCTCACATCTATGCTAAGTCAATAATTTCTCCCGAACTTATGAAAGTCTGGAAACCTACCAAGACTCCCAGTGTCACCTCCATCATTCCCTTCAGGTTGATTGATAAGGAAGCAAATAGTTTTCAGGGACCGAAAACTGCGTTCAATTGGTTAAAGGCATCACTTGACCCACTGCAGCTCTCCCCGACATGCGCTATGGCTGTCATTTGGGGACCCATATTTGGTGCAGTAACGTGAGAAGTGTGTGTTTCCAAAAAGAGCACCTGAACATCTGAGGCTGGAAATCCACCCCAGTGATGGTTATCAGGCTGCAGGTAGTACATGCTGTAACTGGAGGATGTTCCCCAGTTCTGCTGGGTCCCTGAGGCTCTGACACCACAGATGAAATGTGAGTAAGTGAACAGCAAGAGCTGATCTGTGTTCACTCTGAAGGACTTCCGAGAGTTCAGATGGCTCAGGGTAGCCCCACCCACACTCCCTCCCAGAGACAGTCAATTTTACAACAAATATTCTGAGTTATCTAGGCTGACCCTTTTTTTCCCCCACAGAGGAGGAAATGGGCTCAAAGTAAGTGACTTCTCAATCAGCCATCAAAGTAGAGTAGAGGCAGGACTGCTAACTCCCCGTGTGGAATGTATTCCCCTGTGATCATCACCTGTACTCACACTGTTCTTGAGCCAGACCCCAAATTCTCCATCCTGCAGCTTCTTCTAACAAAAATATGAACTCAGCCTGGGTAAGGAGACTGGAGTAGGCATCACCATCCTACACCACCTTACATGATTATATCTCAATAACTGCTAACTGTTCCTCTTTAGAAGCCATCAGAAAATTATACTTCCTCCTGCAGAAGCTGAAATCAATTGAAAAAAATGAAAATTGTGCTTGCTTCAGCAGCACATATACTAAAATTGGAAAAATACAGAGAGGATTAGCATGGCCCTGCACAAAGATGACATGCAAATTCATGGTGTTCATTTATTTAATAATATTTTCATTTAAAAAATTATTTTAAAAAAGAAAAATGGCCGGACATGGCATCTCATGCCTGTAATCTCAGCACTTTGGGAGGCCGAGGTGGTGGATCAGTTGAGGTTAGGAGCTCAAGACCAGCCTGGCCAACATGTCAAAACCCCATCTCTACTAAAAATACAAAAATTAGCCAGGCATAGTGGTGCGCACCTTTAGTCCCCAGCTACTCAGGAGGCTGAGGCACGAGAGTTGCTCGAAACCAGAAGGCGGAGGTTGCAGTCAGCCAAGATCACACCACTGCACTCCAGCCTGGGTGACAGAGTGAGACTTTTTCTCTGAAGAAAATTATATTTTCCTTTCTTTTCTTTCTTTCTTTTTTTTTTTTTTTTCTGGAGATGGGGGTCTTGCTTTGTTGCCCATGCTGGACTCGAACTCCTGGGCTCAAGCAGTCTTTTTGCCTGAGCCTCCTGAGTAGCTGGGATTATAGGCATAAGCCACCCTGACCAGCTTATACTTCTATTTTAAATGTCCTTGGAAAACTGCACTCTTCATTTGTCAGGAGATCATCTATAATTTGCTTTATCTAATAAAAAGTACTGGCTAGGACCCTGCGCTAGGGGCTTCAAGCCCCACTAAAGCCCCAAAGCCTGGAGTGAATAAGTGTGCTGGGGGTGGCAATTCTTTGTGAGCCCCTCAGCTGATGCAGTCAATATAGTAGGAAGCCTTGTAAGAATCCTTGTCTATGAGTTCTTTGAAAGTCAGTATGTGAATGGGCACAGGGGTATATGCCTGTAATCCCAGCACTTCCAGAGGCTGAGGCGAGCAGATCATTTGAGCTCAGGAGTTCGAGACCAGCCTGTGCAACAAGGCAAGACATCATCTCTACAAAAAATACAAAAATTAGTAGGGTGTGGTGGCGCACACCTGTAGTCCCAGCTACTCAGGAGTGACGCGGGAAGATCACTTGAGGCTGGGAAGTGGAGGCGGCAGTGAGCCAAGACTGCACCACTGTACTCCAGCCTGGGAAACAGAGTGAGACTCTGTCTCAAAATACAACACAACACAACAAAAGAAAGTCAGTATGCTAAAAACTAGAAAGTCAAATGATAAAAGATAACTCAATGATAAAAGAAAACTCTATGAAAAGATATTGTGTTCCATATAGCTTTAAAATTTTTTTTTCTTTGTGCTTTCCACTTTCAAAGAAACTGCTTCGTAAAGAACTATAGAAATGATTCCTGGGCTGGGTGCAGTGGCTCACACCTGTAATCCCAGCAGTTTGGGAGGCCGAGGCGGGCAGATCACAAGGTCAGGAGTTCGAGACCAGCCTGGCCAACGTGGTGAAACCTCATCTCTACTAAAAATACAAAAATTAGCTGGGCATGGTGGTGGGTGCCTGTAGTCTCAGCTACTCAGGAGGCTGAGGCAGGAGAATCGCGTGGACCCGGGAGGCAGAGGTCACAGTGAGCCGAGATCATGCCACTGCACTCCAGCCTGGGCAACAGAGCAAGATTCCATCTCAGAAAGAAAAAAGAAAGAAAGAAAGAGGATTCATGAAAGTATCATCTTTTCTGTTTTTTCATTGAGACAGGGTCTGCTTATGTTGCCCGGGCTGATCTCGAACTCCTGTGCTCAAGTGATCCTCTCAAGTATCAACCCAGGCAAGGACTCCTGCCGTGGGCACCTAACCTGGCCCTCCTCTCACCATGCTGTACCCCGTGTGGTTAAGTTTCTGATGGGCCAAGGGGGCACGCCCCCTCCACCTTCTAGAACACACATGGTATGGAGGACCCTGAATTCCCAATGCAAATAGCCTCAAGCCTGGATGGGGAGCGTGGGGCAGTCTTTCATAGTCATTCGAAAGAAGTTATTGAGGTGGGCATCCCTAGACCTGGGGGTTGTGCAGGAGCTGGACCTCAGCTGTGTGCCGACGAAGCTCCTCTCTGTGCTGGATGTAGCCCAGGCTAGGGCAAGGAGTGTGAATGTGCCACATCTGTTAGGGTGATGTAACACATTTAGATATTTAGGCATGTGGCATGTGGGCCTTCCCGTGTACCCTTTCCCCAGGCCCTGCAAAGGATAAGCGTGGCCCTGCAAATGGTAGGGTTTTTCTAAAAGCAAAAACAACAACAACATTGTTTGGAGAAGAGGAACTCTATTATATAAAGTTTTCTTTCCTTAGAGGTCTATCCAATGTCATGAATCTAATCTATAAACTTTCCAAAACCTTTTCAGCTTAAGCCTTTTAATATATCCTGTTTTCTGACTCTTAGATTGTTTTCTCTTTCGCTGCTGCCTTATGATGGCAAGAGCATTCCATACACATTGGCTTTGTTCCAGAGTCTAGACCCTGTCTGCAAGAGCAGAGTCATTCAGGAGAGTGGAGAGTACATGGAAAGAGGTTGTGTCTTGAGTGAGGCCTTGAAACATGGCTGTTTAGAAGGGAGAATCCTAGATGCTCCAGATAAGCGTCTTTTGTCAAGAACAGTCTGGATTGGCAATGTGTGATGGCTCACGACTGTAATCCCAACACTTTGGGAGGTAGAGGTGGGCGGATCACTTGAGGTCAGGAGTTCAAGACCAGCCTGGCCAACACGGTGACACCCCCTCTCTACTAAAAATACAAAAAAAAAAAAATTAGCCAGACGTGGTGATGCACTCCTGTAATCCTAGCTACTCAGGAGGCTGAGGCAGGAGGATCACTTGAACCCAGGAGGCAGAGGTCACAGTGAGCCGAGATCGTGCCACTGCACTCCAGCCTGGACGACAGAGCGAGACGCTGTCTCAAAAAAAAAAAAGTCTGAATAGAGGTGGGCAAGAGTAGTTTGTTCCTATCCTTTGCTAAAACTATCAACAAGCCCCAAGTAAGCTTTCATCCTAGTTTCTTTTGCTGTGTCTTCAGCATATTCAATCAACCTTCTTCCATCTTGACAGATTTCTCTCAACCTTGCTAATGCCCTAGCTACTGTCTGACTACTTTACTTCCTTTCTCTGTCAAATATCTTCCATAATTGGTCCACGCTAGTCTGACTCCTCTCCCCTGGCTCCCTCCTTGGGCCAGTCCAGGAATCTGGTTTCCATCCCCACCATGCTGATGAGCCTTTCCCTCTTAAGGGTCAACTCACCCTTTCTCCTCCTTGACCTCCCATCGCTGAAAATGTTAAACAACTTCCTTTGGAAACTTTTTCCTTTCTTGGCCTATAGGATATTTGGTGTCACTTTAAGGTTTGGGTTTTCAAAAGGAGTCCCTATAAAGGCTAATTATTTCCTTATAGGGATCAAGTTTGCAATTAGAATAAGTGCTACCAAACGAAGCACTATAACTACGTGGGCAGAGTGGCCAGGATTTGCCTAGATAATGATAGCTTCTTAGGAGGATATTTAGTCAGTATGGTTTTTCCACTTAAATTTATATTATTCTATTTCTATTAAAGATGCATTTTGAAAATCATATGAGCACCCTTTTCCATTGAATTTTAATTTAATCTATCACAACTTAATCAAGTCTTGATTTTAAGGTGACAAAATGCTCCAATGTGCACAAGACTGAGGGGTCTCTCAGGATAGGAGACATTCTGTTCTTAAAACTAGGGTAATCTTAGGAAACTAGTACAATTTGTTAACTGACTTGGTCTTTAAAACAAACCCTTTAACTTACTCTCCCTTTACCCTTCAGGAGTTCAGAAAGCACAGCTTCCAGGAAATGTAGCACATTTTCAGCTGCTTTAGTTCTGATTTAGACTTTGTTCTGATTTCATTTACCTAGTTGTTCACTACCTTAGAAGACAGGATATTCATGGGCTGGAGGTTCCAGCTGACTTTGGAGTATGAAAATTACCTGTCTAGTCTTGAAAGAAAATTTGGCAATCACTTAACCCTTCCACACAAATGAGACCCAGGGCTGGGTTAAACATCTCATGAGAAAATGAACTGAGTTTTCTCCTTGAAGTCTGGAGAAGCTGAAGATATGCTGCCTGTATCATGAAAAGGGGCAAAGGGTTTCCCACATTTCTCCTTTCTTGTAATTTTAGGTCGTGTTTTGCTTTAAATAAATGACAGCAACAACAATGCTTCCTCCTATGTGGCTAAAGGCAACTAAGAGAAAATCTCACCTTTGAGATTTTAATTAGGCCACACCCTTCTTGGCTTGTCTTTGGAGGAGATAGAAGTGGAAAAAGTCAAGAGAAAAACAGACAGAGGAAAAGGAAGAAATACTTATTTATTTATGTATGTATTTATTTGAGACAGAGTCTTGCTCTGTTGCCCAGGCTGGAGTGCAGTGCCGTGATCTAGGCTCATTGCAATATCTGCCTCCCCAGTTGAAGAGATTCTCCTGCCTCACCCTCCCTAGTAGCTGGGACTACAAGCACACACCATCAAGCCCGGCTAATTTTTGTATTTTTTAGTAGAGACAGGGTTTCACCATGTTGGCCAGGCTGGTCTCGAACTCCTGACCTCAAGTGATCCACCTGCCTCAGCCTCCCAACGTGCTGGGGATTACAGGTGTGAGCCACTGCACCCGGCCAGGAAGAGATAGCCCTTCGAAAGGTGTTAGGCTTGGTCCAAAGCAGGGGATTAGAAATAAAGTCTTAAAAATGGACATCAAACAGTTTTGTCAAACGAGGTCTTGGTGATCATGGCATTCTCTCCTGCCACTGGGCATCACTCAATGGGAAATCTCAGAATAATCACGAGTCATGATAGCTAACATCTCTTAAAAGTTTTCCATGCACCCAGGCACTGTGTTGTGTGCTTTTCATGCAATATTTCATTTAATCTTCACAACAGCCCTGAATAGTAGGTTCCATTAGCCTCATTTACAGATGGAGAAAAATGAAAGCAGAGCTACTGAGTGGCAAAATTCACTCAAAACAAAGCAGACTGTAAAATTCATGTATTTAATCACGGTGCTAATTCTTCAGGGGTCAGGAGGGTGGAGGAGATTGGTTCTTAACTGACCTGGAACAGACTGTGTATTTTAAGCTGTAGAAAAGAGGGAAAGAGGTACCAGCTGGAGACAGGGCTGCCACCCAGTCTTCAGTAGAAATTGAACTGAGCTCTTACAAAATTGAAGAATATTATATTGGGCAATCCAAAGCTCTAAACACAGTGTCCCCAACTACAAGAACTGGGCTGAACAACTATTCATAAATGTCACTGCAGGAAACCAACAGAATGTCTATGCTAATTGTAGATCAGCTGTGTTTGTTCAATTTGCTAGTTTTACACAGAAAGGGTTTAATAACAATGACCGTAAATCTACACTCCAATTAGAGGGTGTTTCAGACTTCATATTTTGACTGCATTTTTTGAAAAAAGATGGAAGATGAATTTATTAAGCTCAGATTAGATACAAAGAATCTGACCCCTTTTGTTTGGATTTTTTAAAATTTTATTTAAAAAATATATAAAACATACCTCACCCCTCTTTCCTAAATTTAATAAATCTGCCTTGGACTCATGTGATTTGAAAGCAAGCCAGTTCTGATCAGCAATGGCTAAGAAGCCTGAGAATTGCCACTTAACTACAAGCGTGGAGCATAAAGTATGTGTTCAAGACACTGACTCCTCCAGAGAGCAAAGGCAAAACTATACCCAGACGACTGTTGTTTTTTCTTTCCCTTGCTCTCCAGAAAACTCATTTATCTTGGAATGAGCAACATTACATTTAACATTGGATCTCTTTGTGTTTCCAGGTCAAGTGGGAACACACACGCTCCCTACTGGGGAAAATAAACTGTAATGTATTTTTAGCATCCGTTGAAAGTACTTTCAGCTGAAGATATTCCACAGGACCCAGGCCATTTCACTGCAAGCCAAAGGATTTGCCTCGACGTCACCTAGAATCCCAGAACTTTTCCTGGGGGTCCCAGAGTAGCAGTGTCCCCTCCCAACCCCCAACTGCCCACCGAATCCTGGAGAAAACATCCTCTTTCTGAGAAAAACAAGGAAAATTAGTCCAGTGAAAGACCAACGGAAAATATCTGTGAAATAGTCATGACACATGAGGCTAACTGTAGCATACTTGGCATTTTGAAATGAAGCATGTCCAGGAGGAGGGGAGAGGGAGAATGGGTTGCAGAGAGGATGTCCCTATCATCCCCCGCTTCGTGTCTATTGCTAACGGCAAGCATTGGACAGGGAGACACTCTATTGTGGGGCTTTTCAAAAGGGGCCTGTATTAGTCCGTTTTCACACTGCTGGTGAAGACATACCTGAGACTGGGAAGAAAAATAGGTTTAATGAACTCACAGTTCCACGTGGCTGGGGAGGCCTTCACGATCATGGCAGAAGGCAAGGAGGAGTAAGTCACGTCTTACATGGATGGCAGCAGGCAAAAAGAGAGAGCTTGTGCAGGAGAACTCCCCTTATAAAACCATCAGATATCATGAGACTTCTTCACTGTCACAAGAACAGTATGGGAAAGACCTGCCCCCATGATTCAATTACCTCCCACCAGGTCCCTCCCATAGCGTGTGGAAATTCAAGATGAGATTTGGGTGGGGACACAGTCAAACCATATCAGGGCCTGTATGGTGCCTCAGTGAAAGGGAGAGCAATGCATCACTCTCCACAGACCCAACCATGCTCCTAGGCATGGTGAGTGAAGTTTAGGTGCTTTTGTCTTCCATGCCTTCTTCCAAGGGTGTGTGTGCACAGCATAAGCTGTGTAGCCCTGGGAATGGAGTTTCAGTTACCAGTCTGAACTATAATGAGATGCAGTCACAGTGAGATAAATGGTTTAAGACCTTGCTTCCGTCCACAAGGCTTTGAAATATTTTTCATATTTAAAAATAAATGTACTAGTACCTACCTTTTAAATAAACGACCCAGGGATATTGGGCCCTCCTTTTTGAACATCGTAGTTCCAAAATTTCAGAAAACTCTACAATGACCTAACACATACTATAAAGCGTAGCATTGAAAATGTAAAGTCCAGCCCAGCATGGTGGCTCATGCCTGTAATCCAACCACTATGGGAGGCCAAGGTGGTCAAATCACTTGAGGTCAGGAGTTCGAGACCAGCCTGGCAAACATGGTGAAATCTCGTCTCTACAAAAAATACAAAAATTAGCCAGGCATGATGGCAAAAGCCTGTAATCCCAGCTACTCAGGAGGCTGAGGCTCAACAATTGCTTGAACCTGGGAGGTGGCGGTTACAGTGAGCCAAGATCATGCCACTGCACTCCAGCCTAAGAAACGGACAGACTCTGTCTCAAAAAAAACTAGGGAAAAAAAAATGTTAAGTCCTACCAAATTAGTGTAACTATTGTTATTAATATTAATATTATTATTGAAGACAGACTAAACTTTGACTTTTTTTCTTCTCTTGCCCAAATTCCTACCCTAGGGGCCTGGGGAGTCACGGCCTACAAACCATAAAATCTCATCAGAGAGGTTATATTTAACCCTATATAATGTGGCCTGCCTTCCAACCTGACTCTGTCCTAACATCACATAACAAGGAAGTAAATCAAAATATTTTAACCCCAAATATGTTTCCTTGCCATACCTTGAAAGTGTCCTGCACAGTCGTCTCTTGTGGGGAAAAATCTGCATTCTATAAATAATCCCCTTTTCCCTTTTTCCAGGCCTTTTTCTGGATCCAGGAGCGAATCAACTAAGAAAGAGCCTAGCACCCTTTTAAGTCCGGTAAGAAACAGTTACAACCTATTCTCTGTGAAGCCTGCTACCTGAAGACTTCCTCTTGCGTAGTAAAAACTTTGGTCACTAAAATCCTTTATCTTAACCCAGACATTTCCTTTCTATTGATCCCAGGTCTTTAGATATACTCAACAAATTGTCAACCAGAAAAATTTTAAATCTTCCTATAGCCTGGAAGCCCCACCCCCGCTTTGAGTTGTCCCACCTTTCTGACACGAACCAATGTACATCTTAAATGTATGTGATTGGCCGGGTGAGGTGGCTTATGCCTGTGATGCCAGCACTTTGGGAGGCTGAGGTGGGCTGATCACTTGAGGTTAGGAATTTGAGACCAGCCTGGCCAACATGATGAAACCTCGTCTCTATTAAAACTACAAAAAGTACCCAGGCCTGGTAGCGCGTGCCTGTAATCCGAGCTACTCTGGAGGCTGAGGTAGGAGAATCGCTTGAACCCAGGAGGCAGAGGTTGCAGTGAGCCGAGATCATGCCACTGCACTCCAGCCTGGGCAACAGAGTGAGACTCTGTCTCAAAAAACAAACAGAAAAGAATTTGATTGATATTTTATGTCTCCCAAAAATGTATAAACCAAGCTGTGCCCCACACCTAGGGCACGTGTTCTCAGGACTTCCTGAGGGCTGTGTCACCGGCCATGGTCACTCATATTGGGATCCGATTAAAATATTTCTTCAAATATTTTAGAGTTTGACTTTTTTCATCAACATGATGAAGCCATGTATTTAATAAACCCAGGAAAACCAAAGTTATCATTTATTTCTGATACTAATGACTCATAGCAAAAACAACTTCTGTTTACTTTTCTGTAAAACAAAACAAGAAAACCTAGTCTACTCTCGATGTCATCCTATGAAATAAGAGTCCTTGAAATAATGCCATAAGGGACTATGGTGTATAATAATGTAAGCATCGCCGTTGGTCATAAGTTCATTACTAACCCCACAAGTATTTATGTAAGGCCCTGGCTAAGCTGCCTGGACTCGAGACAACTTAAGAAGACTTCTATCTTTGTTCTCTCCCTCAAAGCGTACACATAAAGCATTTAGCCACTATTGATTAAGGTGCTCTTCCAAAGCTGTGGTCCTCTGATAAAGTTAACAAGATACACTCTGTTTCAAAATTCTCTGATTTGATGGAAGTAGCTAACAGACCCCTCTGTCTGGTTCCTTTGTCCCCTAATTACAGCAGCTGTTCTGGTATTTAAGAACAATTTGAGGAAGCCGTTCCCTTTCTCTGTAAGAGAATATTGTTCCATTGCCTTGGTGGATCTTGAATACAATGATGTTAACATTTAATTTATATTGTCAAAACAATACTTGGAATATTAAGTTTATGTATTACAGGTTTGGTTTTGTTCTAGTATGGAACGCTGAATTTATTATTATTTTTCTTAGTTGGGCTCATTTTAGTAAGTTCTTATTAGCAAGTTTAACATGTTGTACCAATTAAATGAAAATATCCTCCAAAATTGTTTGGAAAAATTATAGAAGCCTTATCCTAGCAGCTTAGGACATAATCATATGTCTCTGCTGCTTATCATGACTGTGTTACAGGCTGTGTCTCTGCAGAGCAACTGGATTTAACTGGAACCAAACTCAGGTTTCCTCTTAAATTTTAGTGTTCACTTTCTTACGGATGATGTTCTTAAAATGGATAGTTTATTTTTAAATATCCTCATGCGTAACATTAAATCTGACAAAAGATTCTAGGACATGCTTTTAAAAATACAGTTGCTGTGATGCACAGCTTTTTCGTATCTGTGTAAATTCACAATGGCTCTTCAACTGCTCCCTGTCTCCCCCAGTAGTGGGCTGTCAGGAGCCATTTGTCCATGTGACCCCACATCCTTGCCTTCGAATAATTAGACCTGAGGTAGGTGCTTAACTGAAACGGGGCCAAAGTCTCTTTCTTAGAAATTTGGACTTGGTCACGCCTATAATCCCAGCACTTTGGGAGGCCGAGGCGAGTGGGTTGCCTGAGTGCGGGAGTTTGAGACCAGCCTGCGCAACACGGTGAAACCCCGTCTCTACTTGACAATCACTTGAACTTAGGAGGCAGAGGTTGCAGTAAGCCTAGATTGCGCCATCAAACTCCAGCCTGGACGACTGAGCGAGACTCCGTCTCAAAAAAAAAAAAAAAAAAAAATACAGCAAGAAATTTGGACTTGGGGTTGAGAGAAGGAAAGCCAGTCTTTCTCTGGGTCCAGATGGTAAATTTGGAACCATAAGAAGGCAACTCCAGACTATTAAGGGGACTTAGGAGCAGAGAAAAGCCAGTCCACCGAGAAAGAAGATGGCAAATATGAGAGGCCACGTTTCTTGAGTTTCCAACATTTTGCTTTCTTGACTGGTATTCTTGAATCCTAGCTCCTCTCCCTGCCTTCGAGACTTACAATAAATCTCCTGCTTTTGCTAGAGTGCCTTTGAATTGGTTTCTCTTCTTTAAAACCCAAAGAATCTTAACATAGAAATTTTTATCTGGAAGTGAGTTTACAAGTTACAGTCCATTAAAGGAAATTGTTATATCAAAGCAGATGGGGTGAGAAGTGGATAGTCCTCTAACCAAGAAACAGTATGGTTTCATGTGTGCAGTTCTTGTAGACTTTCAAGGAAGTACAGTAAGAGCAAGAAAGAGAGAGACTTCAGGCCAAGCTTGCCTTGCTGAAAGAAGACAATGGAAAATAGAGTAAGAATACAGTTATGTACCAGAAGCCTTTCTGATCACAGCCAGCCGTCTAATCTTGCTCAAAGTTAATCTAAAAAGCATCTATAAGGGCCATTCATGGTGGCTCATGCCTGTAATCCCAGCACTTTGAGAGGCCAAGGCGTGTGGATCACCTGAGTTCAAGAGTTCAAGCCCATACTGGGCAACATGGCGAAATCCCTTCTGTACAAAAAATACAAAAGTTAGCCGGGTGTGGTGGCAGGCACCTGTAGTCCCAGCTACTCGGGAGGCTGAGCATGAGAATTGCTTGAGCCTGGGAGGCAGAGGTTGCAGTGAACCGAGATTGCACCCCTACACTCCAACCTGGGTGACAGAGCGAGACCCTGTCCCAAAAGAAACACATCTGTAAGGACACAAACCATGCTAATTATGTATCATGCTTAGTAGCAACCAGATCCTTTATTGTAACCATTTTTGAAACTAAAATTGGGGTGTTGATTGGGAAAATGTATGTTTATAATTAGAATGAGAATATCTGATAGAAACCAGAGGACCTAAGGACTTCAGCTTCAAAACTTCTGCTTTGATTCCCAAAACCCTGCACATGTCTGTTTCATTCCATTCATCCCATCAGATAAACACGCTGAGACCTGCCCCCTTGTAAAGCAAATCAGTTTTACAACAGCTTTGCAACATGGGGGCACAGGTGACATTTCATGATTTATTAGAGAAAAAAAGTGTCATCATAAGTTAAAGACAATGATAAAGTGTTTTCAATACATACGACATAGGGTTTATGGTAAAAATATATAAGGAGTTCCTACCAATCAATTTGCGAAAGATGAGTACCATAATACAAAAACAGGCAAAACAGTTTGCATTAGGACAAATGCAAATAGCTAGTAAACATATTTTTAAAATAGTTTAACTTTGAAGAGTAATCAAACTAATGCAAATTAAAATAGGATACCATATTTAGCCTCTCAAATTGGAATCAATTTTTAAACATCCAATATTAACCAGAGAATAGGCAAAAGTAACACTAACAAATACTGCAGCTAGAGGTGCAAATTGGTAGAACGGTACATAAACATTTAATAATATACAGCAAAAACCTAAGAAAATGTTCTACTCTTGGGAATTATTTTACTTTTAGAAATTTCTGCTAGCCAAAAAGCTGAGAAAAATAAAAAGTTTTCTAAAAAGGCTTGGTACAGTGGCTCACACCTGTAATCCAAGCACTTTGGGAGGCCGAAGCGGGTGGATTACTTGAGGACAGGAGTACTTGAGACCAGCCTGGCCAACGTGGTGAAACCCCATCTCTACTAAAATAAAAATTACGAAAAAAAATTTTAAAAAAATTCTAAAGAAATAGAGATGCACCCAAAGATCGACATACAAGGATATGTAGAGGGGAATACTGAAAACACTCTGGATTTCCAAATGATTAAATAAATGTTGGCATGGATATATGATGGAATCCATGTAGCTATTAAAAACTGTTTTCCAAGAAAATTTAATAACTTTTAAAAATACTTATGCTGTAGTATTTGTTGACAAGATCAAACTACAGTCCTTCATATAAACATGACCTTACTTTGATAAATAAAATAGATCTATTTGTAATTATATATATAATGTGTGTGTAAATATGTATTCATAGAAAAAAGCCTGAAAATATATGCATCAGATTATGAGTAGTTGTTAGTTCTGCTTACTGGAATTACAGCAATTTTCTTTTCTTTCTTTTTTATTTTTCAAATTTCCTATAATAGGTATGATCTTTATCAGAATAAATTATATATCAAAAGAAATTCACGCAAAAATATACATACACTTTGTTCAATCACAAAAATACTTGTAATATTTAATGTGATATTTCTATATCTCAATTTATGATTCAGAGCAAATATGTTCACAAGGAAATCCCCCTCTTTCCTGGAATATCACACTCTGTGCTTCCTTCTTGGCCATAACACAATCCTTATTCAACATGTGCAGTTTCTCCAAGTTAATTGCATGAGACTCATAAAATTGGGGATTTTTAAATACATTTCAACAATGTCAGGAATCTGGTTGCTTAGTATTTCAGTACAAAACATTTCCAGCACTCTCACTTCTAGCTGAAAAAAAAAAAAAAAAATTGAAGCAGATGAAGTTCTGAATATGCTGTTTTTGCTTAACTTTAATCCTGTTAAACAGACTCTTCTGCCCCACCCCTCCCTTTATAAACACCCTATTTCTCTACCCCTCATCCCTTTGTGTAGAGCTGATCATTGGACAATAGGCGAACATGTGTAGGTGTCAAGCTTAACAGCAGGTAAAGAGACCAAGAGCACCAAAGGGGATTGAGCCTGAGAGACAGGAGTCTGGGCTAATGACCCATATTATACTCTAGTTTGCCTTCACCTGGCATGTGCATGGAAGATGGTGCTTGATGCCTTGTCCAAGTTGATACAAATATGCTACCAGAAGACCCCACATGTGAGAATTTGAGGTATTATCAAAGACTGGGTAAGGAGGTACATCGGGTGCAATGGTACCTGTCACATGGATAATCTGTTAGGTGGAGTTTTGTAATCAAGTGATAGACAAAGCCCCATTGTAATTATAGTGAAATCTCTACCCTCCCTCACTCTGTGGCCATGGGCAAGTTGCATAGCCACCATGACTGTCAATTCCATCAACTATAAAAGGAAGGAGTTGAATTATATCAGGTTCTCTTTTTTTTTGTAGACGGAGTCTTGCTCTATCATCCAGGCTGGAGTGCAGTGGTGCGATCTCGGCTCACTGCAACCTCCGCCTTCCGGGTTCAAGCAATTCTCCTGCCTCAGCCTCCTGAGTAGCTGGGACTACAGGCACCTGCCACCATGCCCGGCTAATTTTTGTATTTTTAGTAGAGACGATGTTTCACCATATTGGCCAGGCTGGTCTCAAACTCCTGACCTCAAGTGATCCACCTGCCTTGGTCTCCCAAAGTGCTGGGATTACAGATGTACATCACATTCTTAATTTGGAGTCTGATGATGGGCATCAGAAGGTCCATGAACAGGTAAAATTATCAGCAAAATAATATGCATTTTTCTAGGGAAAATATTCATAGCTTACATCAGATTCTCAATTTATGAACCCAAGAGAGACTCTGACCCACAGAATTATACAACCTTTAAATTTCATTCGAGATCAACATTCCAGGATTCTCCGTTGATGCATATTTTGGATAGAACTTTTACTTGATTAGAAAACTTTATTTTATTGTATCTCAGCTTTTTGGATAGAAAAAAATTTTTAATAATATAAATAAATGAGTAAAAAGAAAGCTTTATTTTATACCACGTTTAGGTTTACTCAGACTTCAAACAGGTAAGGCCAGACTCCAGTGTGAAGTAAAAAATATATTTCCTCTCTCGTCTATAAGGAATTTTTCTACAAAAGGGGTTTGAATATGTATGGGTGCACAGGAGCTACAAAATACAGAAAATATATTAAAATAGTTAAAAATCTGTTATATTTCATGTCAGTGAAGGACATTTTGCAATTGTGGGAAATTAGACACAATTTACTAGTTTTGTTCATCCAATTAAAATATTTTAAATGTAATGTGTCTTAAGGATAGTTATACACAGTGTTTTCAGTATATGATCCCGATGCCGACCTTGGCATAGTATTTTTTTTTCTTTTTTGAGACAGATTCTCACTCTGTTGCCCAGGCTGGAGTGCAGTGGCTCCATCACAGCTCACTGCAGCCTTTATCTCCCCAGGCTCACATGATTCTCCTACCTCAGCCTCCTGAGTAGCTGGGACTACACGTGCACGCCACCATGCCTGGCTAAATTTTGTATTTTTTGTAGAGATGGGGTTTTACCATGTTGTCCAGGCTGGTGTCGAACAATCCACCTGCCTCAGCCTACCAAAATATTGGAATTACAATTGTGAGCCACCACACTTGGCCAGCATAGTATTTTTTTTTTTCTTTTTTGAGACACAGTCTCGCTCTGTCATGCAGGTTGGAGTGCAGTGGTGTGATCTTGGCTCACTGCAACCTCTGCCTCCTGGGTTCAAGTGATTCTCCTGCTTCAGCCTCCCTAGTAGCTGGGACTACAGGCATGTGCTACCATGCTTGGCTAATTTTTTTGTATTTTTAGTAGAGACGGGGTTTCACTATGTTGGCCAGGCTGGTCTCGAACTCCTGACCTCATGATCTGCCCACCTCAGCCTCCCAAAGTGCTGGGATTACAGGCATGAGCCACCACGCCTGGCCTCAGCATTGTATTTTTACAGAGTAGGTTGGGCTACAGAGGAAGACCCTGTCTCAAGAAAAGAATAGATTGGAAGGATATGGGGGAATATTATAGAACTGTAACTCCAAGATCCCTAACCCCATCAATATGTAAATAATGTAGCTATAATGAATTCAGAATCTCCAGATTTTCATTCCCTGCTTGACATTAATAATGTAACATATCTATTCACATCGGTCTCTCTGACATTTACCTATTCTTTCAAGAGACCACATTAAAAGCAACTAAATGATGATACAGACATTTAGCATCTTGCGGCTTTAGACACTAGCTAGAGATGTGTCGGGAAATTCTGTATGGAAGGAGCACTCTGGGAGCCTTTTTGCTAGGGGCCACTGAAGCATGGTGCTAGATAATAGCCCTGTTTTTTGACCAGCCTCGCTGAGCATGCAGAGCTGATCTCACGTGTTCTGGGTGACCTGCAACGACGTCAGTGTGCAGCAGAGACACCACATCCACAGAACAAAACAATAGACCGGCCCTGCAACTGTGGACCGCAGTTCATTTTTATTCTAAAGTAGTTAACCTTGGATTGTTAGAGCTCCTATAAAAGTCTTACAAAAGGTGAAATTTGGTCATTTAATATTACATTGCTCATCTCTTTAGCTTTTTGAAAAATATTGCTACCATGTATTTTTATGTAGTGTTGTCCCCCCAAATTCAGTCAATTTGCAAATGAAGATGAAAATAAAACAATTAAAAAGAATAAGACATTGGGGAGGCTGTGGCTGGTGGATCACTTGAGGTCAGGAGTTCGAGACCAGCCTGGCCAACATGGTGTAACCCCGTCTCTACTAAAAATTCAAAAATTAGCCAGGCATGGTGCCATGAGCTTGTAATCACAGCTACTGGGGAGGCTGAGGCATGAGAATCATTTTAACTCGGGAGGCAGAGGTTGCAGTGAGCCGAGATAGCACCACTAAACTCCAGCCTGGGTGGCAGAGTGAGACTCAGTCTCAAAAAAAAAAAGAATGGGACAACTGGATAAAAACAAAATGTAGTATATTCATGCGGTGGGATATTATTCAGCCATAAAAAGGAGGGAAATTCTGATATATGCTATAATGTGGGTGGGTCTTGAAGATGTGATGCTGAGTGAAATAAGCCAGTCACAAAAGGTCAAATATTGTATGAGTTCACTAATATGAGACACCTAGAGAAGTCAAATTCAGAGCCAGAAAGCAGAATGTTGATTGTCACACTGTTGAGGGAGTTGAGTGGGCTGGGGAATGGAGAGCTACTGTTTAATGGGTGCAGAATTTCTGTTTGGGAAGATGAAGACTCTCTGGTGATGGATGGTGATGATGATTGCATGACAATATGAATGAAGTTAACGTCACTCAACTTTACACTTAACAATGGTAAATCTTACGTTGTGTATATTTTACCACAATTTTTTAAATCCACTGAATTGTAAAACAAACAAACAAAAGGCTAGGCATGGTGGTGCATGCCTGTAATCCCCACTCTTTGGGAAGCCAAGGCAGGCAGACAGCTTGAGGTCCGGAGTTCGACACCAGCCTGGCCATCATGGTGAAACCCCATCTCAATTAAAAATGCAAAAACTAGCCGCGTGTTGTAGCACGTGCCTGTAGTCCCATCTACTAGGGAGGCTGAAGCACGAGAAATGTTTGAACCAGGAGTCAGAAGTCCCAGTGAGTTGAGATCTCGCCACTGCACTCCTGGGCAACAGAGTGAGACTCTGACTCACAAGAAAATAAAAAGAACAGAAATAAATAAATTGTGAGATAGTGAAGGAAATTTGAATACTAAGTAGATGTGCAATGATGTAGAAGAATTATTATTAATTTTGATCTCTTTCAAAGACTCTCTTTTAGAGCTACTTAGTGAAATCTTTACAGATGAAATAATGCTGTCATTTGCTTCAGAAAAATCTGGTGAGTGCTAACAAGGAGGGTAGAGATGAAACAGTGTCAACCATGAGTCACTTAAATTTAAAAAGAGAGGGAAAAAAGAGCACACCTGTAAACACATATTGCTGTTAACCTTACATAAATAAAATCAGAATCTATGATTTTTAACCAAAATGTGTTACCTATTGGAATCTAAACTTTAGTTTGCTTGCCCAAACTAAGAGTGAATTTGTGTATATATTCTCTAAACTGTGTACTTCTTGAGAACCGAGTTTGTTGTTTTATCTTAAAAAAAGTCGAGAAAATAAAGGGCACTAATAAATATTTGATGAAGAAACAATGGACTCTATTTTTGGAATTCCTATGCTGCCCTGTAGACCATCACTGTTTACTTGGAGAAGAAGTCTGCCTATCTTACTCTCACTCTTAGGACACACGGGTTGATATTGACTTACACAAGCCCCCCAGTCACTCCATCCCAGCTGCCAAGCCTTTGTATTGTAACTTATAGGCCCCCACACATTCTATTTATGATTCCCTTTGTTTAGAAAGCTCTCTTAAGATGTTTGCAAGAACCTCCTCTCCCTGCTTTTTCTTGTAACCTTCCCTAGACACCTGCTTTAGCCACCGCGATATGGTTTGCATCTGTGTCCCCACCCAAATCTCATGTTCAATTGTAATTGAACATGTTCAAGGTGGGGCTTGGTGGGAGGTGATTAAACCATGGGGGTGGATTTCCCCCTTGGTGCTCTTCTTGTGATAGTGAGTGAGTTCTTGTGAGATCTGGCTGTTTAAAAATTGTGTAGCATCTCCCTCTCTTGCTCCTGCTATGGCCATGTAAGAGGTAGGTGCCTGCTTCCTCTTCCCCTTCCACCATGATTGTTTCCTGAGATCTCCCCAGAAGCTGAGCAGATGCCAGAATCATGCTTCCTGTACAGCCTGGGGAATGAGTCAACTAAACCTCTTTTCTTTGTAAATTACCCTAGTCTCAAGTATTTCTTTATAGCAATGCGAGAACTGGCTAACACGGAAAATTGGTACCAGGGATCAATAGGATCCCTACTCTTACTTTGTCTACCTCTCTATTTCTTTACCCATATCCTATCTCCTCCCTCCATGCACTTACCACTACCTGATATGTTTGTTTGTTGTCTTTTTCCCCTATAAGACTATAACCTCATGAGGAAGGAAATTTGACTGTTTTATTCATCATTGACTTTTAACCTTGGCCTTGGCACAGGGTAGGTCACAAATGAATATTTATTGCATCAATGAATAAAGTGTTAAAAAGGCACTAACATTAAAGAGATTCTAACTTCTAGCTAGAACAATGAACTTCACTCATATCTTTAGCAACCTCTTCCTTGGGAACTTTCATGGAATTTAACTACTTGTACTTTTCATCTTCACAGTGCATGTAAATAATTAATGATTTTGCTCCATGACACAGATGCTAATGCTGCATTTTATAGACGGGAAAACTAAAGCATAGACTAACTAAATCCCTAAAGATCAATGCATGAGTCAACGTCAGAGCCAGATGAATAGAATTTGGGATATTTAGTTCTGAGCAACTGATTCCCCAAAGTCGTTTAACTATATTTTGTGCTTGTTATAGCTCATTTAAAAGCATTCACAATTCCCCAATTTAAAATCTTTTCAAGTGAGGAATTGGTTTGTTGTGACAGCAGGTGATTCAGTTGCTGTAAGCGCTCATTCAGGAACTCATTCCTCAATCTGGATACAGTAATTCACAAAGTAAGCTAATGCTCTCCTACTGATCTCTCTGCCGCCAGTTATTTGTTCTGCCAGGCATCCTTTAGAAAGACGAGAATGTCTTTCTAAATCCCAAATGAGGCCAGGCAGGGTGGCTCATGCCTATAATTCCAGCACTCTGGGAGGCCGAAGTGGGTGAGTCACTTCAGGCAAGGAGTTTGGGACCAGCCTGGGCAACATGGTGAAACCTCATCTCTACTAATAATACAAAAAAAAAAACAAACAAACAAACAAAAAAAAACAGCCAGGCGTGGCAGCATGCACCTGTGATCGCAGCTACTTGGGAGGCTGAGGCGGGAGGATCACTTGGCCCGGGAGGCAGAGATTGCGGTGAATCAAGATTGCACCACTGTACTCCAGGCTGGGTGACAGAGCAAGACCCTGTCTCAAAAAAAAAAAAAAATCCCAATCTGATTGTGCCACACCCTAAACACATGTGTGTAAAAGTTGCATAAAGGGTTAACAGAAGCAGAGTTCTTCCTTCAGAAGGTAAAAATGTGTCAAGAAAATTGAGAAATAAAATGAAGAAATGCTGAGTGAGAGCTCAGTAAGTATCTAGGACTATGAATAACTACATCCAGGACATTATTATGTTTGTCTGTATAAAATATGTTGAATTTGCTTGTAAAATTCAGGCACTCTAATAGATTTGTTTTTCTGCTGCTGGAAATATTAAGGAATGACCATAGGTCAAAATTTGCATTTGCTTCCTATCATGTAGAAACTTAAGCAGAATAAATAGGATCACAAAATTAACATTTTATTGTATTCATTTCAAAGATCTATAGTCACCTCACTAATCTCACTGAATGAAATTATCTTGTTACTTATTTATATAAGGAAAAAAGAGCAAGTCAACTTGAATGAATAAAATGTGAATTTTTTTAAAAAAGTAAGTAGCGGCTGGATGCGGTGGCTCATGCCTGTAATCCCAGCACTTTGAGAGGCCGAAGCGGGCAGATTACCGGAGGTCAGGAGTTCGAGACCAGCCTAGCCAACATCGTGAAACCCCGTCTCTAATGAAAATACAAAAATTAGCTGAACGTGGTGGCACACACCTGTAATCCCAGCTATTTGGGAGGCTGAGGCAAAATTGCTTGAGCCCAGGAGACGGAGGTTGCAGTGAGCCGAGATCATGCCACTGCCCTCCAGCCTGGCCGACAAAGCAAGACTCTGTCTCAAAAAAAAAAAAAAAAAAAAAAAAGTAAGTTACTGTTTTAGCAGAACTATATGGTCTATAAATAATTTACCAGTTAGTAGTTTCATTAATGTTCATTCCTCATTTTGTTTTAAAATGGATTGTGCCACCCCACATCTATTGCAAATGTAGGGGAAACCCTTTGTGTAGTGTCTGTGAAAGAGTTTCTCAAAGTCTAATTTAATTTTTAATTATTCAAATGTTACTAGAAAGTATGACCCCAAAGTTCAGTATGCAATCTCGTTTTTCATTAAGAATTCTCTTTTAAAATGTGGACGTCTCGAAAGGAAAAAAAAAGGGGGGGGCGGTGGGAGCTGGGGGCCATGGCTCACACCTGTAATCCCAGCACTTTGGGAGGCCTAGGCAGGCCGATCACTGGAGGTCAGGAGTTTGACACCAGCCTGGTCAACCTGGTGAAACCCTGTCTCTACTAAAAATACAAAAATTAGCTGGGCGTGGTGGTGCTTGCTTGTAATCCCAACTACTGGGGAGGTTGAGGCACAAGAATAGCTTGAACCTAGGAGGTGGAGTCGGCACTGAGCCGAGATCATGCCACTGCACTCCAGCCTGGGTGACAGAGTGAGATTCTGTATCAAAATATAAACAAATAATCATAATAACAATCATTATATAGGGACAGTGGTTCTCAACTTTGGCTGCACTTTGGAATCACCTGGAAACTTTACAAATAGTGATCCCTGGATTCCACCGCCTAAGATGTGTGTTTATTTGATCTGAGGAGTGGCCTAGGCATTGTGATTTTTTAAAGCAGCATCCAAAATGCAACCAAGATAGAGACCCTTGAAGAAGAGGCTCAGTCCATGGAAGTCCCTATGCAAGACCTGAGAATGGAATCTAAGAAGGACCCAAAGCCAGAGAACCCCGAATATAATGGTTTCTAGATTTCTCTGTAAGTCTAGATGTTGTAAACAATTTCAGTATTGCCGTTAGTAATATCTTACTGTATTCTTCAATGCTGTGGCTATTTCTCAAAAGGATCTAGTTTTCAGAATCTAGGATTTAAGTTAAATTAGGCTAAGATGAAAAGGATGTCAACGTAATCAAAACTTTGGTATTAGGCCGGGCACAGTGGCTCATGCCGGTAATCCCAGCACTTCGGGAGACTGAGGCCATGAGGATCACTTCAGCCCAGGAGTTTGAGGCCAGCCTGGGCAACATAGCAAGATGCCATATCCACAAAATTTAGCCAGGCATGGTGGTGCATGCCTGTAGTTCAAGCTACTTGTAAACTGAAGTGGGAGGATCACTTGAGCCTGGGAGGTCGAGGCTGCTGTGAGCCATGACCGCACTTCAGCCTGAGGGACAGAGTGAGACCCTGTCTCAAAACAAACTCTGAGAAAAGAAAAAAACAACTGTGGTATTACATGTGAGCCATGCAGAACCAAAGTGGTTATTTGTATAATATAAACTGCCTCAATATAATTCTTAATAATAAAATACACACGAAGTATGTTTACTCTTATTTTAGAGCTCTTAAAGCTTCATCATCAATCATTCTCTCTTGCTGGAAAATGGATACAGATTTGAATGCCTGAAAGTTCTACCCATGCTGATACCTATAGCTTAAAGTAAAACACAGCCCTGTTGTTACACAGTAGTTATTACATTTAACAATTCAGATCCCTCTATATGAAGAGTCCCAGGGGTACATGGTTTGCATTTATTTGCTAGCAAGTTCTCACACCTGGTATGTATTTGGTTTGCTTGCTTGCTTAATTGTGAATGTTAACAAAGATAACATAGAAAAATAGATACAGGTGGTGGCTCATATCTGTTATCCCAGCACTTTGGGAGGCTGAGGCAGGTGGATCACTTGAGCCCAGGAGTTCGAGACCAGCCTGAGCAACAGGATGCAACCCATCTCTACAAAAAATACAAAAATTAGCCAGGTGTGGTGGCACATGCCTGTAGTTGCAGCTACTTGGGAGGCTGAGGTGGGAGGATTACTTGAGCCCAGGAGGTGGAGGCTGCAGTGAGCCATGATTGCACCACTGCACTCCCGCTTGGGTGACAAAGCAAGACTCTGTCTCAAAAAGAAAAAGAAAAATAGATACAAATGAGGAAGTAATTACTGAAAAAGAAATCCTTTTTTCATAATGAGCAAGAAAAAGCACAAAAACTTTGACCTCTGAGATCTAGGACTAGAAACCCTGACCCTCTCCATAGTTCAACCTTTGCATCTCACTGGGAGCTTCCAGAACCCTGATTGCCTGAATCCCTTCCTTCACTGGTGGTGGTGTTGGATCCTTGTCACTAGATGACTTAAGCTCCTTTAAAGTGTTGCTTTCCCCCTCCTTGCTGCAGGCTGTTGGGACAACATTTGCTATACGTTCTCAGAAGCAAGGAAGCTGGTGTCATCATTCAGCACCCCTGTTCAAACACTCCCTTTAATAATTCCTCCTGTTTCGTCTGGCTCATTGGGTGTTGCCCATAAAAACAGTTTGGCTTTTGTAATTACAATTAGAGCAGGCGGCATGACTAATCAGTCAGTTCACTGCATCTCTTGTTATCTTCTGTGAAGTGAGTCAGTTTCAACTTTGCCTTTGTGCTTATGTGTCATTCTCTGCTCTTTGATGTTCAAGTCTATATTGGTTCCAGACTCTGTTTTATTTAATCTGTTTGTTTTCTTTCTAAAAACATATTCTATATTCCCGTTCAAGAGTGGAGCTAACTTCACAGGATTTGGGAAAATTCTGATTATTCTAGCCCATACACAGAATGCCCAGGACAAGGAAGACACCACTTCTCTGAGGAATTGTGCCAAGAATACAAGTCGGTGAAGTCAGCATGCACATGTTGAATGTTTACAATGTGCCAGGTACTTTCATATACTATTCTATTAAAAATAAGCAGTATATGGCCAGGCGCAATGGCTCACGCCTATAATCCCAGCATTTTGGGAGGCCGAGGCAGGCAAATCACAGGAGGTC
The DNA here is from genome assembly GCF_000001405.40 of Homo sapiens. Taxonomy (NCBI): domain Eukaryota; kingdom Metazoa; phylum Chordata; class Mammalia; order Primates; family Hominidae; genus Homo; species Homo sapiens. Next base: position 4,433,622 of record NW_018654717.1, on the reverse strand, counting down.
AGGAGTCCGAGACCAGCCTGGCCAACATGGCGAAACCCCAACTCTACTAAAAATCCAAAAATTAGCTGGGTGTGGTGGCAGGCACCTGTAGTTCCAGCTACTCAGGAGGCTGAGGCAGGAGAATTGCTTGAACCCAGGAGGTGGAGGCTGCAGTGAGCTGAGATCACGCCACTACACTCCAGCCTGGGCAACAGAGCGAGACTCCACCTAAAAAAAAAAAAAAGCGCTATACCTTAGAGCAGTTTTAGGTTTACAGAAAAATTGGGAAGACAGTACAGAGTTTCCATATATGCCATACTCAAGTTCCCCTATTATTAACCTCCTACATTGGCATGATCCATTTGTTACAATTAATGTAATGCTATATGAATATTGGTATGTTATGATTAACTGACATCTATACTTAATTTTTATTGCCTTATTTTTTACCTGTTGTCCTTTTTGTGTTCTGGAATCCCTCCCAGATACAACATGACATTCTAGTCATCCATCTCCTTAGGTTCTTCTTGGCTGTGACAGATTCTCAGACTTTCTTTTTTGTGAGCCTGACAGTTTTGAGGAATATTGGACAGGTATTTTGTAGCATATCCCTCATTGACATTTGTCTAATGTGTTTCCCATTAGACTGGAGTTAAGTGTTGGTGGGAGCAAGACCACAGAGGCAGAATGCCATTTTCATCACATCATGCCAAGGGTACATACTATCAAGATGGATTATCACTGCTGCTTTTACCTTGATCACCTGGCTGAGATTGTGTTAGTCAGGCTTCTCTGCTGTAAAGTGACCCCGCTCCCCCCCCAACACTTCTGTTCTGTGCTCTTTGGAAGGAAGTTGCTATGCATGGCCCACACTTAAGGAGGAGGGACTTACAGCCCATCTCTTTAAGACAGAGGATTTATATAAATTATTGGAAGTTCTTATTTAGTCATTTATTTATATCAACGTGGACCCAAGGATTTTTTTTTAATGTTTTGAGTTATAATCTAATTCCCTTCTTTTCCTTCCTTCCTTCCTTCCTTCTTTCCTCTCCCCGTCTCTCTCTGTCTTTCTCTTGCTTTCTTGCTTTTTTTTCCAGCTTTGGCCATGCTGCAAGCTCTTTCAGTTGACTTCTCTGTACCTATGACATACTCCTTTGTGTGTGTGTGTGTGTGTGTGTGTGTGTGTGTGTGTGTGTGTGTTTGAGCACTTACTCAATTTCTGGCTCTACAGGATATTTCAGACATCTTGTATATTTTCTCCTCCGCTAGTAGAATCAGCCATTTCTCCAAGAAGCCCTGGTTCCTTTTATTGAAAAATGGTACTAAATATCAAGATCTAGGTGGTAGATATGGTTGTTGCTGTGGGGAAGTCTTTGCTTCTCAGCTGAAAGAGAAAGGAAATATATGTGCATACACTAACCCATATATTTACATATATCCATAAACATTGCTGTGTGTGACCATTTATAGTGATATCAAGTTAAATATGCATTCATAGGGATGTCCCAACTCTATTCCATTACCTCATGGATCATTCTAGCCTCTTTCCCTTCCACCAACAGTGAGAAGTCTGGCTCTGACCGTCAATCATCCATTTACTTAAGACCTCCTGGCCTCAAGTGGTCTGCCCACCTCAGCCTCCCAAAGTGCTGGGATTACAGGCATGAACCACTGGGCCTGACCTTAATTTTAGCTGAATTTCTATGAAAGGGTTGGTTTTTTTCTTCTTGGTACTTTTGACACAAAGCTCATTTCCTTCCTTTGCCACTTCCTTTGCTGCTGCATCAGCTCCATCTTTTTTCAGCCTCCGCAGCAGCCAGCCATCACTAACAGAAGTAAGGGGAGAAGTCTTAGCAACTTCATTAGACATTGTGAGGTGAGAGGGCACAGCTGGGTAGCCAGGTGGTGATGGATGGATGGAGGGAGGGAGGGAGAGAGGGATGGAGGGAGGGAGGGAGAGAGGGATGAATGGAGGGAGGGAGGGAGGGATGGATGGATAGGTGGATAGATGGATGAAAAAAGTATCAGTTTATAGGTGCTGACTCATCCAAGATATTAATACAGCAAGGGGAAAGAAACATGTATGGTGGGACAGGATTTACATGTGACCATTAGTCAACTGTAATTTATATCTGTTAGGATATAGATTACACACCTCTGACTAGTCGGTGCCTCTTCATTGAGCTGTGATCAAATCAATCATCAGCATGCTCTTGTCATCCAGTGACAGTTGGTAATTTAAAAACAAACCCATGTCCACGTTCCAATCTGACCTGATGTCTGGACAATAGTGGATGTGTGTCATTATATATTTGTCAAAACTCATAGATCGGGCTGAGTGCAGTGGCTCACATCCGTAAACCCAGCACTTTGGAAGGCTGAGGCAGGCAGATTGCTTGAGTCCAGGAGTTCAAGACCAGCCTGGGTAACATGGTGAAATCCCATCTCTACTACTAATAAAAAACAAAACAAAAACCCATAAGTTGTGCAATATCAAGAGTAAATTGTAGTCATAATGACATCTCAATGTAAGTTCATTGATTGTGATAAATGTAGTATTATTGCGGTGTTGGATGTTGATAGCACGGAAGGTTGTGGCATGTGTGGGGAAAAGGGGTACATGGGAACTCTCTGTACTTTCTACTCAATTTTGCTATGAACCCGAAACTGCCCTAAAAAATAACTTTTATTAACATATGGGCCAGGCACGATGGCTCACGCCTGAAATCCCAGCACTTTGGGAGGCCAAGGTGGGCAGATCACCTGAAGTCATGAGTTCAAGACCAGCCTGACCAACACAGTGAAACCCCATCTCTACTAAAAATACAAAAATTAGCGAGGCGTGATGGCGGGTGCCTGTAATCCCAGCTACTGAGGAGGCTGATGCAGGAGAATTGCTTGAACCCGGGAGGTGGAGGTTGCAGTGAGCCGAGATCACATCACTGCACTCCAGCCTGGACCACAGAGTGAGATTTGATCTCAAAATAATAATAATAATAATAACAAACCTAAAGTTGTCCCTAAAATATGAGCTGATTGAGAGTTTAAGATTGTTGAAAGAAGAAAATGGCGTGGTGAAAGGAAAGGGGGTTTTGCAAACTCACTCATCTAAGTTTGAATCCTAGCTCTGCCACTTAATAGCTATGTGACCATGGGCAAATTATTTGTCGTTATTTATATGAAATTGATATTAAAATATTAAAGTATTAAATATAACTCATTAAAATAATATGTAAATGCCATCCTTTATTAATATTTAAAATGATATATGACAAAACTCATACAATTTGATAGCACCAAGAGTAAACCCGAATGAATGCACATTTACTAATCATTCATGAGGTCAAAAGATCCCAGGATAGAACGTGGAATGCAGTAAAACGATCTAACTGTTTTACAAAAGTATGAAACCACCTCACTGAAGAGTGGAGGGAAAAGATGTCAACCTAAGTAACTCTGGAAATGAGTAGAGTCTGATAGACTAAAGGCAAAAGAAATTGTCCATAAACGCTGCTGTAGTCAGAAGTGGAATATGAGATTTCCACCAAGTGTCTGTAAAGGAGAGGTGCCTTTCTCCTCATCTCTTCCTTTCCTACTGGATAGAAGGAGAACTGATAGGGCTCGGCTCTGTGTGCCCACCCAAATCTCATCTTGAATTGTAATCCCCACATGTCAAGGTAGGGACCTGGTGGGAGGTGATTGGATCATGGTGGTGGATTCCCCCATGCTGTTCTCATGATAGTGAGTTCTAACAAGATCTGATGGTTTTATAAGTGTTTGGCAATTACTCCCTCACTCTCTCTCTTTCCTGCTGCTTGTGAAGAAGGTATTTGCTTCTCCTCCGCCTTCTGCTATGATTGTTAAGTTTCTTGAGGCCTCCCTAGCCATGCAGAACAGTGAGTCAATTAAACTTCTTTCCTTTATAAATTACGCAGTCTTGGGTATTTCTTCTTCCTCTTTTTTTTTTTTTTTTTTTTTTAGATTGCTCTGTCCCCCAGGCTGGAGTGCAATGGTAAAATCTCAGCTCACTGCAACCTCCACCTCCCAGGTTCAAGCAGTTCTCCTGCCTCAGCCTCCTGAGTGGCTGGGATTACAAGCACGCGCCAACATGCCCCACTAATTTTTGTATTTTTAGTAGAGGAGGGGTTTTGCCATGTTGGCCAGGCTGGTCTCGAACTCCTGACCTCAGATGATCTGCCCATCTCAGCCTCCAACGGTGCTGGGATTACAGGCATGAGCCACCGCACCCAGCCGGGTGATTCTTTACAGCAATCAGAAAATAGACTAATACAGGGACAGGTGCCTGACATGGAAGGAACATCCATCTTGGACTACATGGAGTGAAAAGCAAGGGCTGAATACGATGGAACAAGAAGACGGAAGACGCCTGTCTTCTCAGGATGGTGGTGCCATTATGCCAGCTGAATCTATGTGCAACAAAAAGTAAGCTTCTACCTTGTTTAACCCACTCTGATTTGGGGTTTTCTGTCACTCACAGATCAATCTAATCCTAACTAATATAAATTTTAGTTACATCTTCTTCTCCCTGCCTTTTAACTCTCCAACAACACCAGCATCCCTTAAAAAATGAGGCTACACAACTGTTCATGATAAAACTCTCCTTGTGGGATACCCTAAGGTACCCTTAAGCACCTAATTCTAGTCAATAAAAGCAGGGCACGAAGCAGACTCTCCCTCACAAAAAGATTATGCCCTTACATGGAATAATAATTGATAATAAGTAGCATAATTTTTGTTAACTCATCATCTTTACAAAAGAGATTTTTTTAATGAGCTTTCAAACAACAGTATAAATTTAGCTTTTGTTTCCTTTACATAAAAATTACACACTTACTGAATTTTGGGAGAAATGCCAAGAAGTATGACCTATTAAAATGTAAAGGAACACAAATTGCTTTGGTTTGGAAGGTGTTAAGTATGGGGTTTGAATTAGTCCGTTTTCACGTTGCTGACAAAGACACACCCGAGACTGGGAAGAAAAAGAGGTTCAATTGGACTTACAGTTCCACATGGCTGGGGAGGCCTCAGAATCATGGCAGAAGGCAAAAGGCACTTATTAAGTGACAGTAGTAAGAGAAAATGAGGAGAAAGAAAAAGTGGAAACCCCTGATAAACCCATCAGATCTCCTGAGACTTACTCACTTTCACAAGGATAGCACAGTAAAGACTGGCCCCCGTGATTCAATTACCTCCGCCTGGTTCCCTCCCACAGCATATGGGAATTCTGGGAGATTCAATTCAAGTTGAGATTTGGGTAGGGGGGCAGCCAAACCATATTATTCTGCTCCTGGCCCCTCCATATCTCATGTCCTCACATTTAAATACCAATCATGTGTTCCCAGCAGTCCCCCAAAGTCTGAATTCATTTCAGCATTAACCCAAAAGTACACAGTCCAAAGTCTCATCCAGACAAGGCAAGTCCTTTCCGCCTATGAGCCTGTAAAATCAAAAGCAAGCTAATTACTTCCTAGATACAATTGGAGTATATGTACCGGGTAAATACAGCCAATCCAAATGGGAGAAATTGGCCAAAACAAAGGGGTTACATAGCTCATGCGTGTCTGAAATCCAGCAGGGCAGTCAAATCTTAGAGCTGCAAAAGGATCTCCTTTGACTCCAGGTCTCACATCCAGGTCACGCTGATGCAAGAGGTGGGTTCCCATGGTCTTGGGCAGCTCCACTCCTTTGGCTTTGCAGGGTGCAGACTCCCTCCCAGCTGTTTTCATGGGCTGGCATTGAGTGTCTGTGCCTGTTTTCCAGGCACATGGTGCAAGCTGTCAGTGGACCTACCATCCTGGGGTCTGGAGGACGGTGGCCCTCTTCTCACAGCTCCACTAGGCAGTACCCCAATAGAGACTCTGTGTGGGGGCTCCAACCCCATATTTCCCTTCAGCACTGCCCTAGCAGAGGTTCTCCATGAGGGACCTGGCCTGCAGCAAACTTCTGCCTGGGCATCCAGATGTTTCCATACATCCTCTGAAATCTAGGCGGAGGTTCCCAAACCTCAATTCTTGACTTCTGTCCACCAACAGGCTCAATACCGTGTAGAAGCTGCCAAGGCTTGGGGCTTCCACCCTCTGAAGCCACAACATGAGTTCTATGTTGGCCCCTTTCAGTCACTGCTGGAGCAGCTGGGACACAGGGCACCAACCAAGTCCCTAGGCTGCACACAGCAGAGTGCCCTCGGCCCACCCCACAGAATCACTTTTTCCTTCTGGGCCTCCGGGCCTGTGATGGGAGGGGCTGCCATGAAGGTCTCTGACATGGCCTGGAGACATTTCCCCCATGGTCTTGGGGATTAACACCAGGCTCCTTGCTACTTATGCAAATTTCTGCAGCTGGCTTGAATTTCTCCCCAGAAAATGGGGTTTTCTTTTCTATTGCATTGTCAGGCTGCACATTTTCGAAATTTCTATGCTCTGTTTCCCTTTTAAAACCGAATGCTTTTTTTTTCTCTTTTGGAGATAGAGTCTCGCTCTGTGGCCCAGGCTGGAGTGCAGTGGCACAATCTGGGCTCACTGCAAGCTCCGCCTCCCAGGTTCACGCCATTCTCCCACCTCAGCCTCCCCAGTAGCTGGGACGACAGGCACCCACCACCACGCCCAGCTAATTTTTCTGTATTTTTAGTCGAGATGGGGTTTCACTGTATTAGCCAGGATGGTCTCTATCTCCTGACCTCATGATCCACCCGCCTCAGCCTCCCAAAGTGCTGAGACTACAGGCGTGAGCCACTGCGCCCGGGCAACTGAATGCTTTTCACAGCACCCAAGTCACCTCTTGAATGCTTTGCTTCTTGGAACTTTTCTCCACCTGGTACCCTAAATCATCACTTTCAAGTTCAAAGTTCCACAAATCTCTAGGGCAGAGGCAAAATGCCGCCAGTTTCTTTGCTAAAACATAACAAGAGTCACCTTTACTCCAGTTCCCAACAAGTTCCTTATCTCCATCTGAGACCACCTCAGCCTGGACCTTATTGTTCATATCACTATCAGCGTTTTCGTCAAAGCCACTCTACAAATCTCTAGGAAGTTCCAAACTTTCCCACATTTTCCTGTCTTCTTCTGAGCCCTCCAAACTGTTCCATTCTCTGCCTGTTACCCAGTTCCAAAGTTGCTTCCATATTTTTGGGTATCTTTTCAGCAATGCCCCACTCTACTGGTACCAATTTACTGTATTAGCCTGTTTCACGCTGCTGACAAAGACATATCAGAGACTGGGAAGAAAAAGAGGTTTAATCGGACTTACAGTTCCACATGGCTGGGGAGGCCTCAGAATCATGGCGGGAGGCAAATGGCACTTCTTACATGGCAGCAGCAAGAGTAAATGAGGAAGAAGCAAAAGTGGAAACCCCTGATTAACCGATCAGATCTGGTGAGATTTATTCACTATCACAGAATAGCATGGGAAAGACCGGCCCCCATGATTCAATTACCTCTCCCTGGGTCCCTCCCACATCACGTGGGAATTCTGGGAGATACAATTCAAGTTGAGATTTGAGTGGGAGCACAGCCAAACCATATCAGGGTCTAAAACAATGAAAATATTGACCAAATAGTTATTTATGAATGGCATGTTGTTTAAGTATTTTCACAAATACGCACTAATATCTCTCCATCTCTCTCCCCCGCCACCCTTCCTCGTTGATGTTATACTGGATTTAGGAATTAAGATTTCTGTTCTTAGAAACAGGAGAAAAGGAAGATGGCAGTTAGTAGTGGCTTGATGGCCATTTCAAAATGGTTACCTAGCAACAGTTCCAGGCTGCAGCCACTAGGAGTAGCTCCAGCTGCTCACGGTTAAGCCGGCTTGAGCTACATAGTTGCTCTGCTACACAACTTATTTGTATGATTTTCAAATAAGAATCACCTTTTGGGGTTAGATGGGCTGATGCTTCAGATGGCCATCTATTTGTCTTGTCTCGTTCCTTGACAAGGTGAATGTGCTTGCTGTGTTTATAAAAGAAAAAAAAACCCGGTCGGGTGCAGTGGCTCACACCTGTAATCCCAGCACTTTGAGAGGCCAAGGCGGGCTGATCACCTGAGGTCAGGAGTTCGAGACCAGCCTTGCCAACATGGTGAAACCCCGTCTCTGCTAAAAGTACAAAAAAATTTAGCCAGGTGAGGTCACGGCCACCTGTAATCCCAGTTACTTGGGAGGCTGAGGGAGGAGAATTGCTTAAACCCGGGAGGCGGAGGTTGCAGTGAGCCAAGACCACCCCATTGCACTCCAGCCTGAGCAACAAGAGCAAAACTCCGCCTCAAAAAAAAAAAAACAGTTGTGAAAAAAAAAAATCTGACAGTATTTGGAGCCAAAACAAAATGTCTCTCAAAGCTCCTAGATGTCAAGTGATAGCAACTATGTAAACTCATAAATAGATTTTAAAAATTTTAATAAATAAAATCTATCCCAGCTACTTAGGAGGCTGAGGCAGGAGGATTACTTGAGCCCAGGAGTTCAAGACCAACCTGGGCAATATAGTGACAACCTGTCACAATATTTTAAGTCCACTTTTAAGTAAGAATATTAATAGTTTACTTAAACCCACAGAATGCATTTGAAGAGTTTAAGTCAGTGTTAAATAATTTTCATAAAAGTTAAATATCATTCTAAGATCACTCTACCCCTTGCCTCTTAAGTTTTAATCTCCTTATGTTCAATTTCAGGAAACCAAGACAAGTATCCAGAAAAGGAGAAACATGGGCCGGGCGCGGTGGCTCACGCCTATAATCCCAGCACTTTGGGAGGCCGAGGTGGACGGATCACAGGGTCAGGAGATTGAGACCATCCTGGCTAACATGGTGAAACCCCGTCTCTACTAAAATACAAAAAAAAAATTAGCTGGGCGTGGTTGCGGGCGCCTGTGGTCCCAGCTATTCGGGAGGCTGAGGCAGGAGAATAGCACCAACCCGGGAGGCGGAGCTTGCAGTGAGCAGAGATTGCGCCACTGCACTCCAGCCTGGGCAACACAGACTCCGCCTCAAAAAAAAAACAAAAAACAAAAGGAGAAATACAGGATGTTTTACAGTGCTTGTGGTGCTTGATTTTTATATCTTGTCATTAAGCTATGCCTTTATTTCTTTTGTGTTAAACCTCTATTCTTGTTTACACCTGTTTTCTATCTGTAGTTCAAAAACATAATGAATATTTCATCTATGTAGTTTCTTTGTAAAGTCTTTTGAGCTCTAACCTCTCAAAGGACAGCCACTCAATATGGTCTGTTTATTTATCTATCTATTTATTTATTTATTTATTTATGTATAGACAGAGTCTGGCTCTGTTGCCCAGGATGGAGTGCAGTGGTGTGATCTCGGTTCACTGCAAGCTCCGACTCCCGGGTTCACACCATTCGCCCGCCTCAGCCTCCCGAGTAGCTGGGACTACAGGCGCCCGCCACCACGCCCAGCTAATTTTTTTGTATTTTTAGTAGAGACGGGGTTTCACCATGTTAGCCAGGATGGTCTCGATCTCCTGACCTCGTGATCTGCCCGTCTCAGCCTCCCAAAGTGCTGGGATTACAGGCGTGAGCCACCACACCAGGCCCATCAATATGGTTTGAACATGCATCACACATGCTGAGGCCGGGCACGGTAGCTCACGCCTGTAATTCCAGCATGTTGGGAGGCTGAGGTGGGCAGATCACTTGAGGTCGGGAGTTCGAGACCAGCCTGGCCAACATAGTGAAACCCCGTCTCTAATAAACATATAAAAATTAGCCAGGGGTGGTGGCACACACATGTAGTTTCAGCTACTCAGGAAGCTGAGGCAGGAGAATCGCTTGAACCTGGGAGGAGGAGGTTGCAGTGAGCAGAGATCATGCCGCTGCACTCCAGCCTGGGCAACAGAGCAAGACTTTTTAAAAAATTTAAAAATAATAGTAAATAAATAAATACCCATCACGTATGCTGAATGTGTAGAAATTGGATGGCTACTAAAAATCATATGCACATGGACTCAGCTATTCGTACACCAAAGTTTATAGCAGCATTATGCATGATAGCCAAAAGATGGAAACAACCTAGCTGTTCATGGATAGGAAAACGTGACGTATGCACACTATGGAATATTATTCAGCCCTTAAAAGAAATAAAAATTTTTACACATTCTACAACATAGATGAACCTGGAAGACGTTATGCTAAGTTAAATAAGCCAGACACGAAAGAACAAATACTGTATACTTCCACTTACATGAGATAACCAGGGGAGTCAAATTCATAGAGACAGAAAGTAGCATGTTGCGATGGGGAGCAATTGTTTAATGGGTACAGATTTTCAGTCTGGGAAAATTCATTTAGCTCCCACTTATAAGTGAGAATATGTGGTATTTGGTTTTCTGTTCCTGCAAAATTTTGGACATGGCTGGTGGTGATGGTTGCAAAACGATATTAATGTACTTAATGCCAGTCAACTATACACCTAGAAACGGTTAAAACAGACAATTTTATGCTATGTATGTTTTACATAGCTTAAAAAAAATCAAATGTGCTTATTTGGTCCAGACAAATGTTAGCAATGCTCTGATTTTCCCTCGTGTTCCAGTATTTTGCCACATACCTAGTGGGAGATCATTACATTACTAAAAGAGAAAAATCTGCTATGGAGATTGTGTAACGTGCACCCATGTATAGAAAAATGAACCACAATGTCTAAAAAGCAAAATCCTGGCCAGACACAGTGGCTCACACCTGTAATCCCAGTGCTTTGGGAGGCCGAGGTGAGCGGATCACCTGAGTTCAGGAGTTCAAGACAAGCCTGGGCAACATCGTGAAACCCTATCTCTACTAAAAATACAAAAATTAGCTGGGCATGGTGGCGGGCGCCTGTAATCCCAGCTACTCAGGAGACTGAGGCAGGAGAGTTGCGTGAACCCAGGAGACAGAGTTTGCAGTGAGCCAGGATCACGCCTGTGCACTCTAGCCTGGGCAATAAGAGGGAAACTTGGTCTCAAAAAAAAAAAAAAAAGAAGAAGAAGAAGACTGACTTCATTTAAAAGTATGATTTTTATCTTTATATATATTTCTTCTTTCGTTTTTTTCTTTCTGTTTTTTCTTTTCTTTTTTACTTATTTTTTTGGGGAGGACAGGGTATTGCTCTGTCACCCATGCTGGAGTACAGTGGTGAGATTATGGCTCACTCCAGCCTTGAGCCCTTGGGCTCAAGCAATTCTCCTGCCTCAGCCTCCCGAGTAGCTGGGCCTACAGGCACACACCACCATGCTTGGCTAATTTTTTTATTTCTTTGTAGAGATGGGAGTCTATGTTGCCCAGGCTGGTCTTGAACTCCTAGACTCAAGTGATCCACCTCGGCCTCCCAAAGTGCTGGGATCACAGATGTGAGCCACTGTGACTGGCTATAATGTTATTTACTATTGCAAAAGCAAAATGTAGCTATTATAGAAAAATCAGAAAATGCATGCAGAGCGAATAAATCCTAGGGGCACACGCAGACCAATGGCCACACATAATTCTACCAAAGAAGTAGCATGTCTGCCTCTAGAGACACTGGCCCAATATGTCCATCATCTACAGCCCATTTCCCTCAGATCCATCCTTCCAACCTTCTCTGTGATGCTCTGACCCCTTAGAGTTGGCCCTCACATGCTGTATCACCCAGGTCCTTCTGGTTGGGCATACCAAGGGAGTAGCGAATTATCGGAAAAAAATTCAGAAGAAAGAATTCCCAGAAAGAATTTAACACTTCCCCCAATAGCAGATCTTGAAAGAATAATTTGAATGTAAGCAGTTTATTTGGGAAATGATCCCAAGAGAGTGTAGTGGGGAAATGAGGACGTCAGATAGAAAAGAGAAGAAACCAAACAAATGGTTGTTACCAAGTTACCCCTGTAGGCAATTGGAGTTTAATTTCTGGGGAAATCTTGGAAATAGTGAGGAACATGGACCTGTGAGCTGTCCCACTTGAGGGTGGGGAAGTTCCAGTATGTATCGCTACTTCCCATCTGTCATCAGCTGAGGACTTACTCCGGGATGGTGTACATGAAATGTGAGGTCTGAGGAGCTATGGGGCAGATGGTCGAGGGGTCCACCTACTGGGACGTGAAGACAAGAGAAAAATAGAGAAAGGCCAAAGGGTCAAAAAGCTACACAATAATGCTGTAAACAAGTACTGAACTGTGCCCATCAATTTCTCAAAAGGAGTAGCTGGATGGACCATTTCAGTGGAACAGCAGGAGCTAAAGCCAGAATGCTTCAGAGTAAGAAGTAGAGATCATGTGTGGGGACAATTCTTTTTTTTTTTTTTTTAAACGGAGTCTCACTCTGTCACCCAAGCTGTAGTGTTGTGGTGTGACCTCGGCTCACTGCAACCTCCGCCTCCCAGGTTCAAGCTATTCTCCTGTCTCAGCCTCCTGAGTAGGTGGCATGTGCCACCAAGCCTGGCTAATTTTTGTGTTACACGGGATTTCACCACGTTGACTAGGCTGGTCTCAGTCTCCGAAAGTGCTGGGATTGCAGGCGTGAGCCACCATGCCCAGCCAGTTCTTTACAACGCTTGATTCTGAAAGGAAAGAAAGAAAGAGGGCTGTAGCCAAAAGGCTGTGAGGTTAGAGCAATGTTTTTCAAACTGGGGTCCTTGACAGATTCTCAGTCTGTAAGACCTGAGAATTTTAAAAGACACACACAGACACACACACACACATACACACACACAGTGTCCCCTGGATGCCAATTTCTAAGTGAATATTGCTTCCAAGTTTCAGTTCCTCTGTTTATATTTGTGTTTACAATCAAGTTGTAGCCAGGCAGTAATACTTTAAAGATCATTTTCTTTCTTTTTTTTTTTTTTTTTAACTGAGTTTCGTTCTTATTGCCCAGGCTGGAGTGCAATGGTGTGATCTCCGCTCACAGCAACCTCCGCCTCCCGGATTCAAGTGATTCTCCTACCTCAGCCTCCTGAGTAGCTGGGATTAAAAGTATGGGCCACCATGCCCAGCTAATTTTTTTGTATTTTTAGTAGACACAGGGTTTCCCCATGTTGGTCAGGCTGGTCTTGAACTCCCAACCTCAGATGATCCGCCCCCCTCGGCCTCCCAAAGTGCTGGGATTACAGGCGTGAGCCACCACGCCCGGCCTAAAGATCATTTTCAAACAGAAATTGTTCATGCTGTCATGGAGAAGGTATTATCCGGATGAACGTGTTTCTGTGTTGACAAGAAGGAACAGAGCGCTGCCTTCTGCTCTGATTGTTCCAGCTTTAGAGGTGTTTGAATTAGAGTGAGTGTTCCCCATGGGGGATGCTTGTGTCCTAGAAAAGACATTGAGGGCTGGGCACGGTGGCTCATGCCTGTAATCTCAGTACTTTGGGAGGCCAAGGCGAGTGGGTCACCTGAGGTCAGGAGTTCGAGAACAGCCTGGCCAACATGGTAAAACCCCGTCTCTACTAGAAATACAAAAATAATTAGCCAGGTGTGGTGGCATGCACCTATAATCCCAGCTACTAGGGAGACTGAGGCAGGAGAATTGCTTGAACCCATAAGGCAGAGGTTGCAGTGAGCTGAGATCACACCACTGCCCTCCAGCCTGGGTGACAGACAGAGCAAGACTCCATCTCAAAAAAAAAAAAAAAAAGACATTGAGCCTCAAAGAGAAAAATGAGAAACAGTGTATTAGTCCATTCTCACACTGCTAATAAAGACATACTGGAGACTGGGTATGTCTTTCATGGACTCACAGTTCCACATGGCTGGGGAGGCCTCACAATCATGGCAGAAGGCAAAGGAGGAGCAAAGGTGTGTCTTACACGGTGGTGGGCAAAATAGCAAGTGCGTGTGCGGGGAACGGCCTTTCATAAAACCATCGGATCTCGTGAGACGTATTCACTATCACGAGAACAGCATGAGAAAAACCCACCCCCATGATTTAATTACCTCCCACTGAGTTTCTCCCACAACACATGGGGATTACGAGAGCTACAGTTCAAGATGAGATTTGGGTGGGAACACAACCAGACCATATCACAGGGGGAGCAACGTATCGATGAGGGTAGATTTGTCACAACAAAACAGGAGCCCAAGCCGAGAGCTTTATCACATATACTCATCAAATCATTCTGGCTACTGCAGGACACTTGTCCTGAAAGCATCTCTGGGAACATCCAGCTGCGAAGGACTCCAAGGCCTTAATTTTCAGAGAGGTCTCTCTTTAGTGGGTCTACAAGTGAATGCCTCCAGCTCGATTGAGTGGAGAGGGCTCCTTTGTGGCCAAAGCAGCGTTGGAATTGGGGATACAGTGGGCAGGCCAGATGTAAAAGCCACTTGCCATTTGGCCACCCTGAAAATCTTCCTTTCTGCATGGGAATGCAGGCCCTGAAATAATAAGATTTATGTGTATCTTCAAAAGCAAGGAGAACTTATATCATAGGTAATCTCAAGATTTTGATGTTTCATAAGAAAGCTGAAGAACTTCAGTGATTAGGATAAATCATCTTAGACCTATTCAGTGTTTAAAGAAGTTTTACAAAAAGCACATACACATGTACTCATGGAGAAGAACACCGCTTTAAAGGAGTAACTAGTTGCAACTTGTTATGTTATTTCCAATCTTGATCTATGTGCCTATGGTTTTAGATCGTTGCGGTCAACATGTTGAATATTTCATGAGTGACCCCAGACAAACCACTTCACCTCCACTCATCTATTTTCTTATCAGCAAATGGAGATAATTGCTTTTGTTTCACAGGGCTGTTATGAAAATCAAGTGAAGTAAGATAATACAAAAACAATTCGTAAACTCTAAAGTATACAATTATGAGACATTTAGTGACACGTAATTGCTTCTGTTATGTTTTTCTATGTATCACTTGTAACAGTTGCATATTACTCTGAGTTGCTGTCATAGTTTGTTTAACCATTATCTACTTGTTACTCATCCTTGCTTTTTGCTATCATAAATAAAGTTGGTTATAAACATCTCTGCATGGTTTGCATTTTTTCTCTTTTGAAATATTTCTTTAGGAGGAATTCCTGGAAGTGGAATAAATGAGTTTGAATAGTAGTTGAGACATTCTTTCTTAGATGATATACATCATAGTACAAACAAACAAAAAACTAGCTCATTATGCTGTACCATAATTCAGACAAATTAAGAAACTAAAACTAATTCTGGTGGTGTTAGCAAGCCAGCATATATAAAATCATATCATCATAATTTTCAAAAGGCAAATAGTTACATTTTCTTTGATTATGGAACATGCCTCCTGATGGCGTGAAATCCTTTTTTTGGAATGTGGCAGAATAGAGTACGAAATGTAAAGACTTAACGCAGTAGCCTTCTTTTACAGTTTTAGCATACTCTGTTTACAGAAGACCTGGTTTTTTTGTTTTTTTGTTTTTTTTACTGTAAAATAAGTTTATTAGTAGTAAGGTGATAGAATTTATTCCCGATATCTGATGTTACAACCTTTAGGGTCCTTGAGATATGCAGGATCCTTGTATGTAACTGACATAAACCCCATTATTTGAGCTCTCTTAATTGCTTTCGTGATTTCTTTCTGTTTCTTCCCACAAAGACCAGGTCCTCGTTGCTGGATACCTGTTTATATTGTGAACAACCTCTTCTCCAAAGCACCGTGTGAGTCCCGGAATGTGTAAGGCTGACAGCAGCCGTTACCAGGTGTGTCAACTTCTTCCTCCCTAGACCACCGCAAACAGCAACCATAGCGGCCGTGGTTCCGCATTTCTTCCACTTCCTTTCATCCCAAATCCAGGACCTGGTTTTTAAAGGATCACTTCCTTCCCAAGTGAGGCTTCAAGCTCCTTGGCATCAGTTGGTTTTGATTCAGAGCAAAGTCATTTTAGTAAAGGACAGTTTGCTACATGGATTTTAGATTAAAATCGAGGAGATGAATTTTGTGCAGCAGGTATGTAAAATACAAAAATGTATTCTCCATGATGTGGTTCCAGTTTTCTGGAAATATCAAAAAAAATTTTTTTTTTTTTTGAGGTGGAGTTTTGCTCTTGTTGTCCAGGCTGGAGTGCAATGGCATGATCTCGGCTCACGACAACCTCTGCCTCCCAGGCTCAAGCGATTCTCCTGCCTCAGCCTCCCTAGTAGCTGGAGTTACAGGCATGCGCTACCACGCCCAGCTACTTTTTTGTATTTTTAGTGGAGACAGGTTTTTTTCCATGTTGGTCAGGCTGGTCTCAAACTCCTGACCTCAGGCCTTCTGTCCACCTCTGCCTCCCAAAGTGCTGGGATTACAGGCGTGAGCCACCGCACCCAGCCAGAAAGATTAATATTTTAAAAGTATATGCAGGCCAGGCATGGTGGCTCACATCTGTAATCCCAGCACTTTGGGAGGCTAAGGTTGTAGGATCACTTGAGGCCAGGGGTTCAAGACCAGCCTGGGCAACATAACAAGAATCTATCTCTGCAAAAAAAAAAAAAAAAAAAAAAAAATAGAAATTAACCGGCGTGGCGGCACACACCTGTAATCCCAGCTACTTGGGACACTGAGGCAGGAGGGTCGCTTGAGCCTGGGAAGTCAAGGCTGCAGTGAGCTATGATCATGGCACTGCATTCCAGCCTGGGTAACAGGGCAAAACCCCATTAAAAAAAATTTTTAAGTATATACAGATTCCCAAACTTCTGGAGTGTAAGTGCTCTTAACATCTATTATCTGACACAATTTTTGGAGCCTTAAATGCTCAGATTGGCAAGAGGCTTCTGCCTTTTTGGACTGAAGTTTTGCTTCTCTCTGGGCATTTCTTTAGAGATGGTTGCGGAATCAAAGAAGAAATACCTGACCAAACTAGTATGGTTCAATAGAAACTTTCCCTATGAAACATTTCAGAGGAATTTGACCTATACCACTTATCAAGGGATCAGGGTGATTGATTATTAAGTGTTTCGCTCTATTGCCCTTATTTTGTTTCTCCAGTCACTTCTCTTTTAAATGGCTTGATAGGAAGTTAAGAGGAGGTATAACGGGAAAGCCTTGGCTGAAAGTTACATTTGATTCATGAGTTCAGCTTTGCCACTAACTAGCTGGCTGACCAGATCCAAGTTACTTAACCCATTTGGGCCTGAGTTTTCTCAAGCACAAAGTGGAATCTAAGATGTAGTCCAGTTCCAACACTCTGTGATTTCATCTGGAGCAAAGGCCTTTCTCCATGACACAAGTAATCTTCTGAGGGTCAAATGACTTAAAGACTCTTTTGCAAATGTCATGTGACTGTTGCTGTGCTGCGTGTGTGGGTGCGCGGCAGGGAAGGGTGGGTGGAAGTCAATTCCTACTCTCTACAGCAACAGTTAAAAAAACAGGTTGAAAAAAATACAGTGCTCTCCTGTGTTTGGGCAAACAGGAATCAGGCCACCCTGACCTCATGGTCCCGCGGATGCTGCCAGGAAGCCCGAAAACTCCATCCAAAGCTGCTGAGACAGAATCTTTGGCAGAGCTGAAAGGAAGCTGAAAGGAGCGGTGCCGGGAGTTCCTGCCCAAAAAGGGGTGAGCACGGCACTTGGCAAACACGCAGCATGTATTATGTGCTGAGTTAACACCCCTTAGTGTCATTATTAGCACTTTCAGAAATAGCCAGCAAAGCTATTTAGAGAGGGGGTTAAAAAAAACACCACCAAAACCTTTAACTTACTCCAATATTACTTCAGGTGCATTAATACTTTTAAAACCTAAATTGTAGTCTTTCTACTTGTTGTTAAGTCATCATTATTCTTCAGACTCAAATTCTGGCAGTTCCTTGTTGATATATTCCTTCGGTGTTTCTTTGGCATTGCTGTTGAGTCTCAGATCCCACATTGGAGGATCAGCTGCTACGAGGTGTAATATGAGGGTTAAGTGAAAGCAAACCCCAGGGTCTTACGTGACCCCAGCAGGCTCCCTTCCCCTTCGGGTCCTCACTGTTCCAGACCCAGAGTGTTGCCTGGCCATCTGAGGGGCCTTAGTCTCACCCAGTCTGCTCACCTCTGCTAATACCTCTGTATGATTATACTTTTATTTATTGCTAAAGCCTCGCTAGGGGTTCAATCTGACACTGCCTGCTGGTCTGGTTCTGCACCCTGCAGCCTCCTCATGCAGCCCCTAGCTCCATAGAAAACCATTTGCCGTGGGCTTTCAAGTGCCCTTCCCTGACCTTCCTCCCAGAAGGTTCTTGCCCCTGCCTGCTGGCCTAGTAAACTCTTAGATTTGCCATCCTTAGGTCAGAGGCATTCCAACCAGAGCTGTGCCACCTTGAACATGGGCTGGGTAAAATAAGGCTGAGACCTACGGGGCTGCATTCCCAGGCGGTTAGGCATTCTAAGTCATACCATGAGACAGGAGGTCGGCACAAGATATAGGTCACGAAGACCTTGCTGATAAAACAGCATGTGGTAAAGACGCCAGCCAAAATCTGCCAAAACCAAGATGGCAAACAAACTGACCTCTGGTTGTCCTCACTGCTCATAATACAGTAATTATAATGAATCAATATGCTACAAGACGTTACCACCAGTGCACAGACAGCTTACAAATGCCATGGCAACATTAGGAAGTTACCCTGGTCTAAAAAGGGGAGGAATCCTCATTTCCAGGAATTGCCCACCTCTTTGCCAGAAAACTCATGAATGAGCCACCCCTTGTTCAGCATACAGTCAAGCAGTATGTAAGTATCCTTGGTTGAGTAGCTCAAGCTGCTGCTCTGTCTGTGGAAGAGCCATTCTTTACTCCTTTACTTTTTTAATAAACTTGCTTTCATTTTACTCTATGGACTCACCCTGAATTCTTTCTTGTGTGAGATCCAAGAACCTTCTCTTGGGGTCTGATTGGGACCCCTTTCCAGGAAGACTTCAAGTCTCAGCTAAAATGTCTCTTCCTGGTATTTTACTGTTTCCTCTTGCGAGCTACCTCAGCACCCAAGACAATTCCAGCTGACCCTTGAAAAACTCAAGGGTTAGGGGCGTCGACCCCCTGCACAGTCAAAAATCTGCATATAACTTAACTCCTCCAAAACGTAACTAGCAATCGCATCCCATTGACCAGAAGCCTTACTGATGGCATCCACAGTTGATCAACACATATTTTGCATGTTACATGTATTACATACTATATTTTTACAATAAAGTAAGCTAGCTAGAGAAAAGAAAATGTTACTAAGAAAATCATAAGGAAGAGCAAATGTGTTTACTAGTCATTAAGTGGAAGGAGATCATCCTAAAGGTCTTTATCTTTGTTGTCTTCAAGTTGAGTAGGCTGCAGAAGAGGAGGAAGAGGAGGGGTTGGGGGTGGGTGGGTAGCAGAGGTAGAAGAGGTGGAAGAGGTGGAAGGAAGGGGGAGCAGGAGAGACAGGCACACTCAGTTTACTTTTTTTTTTTTTTTTTTTTTTTAGAGAGTCTCTCTCTGTCACCTAGGCTGGAGTGCAGTGGTGCAGTCTTGGCTCACTGCAACCTCCACCTCCCAGGTTCAGATGATTCTCGAGCCTCTGCCTCCCGAGTAGCTGGGATTACAGGCACATGCCACTATGCCTGGCTACTTTTTGTGTTTTTAGTAGAGACGGGGTTTCACCATGTTGGCCAGGCTGGTCTCAAACTCCTGACCTCAAGTGATCTGCCCCCCTCGGCCTCCCA
Source organism: Homo sapiens (assembly GCF_000001405.40). Taxonomy (NCBI): domain Eukaryota; kingdom Metazoa; phylum Chordata; class Mammalia; order Primates; family Hominidae; genus Homo; species Homo sapiens. The sequence goes on along the minus strand of NW_018654717.1, from coordinate 4,414,049 downwards.
AAGTGCTGGGATTACAGGCATGAGCCACCATGACGAACCTTCAGTGTAAATTTCATTGGAAAAAAAATCCACATATAAATAGGTTTTGACTCACATTCAAACCTGCGTTGATCAAGGGTCAACTGTATATATCCACCAGAGACTGAGTTTTTTGGAGCCAAGCATTTTATTTTGATTTTTATATTTCAAGCTTTGAAGCTTGAGCTCAGAATCTGGTAAAAAGGTGCCCAGTAAATGCTGTATAAATACATAGATCTGTGTTCCAACAATCTCTTCTTCAATTCCTACTTAGAACAAGGTGAGGGAGGGTGTTAAATGAAAAAGAAATTTGTAAACTGACTGTGGGAATTTATATTAAACCATGTTTATACTTGCTTTGTGGAAACCTGTCCTGAAACAAAGAAAAAGAGAAGCAAAATAGGATCCCTTTCTGTTTCAAAGATCTTATGTAAGAGGAGAGTCCCTTGACACCCCTGAACACCCCATCCCCCACACACAGGCCCATGGATTTCCCTCACATTCTAGTAACCATGGGCTCAAGTTTCTGTTTTAAAAACTTCATTACTTGTTAGGAAGGCTAAGCCTCGTTTATCCCTTAATGCAAATTATTCCACATAGAGATCCTCCTACAAGAGCTTCTCGCTGGGGACAGTGAGCACCAGAGATGCGACTTTGAATGTGGGACCCTTTCCTGGCATCCAGGCCATAGCTCAAATGCTAATCAGTGCTCCTGGCTGCAATCCACTGTTGGCCCAGATTCCTGGCCCGTGGAAACAGGTCTCCACGGTGTAAAGAGCCTGAGCATTCTTGCCAGAAAAAGCTACTTTCAATTCCTGGCTCTGTCACCCACAGGCTCTATGACTTGGGAAATGTTACCTATCTTAGCAGAGCCCCTGTTTTCTCACCCATAAAATGGTGATAACAGTAAATGCCTCACAGTTGTTGGCAAATGAGATGAGAGGGCTGAGGTCCGGTCATGTAGCAGGTGCATATAAAGAGTACTTTGTGTGTCTTTGAGTGACTCTGGGGCTCTGAGACTTGCCGGGAGTAGGTTTAGATTGGCTGGTTATTGGGTCTTGCTATGAATTGGAGATGGTGTTGGGTGTGGGTTGGTAACAGCACAGGGGTCTGGGGGATACCTGGTGAGGTATGGCACACTGTGGACCCCTGAGGTTGGTCTGCTGGGAGATATGGTATTCCAGGAGCTCCAGGGCAACTCTAAACCCACAGCCTGCAAAAGTGGGCACTGGGTGATTCGATTCTGACACCTACTTCCTTTTCCAATGGATAATTTTTTCCATTTCTAGCTCGCTGAACAAGAGTGGGCCACTGGCTCCATAGAGCACTAAACACGAGAAACTTGGATTGTTGAAAAAGAAGTTAAATGTCAGAATCAGTTCCCATCTGTAAATGATGTATCTCCCTATCTGACCTTGGAGGTGAAACCCAGAGAAGATTGTTTCTCAAAGTAAATTCAGAGCACCTACTCCTCAGAGCTCAGACATGTTGAATCAAGATCTCTGAGATGGGGATGGAGAATCTTCATTAAATCAAGTTCCCCCAGGTAGTCCTGGTGCACCTTATACCCTCACTACTTCAAGTGTGGTCCCTGGGACAACAGCATGGGCATCACTGGGCCGTTACAAAAACTTCAGAAACTCATGCCTAGCCCCAAACCTACTGAATCTGCATGTTTAAAACATCATAGTAAAATGTAATACACATAGCGTACGATTTACCTTCTTTAAGTGTACAGTTCAGGAGTGTTAAGTGCATTCACATGATTGTATAACCTATCTCCAGAACTCTTTTCATCTTGCAGAAATGAAACTCTATACCCATTAAACAACCCCCATTTCTTAGTCCCACAGCCTCTGGCGACCACCCAGAATCTGCATTTTAACAAGATTCCCAGGAGATTCTTATGCCCATTAAAGATGAAGAAGCCCTGCACTAAGTATGAAAACCACAGATAACAAAATCAGGAGCCTGCCAGTAGGCTTAGCGAGGCAACCAGGCCATTTCCTTAGGGCAAGATTAGGGAAACCAGTGAGCAGAACAATAGCAAATCCCTCTAGAAAATTCTGATGCATGCTCCAGTTTGACAATCACTGCTATCCAGAAGTGATTCATAACTCAATGTACATATTAGAATCACCTGGGAACCTTCCAAACATATTCATGCCTAAGACTCGTCCAAAATCCACTAACTCTAATCTCTAGAGGCAGGGCCCAAGCACCTAAATTTTTTAAACATCTCCCAGGGATTCTGATTACTCAGTCAGATTTCTTTTCTTTTCTTTTCTTTTCTTTTTTAACAGTCTCACTCTGTTTCCCAGGCTGGAATGCAGTGGCATATTCTCACCTCACTGCCATCTCCTCCTCCCAAGTTCAAGCAATTCTTGTGCCTCAGCCTTCTGAGTAGCTGGGACTGCTGGCTCGCACCACTATGCCTGGCTATTTTTATTTTTTATTTTTATTTTTGTTTTGTATTTTAGCAGACATGGAGGATTTTTGCCATGTTGGCCAGGCTGGTCGTGAACTCCTGGGCTCAAATGATCCACTGGCCTCAGCCTCCCAATGTGCTGGGATTACAGGCATGAACCACTGCGCCCCACCTCAGTCAGGTTTCAGAACCACTGATCTGCAGAGATGAAGGAGGTTGGTAGGATGAGGCAGATTCTGTAACCGTGCATGAACATTAGAGGAAAATAATGGGGCCGGGTAAGGCCTCAGAGCTGCTTTTTTATTTTATAATCTGCTCAGCTCTCCTGGTATGAGTGATTGTCCTGGGGAGTTTAAACCAACCAACAAAGCTGTGTTTGCAAAAAGAAATCGCTATCTTATTTGATGTTCCAGTGTTTTCCATGCAAACAATCCTTACCACCTCTTCCCTACTGCCTGCCATTATTTCCTATCACAGCCCTCTGTTTATTTTCCTAATAGCATTTACCACAATTAGCAATTATTATGCTCATTGTCTGCCTCCTCTCATTAAAACAATAGCTAACTGTCTCTGTGTAAAAACCAGGTTCATAGGTCTTGTTCACCTCCTCCTCACACAGAGGCCCCTGATAAATATTTGAATGAATGAAACACACATAGTACTCAATCAGCTGATGTACCAATCAACTTTGCTATGCCATGGAATCACTGCCCCCCTCGTGGCCCCAAACCAGCTGACATAATATAGAAAGGGAGAAGCAGTTGTCTTAAAAGAAACTGCTGCACTGTCAGGATTGAAAGAATTATGGCAGACAGGCTGTGCACTAAAGCCCACAGGGAGCAGTCAAGGGCAGTGGTGGCCCAGTGTTGTCAGGTGGTAGAGACCAGTGTAGGGAAGCAGCAGTGGCGGGCGGATTACCTGAGGTCAGGAGTTCAAGACCAGCCTGGCCAACATAGTAAAACCCCGTCTCTACTGAAAAAGAAAAAAAAAATTAGCCCAGTGCAGTGGCGAGCACCTGTAATACTGTAATCCCAGCTACTTGGGAGGCTGAGGCAGGAGAATCACTTGAACGTGGGAGGCGGAGGTTGCGGTGAGCCAAGATCGCACCACTGCACTCCAGCCTGGGTGACAGAGTGAGACTTCATCTCAAAAATAAATAAATAAATAAATTAGAATTCTTCGATGAGTGAGTGATAGTTTCATTGAACTGGTGAAATCTGCATGTAAATGTGACCTCATCCAGAACCTCCCAGCTGGTGAGGCTTGGATTACAATGTGTTTATGCAACTCCCCAGGTAGAATTCTATAGCAGAAAGAGCATAGATTTTGGAACAGTATTGAAGACAACTTCTGCTTCCTCTACTAGCTGGCTGTTCAACAGTGGGAAATTACTTATGTGAGCTTCAGCTTCCTCATCTGAAAACGAGATGATCTTTCTCTCATATATTATGCCAAGCGCCTAGTAAACCGCCTGCTGCATAGCAGCGTTTGATGAACGTTAAGTCCTAAATCGGCAATCTAGATTTTCTTACCCATTCTTTCTCAGACTTTTTCTTCCTTTAGTTACAGCTTAGCCATTACCTCCTCGTCACTGGAACCACATGCCATCACTTATAATACTTACTGTTTGTAACATTTGATTGGCCGAGAAAAAAATCACATACTGCCTTGTGGATTTTCTTTCATCATTATATTGAGACTTCTTGTATTGTGAGTATATTAAAAGCTGAAGAATTTATCTAACTTATTCCTCAGCACAAATGGAAATACTTTTGGAGATAGGAGGCTTTTACCAGAAAGGGGTCCTGATCCAGACCCCTCAAGAGGGTTCTTGGATCTCCAGCAAAAAAGAATTCAGGGAGAGCCCACAGAATACAGTGAAAGCAAGTTTATTAGAGAAGGAAAGCTCTCGGGGCTGCAGGTTGGCTATTTTTACGGTTATTTCTTGATCATATGCTAAACAAAGGGTAGATTATTCAGGAGTTTTCCAGAAAAGGGGTGAGGATTTCCCAGAACTAAGGTCCCTCCCCTTTTAGACCATATAGGGTTATTTCCGGATGTTGCTATGGCATTTGTAAACTGCCGTGGTGCTGGTGGAGGGTCTTTTAGCATTCGAATGCATTTTTATTAGCGTATAATCAGCACTGAAGACAACCAGAGGTTACTTTCATCACCATCTTGGTTTGGTTTTGGCGGGTTTGGGCCGGCTTCTTTACTGTATCCTGTTTTATCAGCAGGGTCTTTGTGACTTGGTCCTGTGCTGACCTCCTATCTCACCCTGTGACTAAGAATTCCTAACCTCCTGGGAATGCAGCCCAGCAGGTCTCAGCCTCATTTTACCCAGCCTCTATTAAAGATAGAGTCCCTCTGGTTCCAAGGCCTCTGACACTACTTCCTGCTTCTTGCTGTTCTTTAGCACTGAATTCCACAGTCAGGCACAGGTCTGGCATGCACCATCTAGAGCTCAGCAAGTGTAATAGCTCAGATGAGGAACAATGGTTGCTCCCTAAATAGTCTTCATCCCTCCACGCAAATACTCTTAAAATGCAGCCCAACCATGCATTGGTGATACAATGAATTGTTTATTTATTTCTAGCTATTATTTTATGATTTTTTAATTAATGCATAATAGATGTACGTATTTTCAGGGACGTGTCACAATTTAATACATTCACATGGTTTGTAAAGACCGAATCAGTGTAATTGGGATCTCTATCACCTTAAATAGTTGTGATTTCTTCATAGGGGAGACATTCGAATGATTCTCTTCTAGCGATTTAAAAATATACCATACATTATTGTAAATGATAGTCACCTTACTGATATGTCAAACACTAACTCAGCCTTATTTCTTCTATCAAAGTATATATATATTTTTGTTGTTGTTGTTGTTTGTTTTTTTTTTTTTTTTTTGAGACGGAGTCTCGCTCTGTCGCCCAGGCTGGAGTGCAGTGGAACGATCTCGGCTCACTGCAAGCTCAGCCTCCCAGGTTCATGCCATTCTCCTGCCTCAGCCTCCCGAGTAGCTGGGACTACAGGCACCCACCACCATGCCTGGCTAATTTTTTGTATTTTCAGTAGAGATGGGGCTTCACCGTGTTAGCCAGGATGGTCTCGATCTCCTGACCTCATGATCCGCCCGTCTCGGCCTCCCAAAGTGCTGGGATTACAGGCGTGAGCCACCTCGCCCAGTTGAAACTTTATTTTTGAAATTCTGATGATATCCCATACGGATTGAAAAGGGTTTTATATTTTTAAATCAGATTTTTATCTGCTTTATCTTTTAACAGAATTCAGTGTTATGAAAGAGCTGTAGCATCTTTCAATCATTGTGATATTATTTATGTTAAGACAGTGGCAAGAAATACAAATTTCTTTTCCCTATTTAGTCTCTCTTTTTTCTGCAGTAATATATCTCCAATTTTTGGTTGGTGCATTGCTGTCCAGTTAAAAGATGACATTTCCTAGTATCATTTGAAGTTGACTCAGTCAGGTATCTAAGTACTTGTCATAGAAATGTAAGTCAAAATACTGCATAGTCTTCTGAGAAGTCTTATAAAGGAAGTGTTCTGGCAGGGAGTGGTGGCTCATGCCTGTAATCCCAGCACTTTGGGAGGCCGAGGTACGCGGATCTCCTGAGGTCAGGAGGTCGAGACCAGCCTGGGCAACATGGTGAAACCCCGTCTCTACTAAAAATACAAAAATTAGCTGGGCATGGTGGTGGGCACTTGTAATTCCAACTACTCAGGAGGCAGAGGCGTGAGAACTGCTCTAACCCAGAAGGCAGAGGCTGCAGTGAGCCAAGATTGTGCTATTGCACTCCAGCCTGGGTGATAGAGCAAGGCTCTGAAACTGTTCTGTGTTTATTCTTTCTCTTTTGCTGCCAGCCTGAACCCTGGAAGAGATTACTGGAGCACCAGACACCTTAGACCATGAGTATAAGGACCACACGCTAGAGACTATAGATCTGACAGCCTGAAGGAGATTGAGTCCTTAATGAATTTGGGGTACCTTGCCACACTCACACCAAACTGCCTACTTACAAAATCCCTTTGCAAGAGAAAGCAACCAAGTGTTGTATCAACCTGAACCTAATTTGAACTGATACAAGCTGTAGTAAAATTATACTTTTTTCATATTCCATTCTTATGAATGAGGTTAATTACAGACAATTAATGCATTGGTTCTATGATGACCAAATAGTTTATAGCCTACTAATTGGTCTGAAGTGCTGGCTGAATGTAGCATTTTGATTATAATGCGAAACAACAATATTAAGATGTTTAAGAAAATACAATTGACCCAAAAAGTCAATTTTAGACAACAATCAATAAATAGGCTCTATGTTTCTCTGGGCACCAAAGATCACCCCTTCAGGAAAACATATGCCAAAAAAAAAAACACCATAATCTGCTGAAAGAAAAAGCATTGCCTTTGGTTTTATGGATTTTTCTAGCTATTTTTCTGTGTCTTAAGTTTTAAATAGATTTTAGACACATTTATTGTGCTAGAGAATTTTTTATCTCTAGCAAGAAACAAAATCTTTGTCGTAGAAACACATATATGTAATTTTTTGGTCTTTGTTTATTACTGAAAAATGAGCACAATGAGAGAGAGGTAGGAAAACTGGGAAAAATAGAAGTTAGAGGAAAATGATGATAGAGGTTGTCCTGTAGGTTGGCTCGGATATAGGAATGTCAGAGGTGTTTGAACTAGAGCAACTCCACCTTGAATAGGGCCTGGGTAAACCAAGGCTGAGACCTACTAGGCTGCATTCCCAGGAGGCTAGGCGTTCTAAGTCACAGGATGAGATAGGAGGTTGGCACAAGGTACAGGTCACAAAGACCTTGCTGATAAAAGGATGTGGGAAAGAACCCTGCCAAAATCCCACCAAAACCAAGACAGTGACAAAAGTGACCTCTAAGTGACCTCTAGTTGTCCTCTCTGTTATTATATGCTAATTATAATTAATTCTCATACTAAAAGACACTCCCACCAGCACCCTGACAGTTTACAAATGCCATGACAACATCAGGAAGTTACCCTATATGGTCTATAAAGGGGAGGAACCCTCAGTTCCGGGAATTGACCACCTCTTTCCCAGAAAACTCATGAATAATCTGCCCCTTGTTTAGCATATAATCAAGAAATAACCCCAAAAATAGCCAACCAGCAGCCCTCAGGGCTGCTCTGCCTGTGGAGTAGCCATTCTTTTATTCCTTTACTTTCTTAGTAAATTTGCTTTCATTTTACTCTATGGATTCACCCTGAATTCTTTCTTTTGTGAGGTCCAAGAACCCTCTCTTGGGATCTGGATCAGGACCGCTTTCCAGTAACAGGAGTAATAATAATATCCACTATTTGAAGAATAGATTTCTGTTTACGAAGCCCACACGTTATCTCACTCAGAGATAAGACTTAGGAAACAGGTTGGATTGCCAGGGGTTACGGGTGAGGGAAGTGATGACTGTAAAGGAGTATCACGAGAAGGTGGTTTTTTTTTTTTTTTTTTGGATAATAAAAAAGTATAAAGTGAGTGGGCACGGTGACTCAGGCCTATAATCTCAGCGCTTTGGGAGGCCAAGGCGGTCAGGAGTTTGAGACCAGCCTGGACAACGTGGTGAAACGCCATGTCTACTAAAAATACTAAAATTAGCTGGGAGTGGTGGTGGGCACCTGTAATCCCAGCTACTCGGGAGGCTGAGACAGGAGAATCACTTGAACCGGGAGGCGGGGCTTGCAGTGAGCCGAGATCACGCCACTGCACTCCAGCCTGGGCAACAGAGTGAGACTCTGTCTCAAAAAAAAAAAAAAAATAGTATACTCCAACTGTCCGTGATAACCCAGGTTGGCCATAATGTTTGTCATGTATGTAAATATCACGGAATGATTTAGGTTTTTAAAATATCAAATTAAGTTCAAGGTCTTCGAAGAAATTTATGCAAGTGAGAGCTTCTGAGCCTTAAATTTCATTAGCTCCACCATAAATCCACCGCTGATCATTATTTATACTTTAAAAACAATCAAAACAGTGTTCATAGTATGCACATTGTTCTGTAAACTTTTTCCCTTCGACTATGCATCTTGGATACCTTTTCCTGTCAATACAGAGGGTTCCAGCTCATCTTTTAAAAACAATTCTGTTTTTTAAAAAAATTCTGTAGTTGTCCAATATTCATTATATAGTTCTTGAATGATACTTAAATTGTTTCCACAATTTGTTCCTCTCACTGGGGAGATACTTTATACAACAACAGAGCCTGGCATATAATAAGCCCTAAATAAATGTGTGTTGAGGTCAAGTGCAGTGGCTCATGCCTGTAATCTCAGCACTTTGGGAGGCCAAGGCAGGTGGATCACTTGAGGTCAGAAGTTCAAGATTAGCCCGGCCAACATGGTGAAACCCCTTCTCCACCAAAAATACAAAAATTAGCCAGGCGTGGTAGTGGGTGCCTCTAATTTCAGCTACTCGGGAGGCTGAGGTAGAGAATCACTTGAACCCTGGAGCAGAGGTTGCAGCGAGCCAAGATCATGCCACTGCACTCCAGCTTGGATCACAGAGTGAGACTCTGTCTCAAAAAAAAAAAAAAAAAAAAAGTGTGTTGAGTTGGTGCCTTGTTATGAGCTTGGTTCCAGGTTTGCTGGGGTGTTAAAAGATGCTGATCTTTACTTGCAGCTCCCCTGGCTTGGAGAGGTGAGAGGAGAGAACAAAGCCCACTATTCTCTTCTTCCCCTCCTCCCTCATTTCTGTTTGTCCCTCCTCCCACCCGCTTCCCCTGGCTGTCATCACCCAGCCTGGCTGTTAGTGAAGGGTGGGAAACATCACCACTGAACAGGTTTGGCCAGAAAGCAAGATGGTGTTCTGGGACTATGCTCTCAATTTCAAAGCACTTTTAACGTTAGAGGAAAGTTTTCCTGAACTTTCTTTCCCCACATCAATGACAGGAAAGTCCCAGACATAAAACTGGAACGACAGGGGCTATCTGAGGGTCCGGAGTGCATTTGGGTAACGTGAGCCTGAAAAACAAAGAATACTCAAAACGAATAAAAATCCCACAAAATCAAGGAGTGTGAGACTCAAAACGAATAAAAATCTCACAAAATCAAGGAGTGTGAGACTGACTCTAGAGATAAAATTCTCTTTATATTCTTGTGTGATAGAGGGGATTATAGACAAATCTACTTTAGCTAGGCCAAAAGGTGCCATCAGTTTTGTGGGTTTTTTTTTATTATTTTTTTAAGAGGTTCTTACTCTGTCGCTCAGGCTGGAGTACAGTGGTGCAATCATACCTCACTGCAGCCTCAAACTCCTAGGCTGAAGCAATCCTCCTGCCTCAGCCTCCCAAGTTACTGGGATTACAGGCATGAGCGATCGTGCTTGGCCTTCATTTGCGATTAAAAATGTTCTTAGTCACTAATAAGCAGAATAAATGTATTGAGGAAGAAACAGTCGTTTCAAAGTCTATCATCCCAGAATGATAGAATTTTAGTGTTTTTTTTTGTTTGTTTTTTTCTTTTTTGAGACGGAGTCTTGCTTTGTTGCCTAGGCTGGAGTGCAGTGGCACAATCTCGGCTAGCTGCAACCTCCATCTCCCGGGTTCAAGCGATTCTCCTGCCTCAGCTTCCCAAGTAGCTGGGACTACAGGGACACACCACCACGCCCGGCTAATTTTTGTATTTTTCGGTGGAGACGGGGTTTCACCATGTTGCCCAGGCTGGCCTTGAACTCCTGACCTCAAGTGATCAGCCTGTCTTGGTCTCCCAGAGTGCTGGAATTACAGGCGTGAGCCACTGTGCCCGGCCAAGTTTTGGTGTTTTTAATGAGAAAATGTATATGTTCATTTCCTAGAATAAATCTCTACATCACTCATGGAAGTTAGTGGAATATTAAGCCTGCCAACTTCTCTCTTTCCAGCCTCTGCAGCCCCTTGATAGTTTGGCCTGGGACCACTCTTCTCCGTGGATTTCATCATGTTCTGAGGCTCAGGAGAATCGAAGGGACCCAAGGCCAGGTGCTCAGCATGAAGTCCAGGGTCACTGCTGTCCCTTTCTACTTTTTAGCTGTTACATTGGCTTGCCAGGATTGGGCTCCTGCTTCATTTACAGGGTTCAGTGACTGCTAATGGGGTTCAGGACACACTATCCCAAAATATTTTAGGCTGAAAGAACTTGAGAAAATGGCAAAACAAGAAGGTGGCTGTCACCTTTCCCCCTACCCTTCTTCCTTGAAGCAGGTCATAAACTTAGGAAGGATTTTTTTGATGTTGCCCTAAAGCAGGTCATAAGACCCTCATTCCAGAGGTGCCCTCCCTATACCTGGAGGAAAGGAACATCCTAACCTCCGACGACACAGGGACCCAGAGGAGAACCTGAACAAACAGGCCTGGCTACGTTTCTCTCCAGTTTACTGCCATTAGATCATACGGCTGTGTCCAATCATACTTTTCCACGGCCATCCTCATCTTCATCAAACTTAGCATGAAAATACACGGGCTTACCCACTTCTTCAGGGCTTCATTTCCTTATGAAGGCTCCCGTGTCACGTAAAACTTATACTCAATTTGTATGCTTTTTTTGATTTCTTTTCTCTTGTTTCTTTTGTTATAGAGATCTAAGCCCTGAACATTGAACCTGAGATAGGAAGGTGAGGTAGTTCTCTTCCCTGACACTCGCAAGCCAAGTAACCAGGTCGTATGTCTATCCCATAGTGTTCTCCAGACTGTTGAGCCACTTTGGCCATTTATTTATTTATTTATTTATTTATTTTGAGACAGAGTCTCACTCAGTCGTCCAGGCTGGAGTGCAGTGGCGTGATCTCAGCTCACTGCATCCTCTGCCTTCCAGGGTTCAAGCGATTCTCCTGCCTCAGCCTCCCGAGTAGCTGGGATTACAGGCGCCCACCACCACGCCCAGCTAATTTTTGTATTTTTAGTAGGGAAGAGGTTTCACCATGTTGGCCAGGCTGGTCTCAAACTCTTGACCTCCAGTGATCCACCCGCCTCAGCCTCCCAAAGTGCTGGGATTACAAGCGTGAGCCACAGCACATGGCCTTTAGTTGTGTTGTTGATGCTTATTTGATTCAGTTCATTTCTGGCATTCAATGTCACCCTGCTAAGGGAGAATGGATTTTGTTTGGTTAACGGCCTAACCAGCATGTGTGGTTAGACACTTTGCCTGTTTCCTTCATTCACTAAAATTATAACGTATTTTACTGCAAATGTCTCTCCATTTAGGCATTGAGTGTAATTACCGTTGAGTCTCTGCTGCTTCTAGTGAATTACCTAATTCTTCTTAATTACTTGCTAAGGAGCCTGACAGCCAAATGGTTTTAGTAATAGTTTAAGGTAAGAAAAAATGTAAACCTGGACAGGAGCACCTCATCCTTAACTTTTGTGGGTGTCATATTTCTCTATGGCCATATGAAAGCATTTACATCCCCTGTCCCCATAACTTTCACAGAGACCAGGAGACCTGGAGGCAAATGACAAGAGTCAATGGGACAATAAAGGGGTTTACTCTTGTCATTTGCAGAGCTTTGTCTCTTTAAAGCAAACAGCCTCTTGTTTTACAGTCACAGCCTTCTCATAGTCATACTCAGAAGCAAACAAATGTTGAGAATGTGCCAGAATCACTCATGAGCAAGCTCTTTCTTTTTGAATCAGCCTTCCTCATGACTTTCCACTGTCCCGCCTAGGGAAGGCTTCCTATGCCTCCTACTCCCTCAGCCTATGCGTGCAAAACCAGTATCACAGCCAACTCTTTTTCACCTACTAATCCCGATTTCTGTCTTTCGTACCTCCATTGCATGGAGCTTTGGAAGTACAGAAATGATTAAGACAAAGTCTCCTTCCTCAAAGATCGTGCAGCCTTGTGAAAGAGACAAACACATATACATTTAATTTTAATAAAATGTGTTTAGCCAGGCACAGTGGCTTATGCCTGTAACCCCAGCACTTTGAGATGCCAAGGCGGGAAGATAGCTTGAGCCCAGGAATTTGAGACCACCCTGGGCAACATGGCAAGACCCCATCTCTACAAGAAATATAAATAATTAGCAGGGTGTAGTGACACGCACCTGTAGTCCCGCTCCTTGGGAGGCTGAGGTGGGAGGATCACTTGAGCTCCAGAATTCTTGGCTGCAGAAAGCCATGACTGCACCACTGCACTCTAGCCTGGGAGGCGGGGTGAGACTCTGTCTCAAAAACAACAGGCTGGGCACGGTGGCTCATGCCTGTATTCCTAGCACTTTGGGAGGCTGAGGCAGGTGGATCACATGAGGTCAGGAGTTCAAAATCAGCCTGGCCAACATGGTGAAACCCCATCTCTACTAAAAATACAAAAATTAGCTGGGCATGGTGGTGCATGCTTACAATCCCAGCTACTCGGGAGGCTAAGGCAGGAGAATTGCTTGAACCTGGGGGACGGAGGTTGCAGTGAGCTGAGATCATGCCACGGCACTCCAGCCTGGGTGACAGAGTGAGACTCTATTTCAAAAAACAAAACAAAACAAAAAACAATAACAGCAACAACAAAAGGCAGGGGGAAATTGCTATGATAAAGTTATACATAGGGTGCTATGGGAGCACAGAGAAGGGACACTGAGGCCAATGCACAGCTCATGAAGGTTTTCAGGGGGAAAATGATACCTAAGGTGAACCACAAAACAACGAACGCTGTTTGAACATAAAGCATGAGGCAGGAAACACTGGGCTCTGATGGTTGGAGGGGTACATACAGGAACCATCATAGAAGTCATGGAGGTCAGGGCTTAGAAGGGGCATTCAAGCATGGCTTTGAATTATTTATTCCTATGAGAGTTTAAGCTCCCTCAGTGCAGGAACCTGGTCTGTCTTGCTCACTAATGGGTCTTCAATACTTAAAATGGTGCCTAGCATCTAAATGGTACTAAATAAGTATTTGTGGAACTGAATGAAAGCTTGGAAATAACACCACCAGATATATATCTCTTATAAATCATTTTGGCAGCTATGTGGGACATCAGTCCTGAGGCTAATGCAATAGTCCAGGTAGTGAATTGAATGAGACCCCAACATGGCAATGAGAACAGGATAAGGAAGAGGGAAGTTATCTGAGAAATGTTTACAAAGTGAAATCAGCAGGAATTGGTAACTGGATGTGGGAGGTGAAAGAGAGGCAAGGATGACTCTTAGTCGTAAAGACTATAGGAGAAGGGATGGGAGTGGTGGCTCACGCCTGTAATCCTAGCACTTTGAGAGGCCGAGGCAGGTGGATCACCTGAGGTCAGAAGTTCGAGACCAGCCTGGCCAACATGGTGAAACCCTGTCTCCACTAAAAATACAAAAATTAGCCGGGCGTGGTGGCTTGTGCCTGTAGTCCGAGCTATACAAAAGGCTGATGCAGCAAAATCGCTTGAATTTCCTGCATCAAGCGATTGCAGACTGCACTTCAGTCTGGGCTACACATTGAGACCCCATCTCAAAAAAAAATAATAATACTGCAGAAGGAGGACTAGATTTGGGGAGGGAATAAAACGAAGAAACCTACATGGCTAGAAATTCTATCTGAGAAAAATCTTTCTTCCACTTCCCTTTTCATTATCTGCCCTTGATCCTCGGGGACCCTCTAGACAGGTGATGTTCAGATCACATTCATCCGGTCATACACATTCAAGTCATGTTTATGTAACTTTGAAATTGTATCATTTATGAAATTATGATTTGGAATATAATTATATGTTATTTTTATAGTTTCTTCTTTTCTGAAAATATTTTCAGGTTTGTCATTTACTTATTTAAACCTGGTAAGCAGAATGGGTTTATCATCTGCGTCTGAAAATTCTGATCCCTGAAGTCCATGTGGCCTTTTTCTATTATCTGTTGTTTCTGCTGGTTCTCCCTCAAGTGCTTTTGCTTTCATGTGAGTGTGAGTCTCTTTAACTACATGTTTGACACTGCTCTTGAAAGTTACACATGAGGGTTTCCTGAGGCTCCGGAGGAATATGCTTTCCCCTGGGAGGCTGCGCATGTGCTACTGTCGGGTGCTTAGACACGCTGCTGCCTGGGAACCATCTCAAACCAAATTAACGCTTGAGGCTCTCTGGCTCCCTTAGATTCTGTGTGCTCAGAATGCAAATATATGTGAGAGCTGGTCTGTGGCCAATATTTCTAAGGATTTTTTTCCTTTTCTTTTTTTCTCCTGTTTACGTTTTCTAGTCTCTTGCGGTTATGAGGCAGAAGAGCATGTTTAGTTCTGCTTAACTCTCATGCTGTGGGGGTTGCACCTGTGGTTAAGGGCTATAGGGACACTTTCGGACCTGTCCTCCTGTGCTGGACTTCTGTCTCCCTCACTCCACAAGACTAACAACCTTGGCCAACTGGGTGTTGCCCCCAGTTCCCTCAGGGAAAATGTAGCTTGGATCTCCCCTAACCCCGTTCAATATATTATTCAGAAAACAGGCTTTATCCTAAAAGTGGACATTGAGTCCCCACTCGTCAACTTTTATCAGCTTTTCAATTTTTAAAGGCAATCCAAATAACCTAGCCCTCCTTTTCTGGAAAAAAGAAGTCTTCTGCTAGAAATATTGAACTTTGTAATTAACAAAAGGTAGAATAACCCAAAAGTTTTTTGCTTTGGGAATCTGCTGATAAAAATGTAGGTGAATATAGCTTGATTTTATTAAAGAATAAATGTTTATTAGTAATAGTCAAGATAAATCATTTCAGTTGGCTTCATTATTTGTAAAGCTGTATGAAATTCCAAGTAGCACTGTCTTTCTATCTCTGCACCTGGTACTCAGTTGATAAAAGTGTTTTGAATGACCAGGGACACAGATGGTGACCTGTACTAGTTTTTAATCATGTGACCTTAGGCTTCCATTTTCTCAATTTTGAAATGAGAAGGTTGAACTCTGAACTCTGAAATGACAAGGTCGTATCAGTTGAAAAAGTAGCATGGCTTATTTCAGAGCTAATAATCTGGGCTAATCACATTTCAGCTCTTTTCCCTGGGAAGGAAGGGAAAAACAGGTTTATCCAGTTACTACTTTTTCCCCCTCTCCTCAGTCTAAAGAATAAAAGAGTTTGTGACAGCATATGAACATAAATGAATATAGTAACACAGAAATATATACTGGTACTTTAAAAACAGAGGAAGAGAAAAGAGATGAACACACACATTTATTCCCTAATGTCCTATAATTGGGTCCACATCTATGCAAAACTGTGTGGTCGCCCAAGCAGAAAAGAAAACTTGATTAGTTACTAAACTCACATCGTGTGTGAAATAATGGCAAGCCACAGAAAAGCTTTTCTAGATCCTTGTTCTGAGAAAATCTTCTCCCATGGGTTTTTAACGTCAGTTTTCTAGGTCTTCCATAGAAAATGACCACAAACTGGGTGGCTCAGAACAATAGAAATGTATTCTCAGTTTAGGAGGATGGAAGTCTGAAATTGAGGTGTTGGCAGATTATTTTGGGGGATGCTGAGGCTGTCCCAGGATGACCTCCCAGCTTCTAGTGGCTGCTGGCAACCCTTGGTATTCATTCTTGTTTGTTTGTTTGAGATGGGGTCTCCCTCTGTTGCCCAGGATGGAGTGCAGTGGCATGATCTTGGCTCACTGCAGCCTCCTCCTTGGGCACAAGCAATCCTCCTGCCTCAGCCCCCAAGTAGCTGGGATTACAGGCATGCACCACCACGTCTGGCTATACATTATATATATATATATATACACACACACACACATATATATATGGTATTTTTTGTAAAGACAGGGTTTTGCCACGTTGCCCAGGCTGATCTCAAACTCCTGCACTCAAGCCATCTGCCCATCTCAGCCTCTTGAGTAGCTGGGACTGCAGGCGTGTGTCACCACGCCTAGCCCTTGGCATTCTTTAGCTTATATTTGTATCACTCCAAATTCTACCTGGCATCTCATGACCTTCCCCTCTGTGTGCCTGTTGTCTCTGTATCCAAATTTCACTCTCCTTTCTCTTATTAAGACACCAATGGATTTAGAGCCCACCTAAATCCAGTAGGACCCCATCTCAACTTGATTATATCTGCAAAGACCCTGTTTCCAAATAAAACCACATTCACATGTACGAGTGGTTAGGTCTTGAATATGTATTTTTGGGGGACAAAATTCACAGGTCTTTACAAAAGAAAGCCTGAAGCGTGTAGCGGAAACATTTACACCTCCTCCAGCTGCCCTGCTCCCAGAGTATCCAGCGCCTCCTGTGCTCCACCCTCTTGTATCTCATCACCCCAAAGATGACTCCTTGACCACCTGGATGTCCGGCATATTCTAACAGATTGTTCTGAACTGCCCAGAGGGGCATTAATAAATAACAATAGCTGTATTAGCTATATCAGCTAGTTATTTGTACAAGAAATAGAAAAAGCACTGTCAGTACTTACTGTGAACTGAAGCTTCCTGGAAGAATACGAGATTTTAGAATCGTGATCAGTTTATCTTGGCTGAGTCTAATTAAGGTTTTGGAATGAGGATCTAGCCATCTTTATCCTTACTCCAAATTTCTATTTGAATAAACTGCCATGTTTGCTGCTATGTTTTAGCTAAAGTATGCATTGGGCAGAGTTTTCTGTGCCAAAGTCCAGAGAAGTTAAGACAATGGAGGTTCTGGGAAGAGTTTTGAGCCTCTGTGGTTAAATGGGTGCTATGGTTTGCATGTGCCCCCCAGATTCCGTGTACTGGAAACCTAATCTCCAGCTTCATATGTTGATTGGAGGTGGGGCCTTTGGGAGGTAATTAGAATTAGACAAAGTCATTAAGACAGGGACCCCATGATGAGACTAGTGGCTTTATAAGAAGAAAAGAGACTTGAGGTGGCAGGCTCTTGCCTTTTGCCATGTTATGACACAGCAAGAAGCCTCACTAGACACTAGTGCCTTGCTCCTGGACTTCCAAGTCTGCAGAACTGTGAGCTAAATAAGCTTCTATTGTTTATAAATTATCCAGTCTGTGGTATTCTGTGATAGCAACAGAAAGCAGACCAAGACAATGAGTTAGAGACAGAAGCTGCTCTAAATGTTAATTGAGGAGCCTCAAGACATAAGCATACTGCTTTAGGGTTCATATTGGGGCATAGAGCCCAGGGAGAGGGAGGCTTTGTCATTTTTCTGTGGACACACAGCTTGACCATGCAGCGGGGAGGAGGACCAAACGGAAACCTGTGCCATTCTGTGTATGAGAACGTTTGCAGCATGGAGAATGTAGCAAGTAAGGAAGTAGCCTTCTGTGTGTTAGAGAAGAGACACTGGTAGCTATGGCAGTGAATAAGTGACTCCTCTCTCAAACACTTCTAAGTAGAGGACTTACTCATATAAGAAAGTTGGCCAGGCTCAGTGGCTCATACTTGTAATCCCAGCACTTTGGGAGGCCAAGCCAGGCAGATCACTCGAGGTCAGGAATTTGAGACCAGCTTGGCCAATGTGGTGAAACCCTGTCTTTACTAAAAAATACAAAAATTAGCTGGGCGTGGTGGCACACACTTGTAATCTCAGCTACTTGGGAGGCTGAGGCAGGAGAATTGCTAGAACCTGGGAAGCAGAGGTTATAGTGAGCCGAGATCATGCCACTACACTCTAGCCTGGGTGACAGAGCAAGACTCTGTCTCAAAAATAAAAAAAAAATTTTAAATGCAATGCCAAAATTAATGAACATGAGTGAATTTGTTTCTGAGCAAATGTGAGACAATTCTGGAGAGTCCCTGGAACAACTAAGATAATTTTTATTAAAAAAAAAAAATCTTGAATAGCAACCATTTTATTTTTATTGTGGTAAAATATACATAACATAAAATACGCCATTTTAATAATTTTACAATGTACAATTCAGCAGCATTAAGTACATTTACATTGTTGTGCAGTCATCACCACCATCTATGTCCAGAGCTTTTTCATCATCCCAAACTGAAACTCTGCACTCATTAAACAATAATTTTCAATTCTCCCCTTACCCCAGCCCCGACAACTTTGATTTTACATTTTGTCTCTAGGAATCTGACTACCTTAGACAATATTTGTACAATATTGTACAATTATTAGACAACATTTGTACAATTGTAATTTGTAAATATTGTACAATTATAAAGTATCGTACAGTGTTTGTCTGTCTTTGTTTGGCTTATTTCACTTGGCATAATGTCCTTAATGTCCATCCACATTGTACCATGCATCAGAATTTCCTTCCTTTTCATGCCTAAATAATATTCCCTTATATGTATGCACTATATTTTGTTTATCCAGTCACCTGTTGACAGCCAGGAGAACTCTAATGTGGGGACTGAGGTCCTGCAGCTGTGTTGATGGGAACTAACAAGGTGACAGAGTTCAGATGCCAACACTAGCAAGAACTCAGTTGCACCATAGATTTGTCATACTTTTGGACACCCAGGTTACTGAATTGTGTGATTCTTTTCATCTGGCAAATGTCTTTTTTTACAGCTGAGGAAATGAACCCCCAGCTTGCTAAAGTCCTCGTATGTGCTGTCCCCTCTGCCCATGCTTGTCCCCTGATGACTGGACTTGGGCTTTGGCTCTGCCAAGAATGAATGATTGGCCAGGTGTGGTGGCTCACGCCTGTAATCCCAGCACTTTGGGATGCCAAGGTGGATGGAACTCTTGAGGTCAGGGGTTCGAGACCAGCCTGGCCAGCATGGTGAAACCCATCTCTACTAAAAATACAAAAATTAGCCAGACGTGGTGATGCACACTTGTAATTCCAGCTACTCAGGAGGCTGAGGTGTAAGAATCACTTGAACCCGAGACGCGGAGGTTGCAGTGAGCAGAGATCGTGCCACTGCACTCGAGCCTGGGCGACAGAGCAAGACTCTGTCTTAAAAAACAAACAAAACAAAAAACAATGAATAATTGGCTTCTCTCCCTTAAGCCTTGCAAGTAGAATCAGGGGGCCGTCCAGCCCAGTCATAAGAAAACTGAAGTGACCTCTCTTCTCTCTGACTGCCAACAGAATGGGTCACAAGAAACAAGCTCTCTCTATCGTTATTGGAATTCTTAATTTATCTTTGTGAAAATAAATCCTATTTACATAAAAAGAACTTTATCAGATTTACTTGTTCATGTTCTCTCAAGAGTTATATAGAATTGGTAGATATATTCCCAAATTGCCATATTGTCAGATGGGCAATTTGGCCCATCTGACTGATAGAACACTGAGAGGGTGTGATTGATGTGTGCAGAAGAACACAGCTGGAGGGCCATTTGAGTGTAATTACTTGGGGTTTTATTACTCTCCTTGCAAATGAAAAATGTGAAGATGTGCAAGTGCCAATTGTTCCCAATTACTTGAAATAGTTTCTGTTAATATCCAACCCCTTTCTGCAATTGTATTGCCAACTCCAAAGGGAAATTACCAGATTATTGTATAGATTGTTAAGGTGGCTGAGCATGGTGGCTCACACCTGTAATCCCGGCACTTTGGGAGGCCGAGGTGGGAGCATTGCTTGAGCCCAAGCATTCAAGACTAGCCTGGGCAACATAGGGAGACCCCATCTCTACAAAAAATTTAAAAATTAGTCAGGTATAGTGAAGCCCACGTGTGGTCTTAGCTATTCAGGTGGCTGAGGTGGGAGGATTGCTTGAGCCCAGGAGGTTGAGGCTGCAGTGAGCACCACTGCACTCCAACCTGGGAGACAGAATAAGACTCTGTCTCAAAACAAAAAACAAACAAAAAGGCCGGGCACAGTGGCTCACGCCTGTAACCCTAGCACTTTGGGAGGCCAAGGCGGGAGGATCACCTGGGGTCAAGAGTTCGAGACCAGCCTGGCCAACATGGTGAAAACTCATCTGTACTAAAAATACAAAAATTAGCTGGGCATGGTGGCGGGCACCTGTAATCCCAGCTACTTGGGAGGCTGAGACAGGAGTATTGCTGGAACCTGGGAGGTGGAGGTTGCAGTGAGCCAAGATCGTGACATTGCACTCCAACCTGGGCAACGGAGCAAGAACTCCATTTCAAACAAATAAACAAATAAAAATAACAACAACAAAACATATACATCCATATATATTGGTTAAGCTATATACACACACATATATATATAGCTTAATAAAACAATTACATGGTTGAAATAAGATCATCAGAAAAGTTACCTGAATTCAATTAGAACAGTATGTGTCACCTCTTTGAGGCTCAACGGAATATTGATAACAAATTAATAAATAAATAGCCACATAGAAAATACAATATAACTTTATACAAATAATAGTATATTGCCATAACTAGATATGTAAAGTCTCCTTGACACATAAACAGTAAGAGGAAAAACCACAAATCAAATCAAACTTTTTAAAAATCTTTTTTCCCTTTCTAATTTTTTTTAGTTAGCTTTGAGTTCAGCTATCAAAACCAAACTTTTTTTAACTCATTTTCTCTCCTGACAAAAAAAAAGCATAAGTAGAAAAATAAAATAAAATTGGGAATATTCGTTTTATTCCACAAAAATGAAGTGAGCAATTCTGAGTGGAACTTTGGTTACAGAAGAGACAAGCTGCTTCCTGAGATAGGGGGATTTTATGAAGAAGATAGAATGAGAGAATACAAATAATGGTTGATCTAATAATTTGCAATTGAAGTTGAGACAACCTAAGCCACCTTCCCAACTCTCCCACTTCTCAGGAGTGATATCAATGTCTTATTAATTTAATGAAGCCCTAGGAATCATGAAACTGAGTTGTACTTTGGAGAAAAGGAATCAAAAGTCTCTCTCTCTCATTGAAGATACCAAAAAGATAATTTAAAACACATATTCTATTTGACTTTGTATTAATCCATTTTCATGGTGCTGATAAAGACGTACTTGTCCTGGGCAATTTACAAAGGAAAGAGGTTTAATGGAGAGCTCCAGTTCCAGGTGGCTGGGGATGCCTAATGATCATGGCAGAATGCATGCAGGAGCAAGTCACATCTTACATGGATGGCAGCATGCAAAGAGAGCTTATGCAGGCGAACTCCTGTTTTTAAAGCCATCAGATCTCATGAGACTTACTCAGTATCACAAGAACAGCTTGGAGAAAAACCCACCCCATGATTCAATTACTTCCCATCAGGTTCCTCTCACAACACATGGGAATTGTGGGAGCTACAAGGTGAGATTTGGGTGGGGACACAGAGCTGAACAATATCATTCTGCCCTTATCCCCTCCCAAAACTCATGTCTTCACATTTCAAAACCAATCATGCCTTCCCAACAGTCCCACGAAGTCTTAACTCATTTCAGTATTAACTCAAAAGTCCACAGTCCAAATTCTTATCCAGATAAGGCAAGTCCCTTCTGCCTATGAGCCTGTAAAATCAAAAGCAAGCTAGTTACTTCCTAGACATAATGGAGGTACAGGAATTGGGTAAATACAACCATTCCAAATGGGGGAAATTGGCCAAAACAAAGTGGCTACAGGCCCCATGCGAGTCCGAAATCCAGCAGGGGAGTCAAATCTTAAAGCTCCAAAATGATCTCCTTTGACTCCATGTCTCACATCCAGGTCATGCTGATGCAAGAGGTGGGTTCTCATGGTCTTGGGCAGCTCTGCCTCTATGGCTTAGCAGAGTACAGCCTCCCTCCCGGCTGTTTTCACAGGCTGGCATTGAGTGTTTGCAGCTTTTTGAGGTACATGGCGCAAGCTATTGGTGGATCTACCATCCTGGGGTCTGGAGGACGGTGGCCCTCTTCTGGGCACAGCTCCACTAGGCAGTGCCCCAGTAGGGACTGTGTGTGGGGTCTCTGACCCCCCATCTCCCTTCTGCACTGCCCTAGCAGAGGTTCTCCATGACAGCCCCACACCTGCAGCGAACTTCTGCCTGGGCATCCAGGCGTTTCCTTACGTCCTCTGAAATCTAGGAGGAGGTTCCCAAACCTCAATTCTTGACTTCTGTGTACTGGCAGGCTCAACACCACATGGAAGCTGCCAAGGCTTGACGCTTGCACCCTCTGAAGCCACAGCCTGAGCTCTACTGTTGCTCCTTTCAGCCATGGTTGAAGTGGCTGGGACGCAAGGCACTAAGTCCCTATGCTGCACACAGCGTAGGGACCCTGGGCCTGGCACATGAAACCACTTTTTCTGCTAGGCCTCTGGGGCTGTGATGGGATGGGCTGCCGTGAAAACCTCTGACGTGCTCTGGATATATTTTCCCCATTGTCTTGGAGATTAACATTCGGCTCCTCGTTACTTATGCAAATTTCTGCAGCTGGCTTGAGTTTCCCCTCAGACAATAAGATTTTCTTTTCTATCGCATTGTCAGGCTGCAAATTTTCCAAACTTTTATGCCCTGTTTCCCTTTTAAATCTGAATGCCTTTAACAACACGAAAGTCTCCTCTGGAATGCTTTGCTGCTTAGAAATTTCTTCCCCCGGATACTCTAAATCATCTCTCGCAAGCTCAAGGTTCCACAGTCTCTAGGGCAGGGACAAAATGCCACCGAGTCTCTTTGCTAAAACATAACAAAAGTCACCTTTGGTCCAGTTCCCAACAAGTTCCTCACCTCCATCTGAGGCCACCTCAGCCTGGATCTTATTGTTCATATCACTATCAGCATTTTTGTCCAAACCATTCAACAAGTCTCTAGGAAGTTCCATACTTTCCCACATTTTCCTTTCTTCTTCTGAGCCCTCCAAACTGTTCCATCCTCTGCCTGTTACCCAGGTCTAAAGTCATTTTCACATTTTCGAGTATCTTTCCAGCATCACCCCACTCTACTGGTACCAATCTACTGTATTAGTCTGTTTTCACACTGCTGATAAAGACGTACTCGAGAATGGGCAATTTACAAAGGAAAGAGGTTTAATGGAGAGCTCACAGTTCTGCGTGGCTGGGGATGCCTCACAATCATGGTGGAAGGCAAGGAGGAGCAAGTCACATCTTACGTGGATGTCCAGAGAGCTTGTGCAGGTAAACTTTATTAACTATCATGAGAATAGCATGGGAAAGACCCGCCCCCAAGATTCAATTGCCTCCCACTGGGTTCCTCCCACAATGCATGGGAATTGTGGAAGCTACAAGATGAGATTTGCGTGGGGATACAGGGCCAAACCATATCAGATTTTATTTTCAAACGCATTTTCTTAATAATACAAGGTGCTTTTTAAAGAAATTATTTATACATATTCCAATTGGCATATATATTTTGTTACCATAAAAAGGTAATATACACATATGGTTGTATATGAAGAAGAAACAGATAGTAGGCTACATGTAAAAATGATAAAGGGCTGCAGCCAATTGAGCTGATGGAGTTCCTTTCCTCCTGGGGCCCAGTGTGCAAAAGCTGCAAACAGCAGCTTCCTTGGTAGTGTACGCAGCCTGTTTCTTAAATGGGTTGCTCTAAGGGACCTTGGAGACAGTCATATGGTTGTTCATGTCTCTGACCTTGCACTACCCTCAGTGCTCTGAATAGGTATTCGAGGTGCCTTTGAAAAGCCCCAGGGTGCTGTGGCCAGGGTTCACATTGGCCAAGTCATCATGTCCATCTGCACCAAGCTGCAGAACAAGGAGCATGTGATTGAGGCCCTATGCAAGGCCAACTTTAAGTTCCCTGGCCGCCAGAATATCCACTTCTCAGAGAAGTGGGACTTTACCAAGTTCAGTGTGGATGAATTTGAAGACATGATGGCTGAGAAGCAGCTTATCCCAATAACTGTGGGGTCAAGTATACCCCCAATCGTGACCCTCCGGACAAGCGGTGGGCCCTGCACTCATGAGGGCTTCTACTGTGCTGCCCCCTCCTAATGCCCACCAATAAATCCTACTTCCTGTCCACCTTAAAAAAATGACAAAGTGTAGTCACCTCTTGAGAGTAAGAATAGGGCTGGTGTGGAAGTGAGTTTTTACTTCTCACTGGACATATTCCATGTTGGAAAACTGTTCTGAAGTGGGTATCATTTTTATAACATTTAAATTTCAAAAAATATTTCACTGTGTGCCTAGTCTGTGCAAGGGGAGAATGCAGAGGAGGGAGGCATTAGAACCACACGTGAGGAACTCTGGAGTCCAGTGTGTTTGACTGCAGAAAGCCATTACTTATCATGTTTGGCTAATAAATACTGTGTGAAGATTACTTCTGATGTGTAATCTCTTAATTACAGATACACAAAAAAGGCCAGTCATGAATCACGCCAAATTGGAAGCAACCAAGATGTCCTTCAGCGTGTGAATGGATAAGCAAACTATGGTGCATTCAGGTAACAGAATATTACTCAGCGCTAAAAAGAAATGAGCTATCAGCCATGAAAAGATGTGGGGGGTATTACGGCCATATTACTCAATGAAAGAAGCCAGTCAAAAATGGCTACAGACATACAATCCAACTGTATGACATTCTGGAAAAGGCAAAACCACGGAGACAGTAAAAAGATCAGTGTTTGCCAGAGGCTGGGGAAGGAGTGAAAGAGTAGGATGAATAGGTGGAGAACCGGAGAATTTTAGCTCAGTGGAGCTAGTTCTGTATGAAACTGTAATGATGGAGAGAGGACTTTAGGCATTTGTCAAAATCCATAGAAGTGTACGATACAAACAGTGAATTTTAATGTATACCATGGATTCAATTAATAATAATGGATCCATATTGGTTTGTCAATTGTAACAAACGTACTACATTAATGCAAGATGGTAACAGCCTAACTGCTGGGCAAAGAGAGGATGCATGGGAGCTCTCTGGACTTTCTGCTCAGTTTTTCTGCGAACCTAAAGCTGCCCCCCAAAAACTAAAACCCAAATTAAGAACAAAGTTAATGCTGTTTAAACATAATAATAATAAAAGGCTACTAATAACATACTAATATAGAAAACTAGTATTTCAAAACCAAGTCAGGACTATGATGCTCTTATCCATATTTGTTTGTTTGTTGTTTTCAAGGTTAGGCGATGCTTTCCTTCACTGTCCAGTTTGCAGAGCCGTCTTGGAGCTGGCGCGGGTCCTCCCTCTGTCGTCCTGGCTCTTGGAAAGGAACCAGGCGGGCTGAGGAACTGGCGCGCCCTCGTCCGCCCACAAGTCCTTGGAAAGCGCAGGCCTCGTGCGCTCTCCAGCGCCCTTCCAGGGCGCAAGGGCAGGACAGGTACATCCCGCGTGCTGCGGTGGCGATCAGCGCGGACACGGAACCTGGCTCCACCCGTCCGCCCAGCCTTGGGGTTCTGCCAGAGCGCCGGGCGCAGAGCAAGCGGGTCTGAGCTCCAGCACCTTTGGCAGCTCCCGGCCCCGGGGTGCGAACGGCGGCCGTGGCTCACCGCTTCAGGAGCAGGCGACCAGGACACTAGGAAGAGAAGCCCGGACCAGGGCTAGTTTGTTTCCCCAACTCCTCTGGCCAGCTCAGGTTCTTAAACCCGCCGTGCAACAGACGCAGGTACCGGCTCAGAAAGCTCAGTCAGTGGTGCAGGAAGCCTGGGTCGCGGTGCATCGTGTTTAAAAATAAACACACACTTCCCTTGGGGCCAGTGGCATTTATTCTACTTAAATTACATAGATCGTTTCCATTCCTTGGTGTCTGAAGTATTAAGGCTGAAGTCTGCTTTCCCAGCTATTTGCATGTATTTGTTTAGGGATGGAGTCGCCCTGCAACACGGGCTGCTCCTATGGCAACTGCTACAAAACAAGATCAGGCTTCACCAGGGTCGGGAGAAGAAACCTCCCAAGAAAGCCAGGCGCTGGAGTCATGGGTGTGGATGTCCTTTTAGGGCCTAGGAAAGTAGGGTCTGATGAGGAGGCATTGAAGAAAAGCCAGTATGACGACGATGCTTTCATGGTGAAGTTTTGTGCATCTTCTACTGAGCATTTTTTAAAGTATGCTCTTCTTTTTTGAGTTAGAAGGAAATATTGGCATTCAGAGTTAATGCTTCTTAAAAACAGTTACGTGGAAAGGAAAGCATTCCATCTTAGCTCATTTGCAAACAATTGCATTATTCTTGATCTTTGTTTATATCTATGTATGTGTCCAATGAATATACTGTAGGATGTATATGTAATTATATATCGTATGTATAGTATAGAATATAATTATATAACTTTTGAAACTTTGTACTTCAGAGAAGGCACTGTTTGGGAAACACATGGACATTTTATACACTGAAGTTTATCTTAAGTTCTTTTTTGTTTTTTTGAGACAGAGTATCACTCAGTTGCCCAGTTTTAAGTTCTCTCTTTTGAGAGGCAGTAAGTCATGATTAGGGAGAATGAATGGACCACAGAGACCGAAATGAAATTGTAAGTGATTCTCTTTGGAATCTGAATGGGCCTGAGAGGCAGACATTATCTCGGGAAAATGTCTGTCAGGTGTGGTCACATTCGTCAGGCTTTTTTTCTGAGATAATGAGATTCCAGGGAGGGCATAGAAAGCATTTATGTTTCTTTTGGTAAGCTCTCTTGGTCAGATAAGGATGTTCCAGGAATAGTCCCTGCCCTTGTGGTTTGGGGAGGCACAAGACAAGGTTAGAGGGACCTTCATTCTGAGGCTTATTTCTGAGGCCGCTCAGCTTTCAAAAGCGCCCAGCGTGCTCAGGTGCCATATTTTGAGGAATGATTTTCTATACCCCTCAACATCATAAAACCACCTCATTTAAGCTTCAAGTGGTGCCTCATGGTTCCTTTCTAGGTTTTTTTTTCTTTTCTTTTCTTTTTATTATTATACTTTAAGTTTTAGGGTACATGTGCACAACGTGCGGGTTTGTTACGTATGTATACATGTGCCATGTTGGTGTGCTGCACCCATTAACTCGTCATTTAGCATTAGGTATATCTCCTAATGCTATCCCTCCCCCCTCCCCCCACCCCACAACAGTCCCCTGTGTGTGATGTTCCCCTTCCTGTGTCCATGTGTTCTCATTGTTCAATTCCCACCTATGAGTGAGAATATGCGGTGTTTGGTTTTTTGTCCCTGCGATATTTGCTGAGAATGATGGTTTCCAGCTTCAGCCATGTCCCTACAAAGAACATGAACTCATCCTTTTTTATGGCTGCATAGTATTCCATGGTATATATGTGCCACATTTTCTTAATCCAGTCTATCATTGTTGGACATTTGGGTTGGTTCCAAGTCTTTGCTATTGTGAATAGGGCCACAATAAACATAAGTGTGCATGTGTCTTTATAGCAGCATGATTTATAATCCTTTGGGTATATACCCAGTAATGGGATGGCTGGGTCAAATGGTATTTCTAGTTATAGATCCCTGAGGAATCGCCACACTGACTTCCACAATGGTTGAACTAGTTTACAGTCCCACCAACAGTGTAAAAGTGTTCCTATTTCTCCACATCCTCTCCAGCACCTGTTGTTTCCTGACTTTTTAATGATTGGCATTCTAACTGGTGTGAGATGGTATCTCATTGTGGTTTTGATTTGCATTTCTCTGATGGCCAGTGATGATGAGCATTTTTTCATGTGTTTTTTGGCTGCAGAAATGTCTTCTTTTGAGAAGTATCTGTTCATATCCTTTGTCCACTTTTTGATGGGGTTGTTTGTTTTTTTCCTGTAAATTTGTTTGAGTTCATTGTAGAGTCTGGATATTAGCCCTTTGTCAGATGAGTAGGTTGCAAAAATTTTCTCCCATTCTGTAGGTTGCCTGTTCACTCTGATGGTAGTTTCTTTTGCTGTGCAGAAGTTCTTTAGTTTAATTAGATCCCATTTGTCAATTTTGGCTTTTGTTGCCATTGCTTTTGGTGTTTTAGACATGAAGTCCTTGCCCATGCCTATGTCTTGAATGGTATTGCCTAGGTTTTCTTCTAGGGTTTTTATGGTTTTAGGTCTGACATGTAAGTCTCTAATCTGTCTTGAGTTAATTTTTGTATAAGGTGTAAGGAAGGGATCCAGTTTCAGCTTTCTACATATGGCTAGCCAGTTCTCCCAGCACCATTTATTAAATAGGGAATCCTTTCCCCATTGCTTGTTTTTATCAGGCTTGTCAAAGATTAGATAGTCGTAGAGAATGCGGCATTATTTCTGAGGGCTCTGTTCTGTTCCATTGGTCTATATCTCTGTTTTGGTACCAGTACCATGCTGTTTTGGTTACTGTAGCCTTGTAGTATAGTTTGAAGTCAGGTAGCGTGATGCCTCCAGCTTTGTTCTTTTGGCTTAGGATTGACTTGGCAATGCGGGCTCTTTTTTGGTTCCGTATGATCTTTAAAGTAGTTTTTTTCCAATTCTGTGAAGAAAGTCATTGGTAGCTTGATGGGGATGGCATTGAATCTATAAATTACCTTGGGCAGTATGGCCATTTTCAAGATGTTGATTCTTTCTACCCATGAGCATGGAATGTTCTTCCATTTGTTTGTATCCTCTTTTATTTCATTGAGCAGTGGTTTGTAGTTCTCCTTGAAAAGGTCTTTCACATCCCTTGTAAGTCGGATTCCTAGGTATTTTATTCTCTTTGAAGCAATTGTGAATGGGAGTTCACTCATGATTTGGCTCTCTGTTTGTCTGTTATTGGTGTATAAGAATGCTTGTGATTTTTGCGCATTGATTTTGTATCCTGGGAGTTTGCTGAATTTGTTTTTCAGCTTAAGGAGATTTGGGGCTGAGATGATGGGGTTTTCTAGATATACAATCATGTAATCTGCAAACAGGGACAATTTGACTTCCTCTTTTCCTAATTGAATGCCCTTTATTCCCTTCTCCTGCCTGATTGCCCTGGCCAGAACTTCCAACACTATGTTGAATAGGAGTGATGAGAGAGGGCATCCCTGTCTTGTGCCAGTTTTCAAAGGGAATGCTTCCAGTTTTTGTCCATTCAGTATGATTTCTTTTCTTTTGTTTTGAGATGGAGTCTGGCTGTGTCCCCAAGGCCGGAGTGCAGTGGCACAATCTCAGCTCACTGCAACCTCCACCTCCTGGGTTCAAGTGACTCTCCTGCCTCAGCCTCCCCCGTAACTGGAATTATAGGCACATGCCATGACGCCCAGCTAATTTTTGTATTTTTAGTAGAGACAGGGTTTGATATCCACTCACTTTAACCTCCCAAAGTGTTGGGATTACAGGCGTGAGTCACCTCACTCGGCCGATCTGAAGTTCTTATATTAAATATAGAGTTGACGTTTAGGATTCCTCTGGATCCAGCCTAAAAAGCAAGGCTTTATTTCCTTCTAAAGACTTGTAACACTATCAGACCCAATGCTCACCATTTTTCTTCCTTTTTTTTTGGAGACAGAGTCTTGCTATGTTGCCCAGGCTAGACTGCAGTGACTATTCAATACTGGCACCATCAGACTGCACTGTGGCCTTGAACTCCTGACCTCAAGGGATCCTCCTTGAGTTCTCGGCCTCCCCTATAGCAACAGGCATGCACCAATCATCTTTCCTTTTTTTCTTTTTTTTTTTTTCTTTTGAGATGGAGTCTCACACTGTTGCCTGGACTAGAGTGCAATGGCGTGATCTTGGCTCACTGCAACCTCCGCCTGTCAGGTTCAAGCGATTCTCCTGCCTCAGCCTCCCAAGTAGCTGGGATTACAGGTGCCCACCACCACGACTGGGTAATTTTTTGTACTTTTTGTAGAGACCAGTTTTCACTACGTTGGCCAGGCTGGTCTGAAACTTCTGATCTTGTGATCCACCCACCTTGGCCTCCCAAAGTGCTGGGATTACAGGCGTGAGCCACGGAGCCTGGCCCATGCTCACTTTTTATAAGCAAATTTTTCGGTAATACCTAGTATGGTTAATTTTTAAAAAATAGTCTTTATTTTTAAGAGCAGTTTTAAGTTCACAGCAAAACTGAGTAGAATGTAGGTACAGAGATTTCCCATACACATAGCTTCCCCTACACATAGCTTCCCCTATTATCAACATCCCCAGTCAGAGTGGTACGTTGTTGCAATTGGTGATGCTGCACTGACACATCATTATCACCCAAAATCTGTGATTTACTTATGGTTCACTCCTGTACATACTATGGGTATGACCAATGTCTACTGACATGTATCCACCATTATAGTATCATACCGAGTAGTTCCACTGCCCTAAAAATCCTCTGAGATCCATCTATTCATTCCTCCCTCCCCACCAACCCCTGGCAAACACTGACCTTTTCACTGTCTCCATAGTTATGCCTTTTCCAGACTGTCATATAGTTGGAATCATACAGTATAGAGCCTTTGCAGATTGGCGTCTTTCACTTAATAATATACATTGTAGGTTTCCTTTCTGCCCTTTCATGGCTTGAGGGCTCATATCTTTCTAGCGCTAAAAATTTTCCATTGTCTGGATGTACCACAGTTTTTTCACACATTCACTTACTGAAGGACATCTTGGTCATATCCGAGTTTGGGCATTTATGAATAAAGCTGCTATAAGCATTCGCGTGCAGGTTTTTGTGTGGACGTAAGTTTTCAACTCATTTGGGTAAATACAAGAACTATGATTGCTGGATCATATGACAAGAGTACGATTAGGTTTACATTAGTAAGAAGCCTCCAAACTGTCTTCCAAATTGTCTGTATCATTTTGCATTTCCACCAACACTGTGGAAGAATTCCAGTTGCTCCACATCCTCACCAACATTTGGTGTTGTCAGTGTTCAAGATTTTGGCTATTCTAATACGTGTGTTGTAATATCTCGTTGTTTTCATTTGCATTTCCCTGATGATATATGAGGTGGAGCATCTTTTCATGTGTTTGCCATGTAACAAATATCCTTAACACCTCCTTAACAATTCTGAAATGCAATTCTTAGTTAATATCATTTACCTACAACATAATTGTTAAAATAATCAATACAATGCTCTAAGAAATAAAGGACTAAAAGGAAAGTGATGAATAATGACATAGTACAGGGACCCCACGAGAGAAGACATGAAGAATTAGACAGATGATTGCCCTTAAATGTCATAGAATCACCATGGAAGTGCCTCATATTGGCAAGTAAAATATCCCAAATCAGCAATGATATTCTCTAAAATGGCAAACAGCTGTCAGTAAAGCAAGCAAAACAAAGTATAATCTTCCTTCTTTTCACATTGTAGTTGCATGTGTGGAAATTTGTTGTATATTAAAATTACACAAAACACATTTCGTGTTTATATGTAAAATAGAGTTGAGGTCTAGATGCAGATAATTATACATAGGGTGCTTAGTTTGTTTTTCTTACACAAACATCTGTTGGGATATTCAGAATTTGACAGAACTGTCCCATGCCAACAGTGCTACCCCAATATTGTGAAAAAAAAATCCTACTTTAAAAACCACTGTTCTAAAAGATGGAACTTGGTTGGGTGTGGTGGCTCATGCTTGTAATCTCAACACTTTGGTATGCTGAGATGGGAGGATTGCTTGATTGAGCCCAGGAGTTCAAGAGCAGCCTGAGCAACATAACAACACCCAGTCTCTACCAAAAATTTTGTAAATTAGCTGGGCATAGGGCATGTGACTGTACTCCCAGGAGGCTGAGCTGTACTTATTCATAGAGGGTCTTGCCTGCAAGTTGTCCAGGTTAATGGCATTTTTGAACAAAGAATTGGACAAAATGCACAGCAAAGCAAGGAAAGAATGAAACAAAGAAAGCAGAGATTTATTGAAAGTAAAAGTACACTTCGCAGTGTGGGAGCAGTTGGAGCAGCAGCTCAAGGGCCCAGATGCAGAATCTTCTTGGGTTCAAATACCCCCTAGAGGTTTCCCATTGGCCACTTGGTGTTCACCTCATGTAAATGGAGCGGTGGCTCACAATCAGTGTGATTGGTTACGGACAGTAACCGATCAGAGGCTGAAGTGAAGTTACAAAGGTCACACTCCTATGCACACATCTGATTGGTCTCGCAAAGCTAACAATCAGAGGGTAAAGCGAAGTTACAAAGTTGCTCTTCTATGCAAACCAAGACTTGGCTGGCAATCAGAGATTGGTCTTGGAAAGCTAACAGTCAGAGGCTAAAGTAAAGTTTCAAAGTTACACGCCTATGCAAACGTCTGATTGGTTGCAATCAGAGGTACTTTCAATTTCCCATCTGCCCGAGCAGAAAAGACGGGTTTGCAAAGGGAGTAGCCTCTGGTCCTTGTCACTTAGGTGTGGAAAGTTAGGGTTTTCCTTCCAGGGCCTATTGTTCTACCTCAGGAAGACTGATTGAGCTAAAGAGCGAGGCTGCTTTGAGCCATGATCACGCCACTGCACTCAAGCCTGGGTGACAAAGCAAGACCCTGCCTAGCAAAAAAAAAGAAAAAGAAAAAGATATAACTCTTTCTCCAACAGGAACATTATGAATTTTATTCACTGACTTGAGATTTGAGTCCAAGAAGGAAGGTGAAGTTGCTGAAAAACCAGACTCACTTAAAAGTCAAAAGCCGAGCCAGGCATAGTGGCTCACACCTGTAATCCCAGCATTGTGGGAGGCCAAAGTAGTTGGATCACCTGAGGTCAGGAGTTCAAGACCAGCCTGGCCAACATGGTGAAAACGCGTCTCTACTAAAAATACAAAAATTAGCCTGTCATGGTGACAGGTGCCTGTAATCCCAACTACTTGGAAGTCTGAGAATTGCTTGAACCCGAGAGGTGGAGGTTGCAGTGAGCTGAGATCACACCATTTCACTCCAGCCTGGGTGACAAGAATGAAACTCCGTCTAAAAAAAAAAAAGAAAAAAGAAACAAAAAAGTCTAAAGCTGGTAAACTAATCCCAATGAGAAGCTTGGCATTGAAATGATGAGTTTATTCACAGAGAAAAAGAGCAAAGTCTCCAAAAGTTTTCTAGGCATTTTATAACTGAGCTGGCCCCAAGTGCAGGTGCAGGAGCTCTTAGAAGCTCAGCCACGGGGAATAACACTGCAGGAAATACATGTCCAGGGATGAGCTGAATGAAATGGGTGGGATGGGATCCAGTATCCCATCTCTTCAACTTCGAACAGCTGCCCGCCTGTAGAAACCGTTGCAAGCTAGCTTGAGGACAGTATCCCTTCTGCAGGGCTGCATGCCGTTTGCTTGTCTGGCAATCCCATAACTCATAGGCAGATGCTGTATGCCATATACCAAATAGCAAAGTGGAGATGTGCAGGGTAGGAAAACTGGATTGCGAGGAAGGAGATGAGGCAATCATTCTCAACCTTGGCTGCACGACAGAATCTCTCGGGAAGACTTTATAAAATATGAATGCCAGGGCCCATTCCTATGGTGTTCTTTTTTTCTTGATAAATGTTAGCAATGGTTTTATTAGTCTTATGTCCTTGCTTTTGTGTACTATCTGTCCCCAGGGAGATTATTTTTGAGAATTACCCCTAAATTTTCATTGTTTTCTCCCTTCAAATTCAGTGCTTGTGAGACACATTATGAAAAAGAGAAGCGACTCCGCGTTTGTTTAATGCATTACTTCCTCCACTTAACCTCTTGCTTATTGGAGCTAAAAGCAGATTCTGTAGTCCTTATCCCCTAGTGGCTCTAATCCCCACTCTCCTAACCAGGAATTTACCATTGTAGTTTCAATGCAATGGCCGTTTCATTTTCTTTTTCCATCCTAATCCAGTAGTTAGCTTAACTTGCTCTACAGTGAAATACACGCATGGTATTCTGACTTAATTGACCGAGTGCATGACCCTGGCATCAAAAATTTTTAAAGGCTGATAAGGTGATTCTAATGTGCATTTGGGGTGGAGAATACCAATCTGGCAGCTGGAAACAAAAGAAGAGTGAACATTTTCCCACTGGGCGCTTCCAGAAAGTAATTAAATACATATAAGTGCTGGGAAAAAAGGAGGCTAAGTCCTGAGATATTAACTAGTTATATGATGTTGAGCTGGCTATCTTATCTAAGACTCAGTGTCATCTTTAAAAGGAGGGAAACTATAGCACCAGCCATATACAGGTGTGAAGATTAAATGAGCTAGTATGTGTAAATCACTTAGCATGGTGCTTGACAGTGCCCAACAGACAGGCCCAAGGCATAGTGGCTCATGCATGTGGTCCCAGCGCTTTGGGAAGCTGAGGCAGTAGGTTCGTTTGAGCCCAGGAGGTTGAGGCTGCAGTGAGCCATGATCGTGCCACTGCATTCCAGCCTGGGAGACAGAGAGAGACTGCATCCCCCCAAAAAAAAAAAAAAAAACAGTTGGCTGGGCACGGTGGTTCATGCCTGTAATCCCAGCATTTTGGGAGGCCGAGGTGGGCGGATCACCAAGGTCAAGAGTTCAAGACCGGCCTGACCAACATGGCAAAACCCCGCCTCTACTAAAAATACAAAAATTAGGCTGGGCACTATGGCTCATGCCTGTAATCTCAGTACTTTGGGAGGCCAAGGCGGGTGGATCACAAGGTCAGGAGATCAAGATCGTCCTTGCCAACATGGTGAAATCCCATCTCTACTAAAAATACAAAAATTAGCCATGCGTGGCTGTGCACACCTGTAGTCCCAGCTACTTGGGAGACTGAGGCAGGAGAATTGCTTGAACTCGGGAGGTAGAGGTTGCAGTGAGCCAAGATTATGCCACTGCACTCCGGCCTGGGCGACAGAGCAATACTCCTTCTCAAAAACAAACAAACAAAGTGCCCAGTAAATGACTGGTGTTTCGTCATCATCCTCATTGTCATTTTAGAGAATAAAAACATTGGATTAGAAGTTTATATACAACATATTTGCCTCCATAAATAAGTGCAAATTCTGAAATTCAAAGCAAAAAATTTTTTAAAAATCATTTTATATTTGCTGAGAGCTTTTCCTTTGAACATAGATTGGGGGAGGCAGTTTCATGGATTTCCATGTTCATAACTGGATCTGTCCCCAGTCTTTTTCTGGCATTCCCAGCCTTGAACCGCGTCTTGTTAATCCTCCTCCACAAAAGCCCATACTAGCTTTTATTTATTTTCTCTCAGAATATTCCATGTCTATAATTTCTGTTGATTTATGCTCTATAAATACTAATTCCAGACTTGTGTAGCCAGCACTTTCTGGCCCCAAGCACTCCACAAAATGGACTCAGATTGTCTTCTTGTATAACGCACAGTCTACCAGTTTGGTGAAAGGTGATAAAGTGATCTGTGGAGCTCAGATGGAAAGAAGCGTCTGGGAGAGCCAGGCTCCTAATCACTTAAATCCTTTCCAAACGTGGGGAGGGGGGTGGTGCGAGGGAGAATGAGAGCAGACAAAGCTGGCTGTCATTGCTATGATTAGGCTTTCGCTCTAAGCCTCCAGAGAGTTGTGAGCTGGGGTAAATGATGTGAAGGATTCATTTCGCCTGGATAGAGATAGGCTCAAGGAGCTGCACCAGTAAAAGTGGGATGAACGGCGTCTTAGACTCCCTTTCCTCTAAGCCCAGCGCAAGCCACAGCCTCGTGAACAGCTCAATGTAATAAGACAAATCCAAGGAAAAAGAAGGAATACGCTTCCTCCTGAGAGCTAGATTGGAGTGTCTCTAATCCCCTCAAACTGTTATCTGTCAGGAATCTTATTTGTGAGCAACAGAATCCAACTCCAATAACTTTGGAAGGAAGAAATTTAGCAGAAGGCTATTCAGGAGCTCCGGCTCGTGCTGAGCAGATGGGAGAAGCAGGCTTAAAGTCAAAGCTTTGGTGGCAGGCAGGAGCAGAAGTCAGTCAGTGAGGACACCAGTGCAGTGGGCATTGGACACAAGACCACAATGCTCACCATGGCTGATGCTGGCACGAGATAGTGGTTGCTGATGCAGGCATCGCTACCTCTGCACTTGGGAACTTGCCAGTACTCCCCCATCTGCCACCAACCACCTATCCGTGGTTTCGCCACCACCCACCTATCCGTGGTTTCTCCACCACCCTGCTTCCTGGGATGCAGCAACCCCCAAACAGATGCAGTTTTGGGCCAGCGTTATGGAAGAGAAAGCAAATCCCCCAAATGTCTGAATCACAAACACAGAGACCTCACCCCCGTGACAGTGGAAACAAATGCCCTGGCCTCTGACCCCTACAGATCCGCGTTCCTGCCCCTAAACGGTGCAGTGAGGGGAGAGCTGGGCTGCAGAACAGGTGGAGAGAAGAACGTGGTGTGTCCCCTAGGGGTCAGTGCTAGGACATATTGTCTCCAGGGTCTCGTGCCTTTCTGTTTGGTTGAGGGCAACATTTCTCAGAAGTATGTGGATACCTGGGATTTTAAGAGGGTATCATGGCAACTCTTTCACTCTCTAGTTTTAGAGGTGATCTTGACAAATGTCTCTCACCTGAGAGCCTTTGAGTATGTACCAACTAACCATATGGGGCAATTGGGGGATCAGATAAAAAGGCTGATGACACGGTCACTCTATTGAGTTAGCACCAGCTGAGCACAACAGCCCACCATGTTGTCTCTGACTACCATGGAGCATGGCAGGCTGCTTGTTGTCACCCCACATCCATTTTCCCCTTCTTCATTAGAGAATGGTGAGCCAGCTAAAAATTGTATTTCCCAGTCTTCTTCTTCTCCTCCTCCTCCTTCTTTTCCTCCCTCCTCCCTCCTCCCTTTCCCCTTCACCTCCCCTCCCCCTTCACCCTCCCCAACCCCTTCTCTTCCCCCTTGTTCTCCTTCTCCCCCTCCTTCTCCTTCTCCTTCTTCTGACAGGGTCTTGCTTTTTCACCCAAGCTAGAGTGCAGTGGTGCAATCATGGCTCACTGAAGCCTCAACCTACTGGCTTAAACGATCCCTCCACATCAGCCTCCCAAGCAGCTGGGACTACAGGCACACACCACCACGCCTGGCTGGTTGTTAGATTTTTTTGCAGATATGTGGTTTTTGCCCTAGCTGGTCTTGAACTCCTGTTCTCAAGTGATCGTCCCACCTCAGGCATCCAAAGTGCTGTGAATATAGGTATGAGCCATCACACCCTGCCTACCCCAGCCTTTTTTACAGCTAGGTGTGGCCATGCAGCTAAGTTTTCATCAGTGAATTGTGAGAGGAAATAATGCACGAAATTTTGATTTCAGCCGGGCTCAGTGGCTCACGCCTATGATCCCAACACTTTGGGAGGCTGAAGCTGGCAGGTGGATCACTTGAGCTCAAGACTTCAAGATCAGTCTGTCCAACATGGTGAAACCCCATCTCTACTACAAATACAAAAATTAGCCAGGCGTGGTGGCACACGCCTGTAATCCCAGCTACTGGGGAGGCTGAGGCAGGAGATTCACTTGAACCCGGGAGGTGGAGGTGGCAGTGAGCCGAGATCACTCTACTGCACTCCAGCCTGGGCAACAAAGTGAGACTCCATCTCAAAAAAAAAAAAAATTCTTTTTTGGTCTTACTTCCTTAAAACACTCCCCAAAACTTGGCCTTTACTTCCCCCCAAATTGTTACAGATTTTCATTTTTTCCCTTTCTTGAATCAGAAAATGGCTATGTTTGCTGCTTGACTTTGATCATGTAGATTAATTCATAGCCCTAGGTCAGTTTTTTTGTTTTGTTTTTTTGTTATTTTTTTTTTTTTTTAGATGGAGTCTCGCTCTTTCACCCAGGCTGGAGTGCAGTGATTTGATCTCAGCTCACCGCAACCTCCACCTCCTGGGTTCAAGAGATTCTCCTGCCTCAGCTTCCCAAGTAGGTGGGATTATAGGCTCGCACCACCACGGCCAGCTAATTTTTGTATTTTTAGTAGAGACAGGGTTTTGCCACATTGGCCAGGATGGCCTCAAACTCCCGACCTCAAGTGATCTGCCTGCCTCAGCCTTCCAAAGTGCTGGGATTACAGGCATGAGCCACCGTGCCCAGCCCAGGAGCTGTTAATCAGGGTTTTATGAATACTCAAGGAATTTGGGGATATAAACCATGTGGGTTAATGAAGTTAAATCAGGGAAAAAAAGTCTTCATTTCAATTTAACTCTAACTGAAATTGTGTTTTTCAATTATGAATACAGGAAAGTAACCACAGTATTAAGAGTACAGGTAACTTTGTGACCAATAGAAAGGTATTTTTATTTCACATTTCAGCTGAAGATATCTCAAAATATTATTTGTGCTCTTCACCAGTTTGAAATTGTGATACGAGACAATTTGACCCTACTAGATCTTTCTATTTAATGTATTAATAAAGAAGCAAATATATTAGTAATTCACACATTTGCTTTATAAGCATTGTGATGAATATATTTCAATATAATTGCTATCTTTTATAATCCTATACATTTTCTTTTATATCTTTGAAAAAATTATTCTGAGGCTAGGCATGGTGGCTCTCACCTGTAATCCAAGCACTATGGGAGGCCGACATGGGAGGATGACTTGAGGCCAGGAGTTTGAGACCAGCCTGGTCAACATAGCAAGACCTTATCTGTATTAAATAATAATAATAATGATAAAAAGAAAAAAATTATTCTGAGATAGTCCATAAGCTTCACCAGACTGTCAAAGGGGACCTTGTCACAAAAAACTTAAGAAGCAACATGGTTTCTTTTTTCTAGTCATTCTGTCTCATGGGATGGCAGAACAACTGGCTCTCAGAATACATGCGGAACAGATCTCACCCTCAATGAAACCACTCACCGACAGACATTAAATAAGAGATAAATAAACCTTATGATCTTTAAGCCATGCATTTTATGGTATTTTTGTTATAGAAGCTTAAAAAATACTCCAACCATACATATAAAGTTATTTTATTCTCACTTTCTTGTTTTAAAATTCATATCAACATCATTCGTTAAAGGTAAGAAGCATACAGATGTCAAAATCCAACAACTTGCTGAGGATTATTAAAATGATAATAATTATGCAAATTTATTTCAAGGAGATATTTGCAGTTTGTATGTTGTATTCATCTCAACAAAAGTGTAATTTAGCACAACAAAATACTTCTTGTACTTCAAAATATATTAAGAGAGAAAATATGGTGCCTATTAAATTTAATTTGACTTCTTATTTATCAAAAGTAAACATTAGCACCTGAAATACGTTGTTTGCACAGAAATACCTGTATTTAGAAGCTTGAAATATTTCCTCTGAATTGATAACTTAGAAACAAAACATGGAAATTATAGTAAGTGAATTTCCTATTTAATGTGCTAAAGGCAATCTGTTTATACAGTAGTATGCAATTTTAAATTTTAAACCAGTTTTTAATATATGTTTGATCCTAAGGCTAAATATCATATATATTCTTCTTGAATTAATTTGTTTATAAAGCATGTTTTTGCTACTTAATTAATTAATTAATTATTCTGGATGGACTGTCACTGTTAGCTGGAGTGCAGTGGCGCCATCTCGGCTCACCGCAACTTCCACCTCCCGGGTTCAAGTGATCATGCCTCAGCCTCCTGAGTAGCTGGGATTACAGGCATGTGCCACCATGCTTGGCTAATTTTTGTATTTTTAGTAGAGATGGGGTTTTGCCATGTTGGCCAGGCTGGTATTGAACTCCCGACCTCAAATGATCCACCTGCCTCAGCCTCCCAAAGTGCTGGGATTACAGGCATAAGCCACTGTGCCCAACCTGATTTAAATGAATAGTATGTATCAATTGTTAAGTGGGAAAAAAACTAAATGTTTCTATATATTTTAAATATTACTACACATTATATAAAAGTGAACTCATATGCTAATTGAAAATACACTTTATACTTGAAATTACTTAATATTGTATGCCCTGCAAAGTTGATAGAATTTTTTTTAGTTGTCTTTTTGCATCCCTTGGCTATGCTATAATGCGGCTTTGAGGATCAAATAAGGAGCTTGAGAGCATTGAAAGTACCACCAAGTTGAGAGGGGGAAGACCTCATATGCAGGAGAGGATTAACTTTGCCCATACAGGGGTCTGGCCTTTGCCCTCAGCTCCTGGGAGATAATCTCTAAACCACTGGAATATCCTGCTTGATAAGAATGTTTACCTGAGGACTTTGGAACAAGCTCCATAACCTATGCTAACAATGTAATCGATAATGCAGGCTTTGGGCCACACAGCTCCAGCTCAGCCTCCGGAAGGGCTGGAAACTGACCATGTCGATGTGACAGAACCCCAGTAAAAACTGTGGACATTGAGGCTCAGGTGAGCTTCTCTGGGTGGCAATTCATGCATATCCTCACACATCACTGCTGAGTTAGTTCTCCACTGGGAAAGAACAACTGGAAGCTTTGCACGTGGAGCTCTCCTGGACTCTTCCCCATATGCCTCTTCCCTCAGTTTATTTATTTATTTAGAGACAGAGTTTCACTCTTGTCGCCCAGGCTGGAGTGCAGTGGCGCAATCTCAGCTCACTGTAACCTCTGCCTCCCAGGTTCAAGCAATTCTCCTGCCTCAGCCTCCCAAGTAGCTAGAATTACAAGCATGTGCCACCACCAGCACACCTGGCTAATTTTTTTGTGTTTTTGTAGAGATGAAGTTTCACCATTTTGGCCAGGCTGGTCTCGAACTCCTGACCTCAGGTGATCTGCCTGCCTTGGCCTCCCAAAGTGCTGGGATTACAGGTGTGAGCCACCACGCCCCGCCCCCTCAGCTGATTTAAATTTGCATTCTTTCACTGTGATAAGCCACAACTGTGAGTATAACAGCTTTCAGTGAGTTCTGTGAGTCCTTCCAACAGATTGTCAAATCTGTGGGTGGTCTTGAGGATCCCTGAACTTGCAGTTAGTATCTGAAGTGAAAGTGGCCTTGGGGCCTCCTGAACTTCACGCCTGGCTTCTAGTCCTGACTGCCCCTAACTCTAGTTATCAACAAATCTCCATTTGCCTCCAAGCCACAGTGTCTGCTGGTTCTCTGCCAAACTCCCACCCTTCTCTGCCTTCCTTTGTGTCATTGCCTATGTTCCCTAACTCCAGGGGAAGATGAGCAGGTGCGAGACAGGGAGAAGCCATCCTACTTCTGGCTCCAGCGGCAGCGGTACCAGTGGCTGTATACAACAGGGGGCCCGAGAACCATCTGAGGCTCCAGCGGAGACACAGGATTGGCTTCCGCTCCCCAGCAGTGGGGACGTCTCCAGACATTCAGCAGCTCCAGCCCGGGGACTGCTGCAGCTTCTACCCTCTGGGTAACACCCCTCTTCTCTCTTTTGCTCTTCTAGCATACCCCACACCTTTGTCAACATCCCCTGAATTAATTCTCTCTCTGCGTTCAGTTTTCCTGAAAGGGGAAATCCCCCTTTTCTGTATAAGGGGAATAATAATAATTGTATCTGTTCTCTGTATCACTCAGAGCTGTTGTGAGCATCCACTGCTAATGGTTGATTGGTTGCTTTAAGGTTAATAAAGAATCACCTAATTTCACACTATTATGATCATGCAAATAGGGGCGTTTGCATCACAAAACAAGTATCGAGTAGGGAGGAGATTCTCTGGAACCTAGAACAAAGACAGGAAATATATTTTAAAATATTCTTACTGTATTATGATGCATTTAAGCCTTGTAGTCAAATCCCAGCTTTACCATTTATTGTCTGTGTGGCCTTAGGCAAGTTGCTGAAGTTCTCTGTGTTTTATTTCCTCATCTGTGAAATGAAGATAACAATGGACCTACCTCACTGGGTTTCTGTGGGGATTAAATACAATAATTCATACATGACCAAAAGGTTGTATAAGCAATATTCATGGGCCATGATAAGAAACCACCTTTATTTTGTTTCTCATTGTTTATTTAAAATTTCTTCAGCAGGAGAAACTCTTTTCCTGCTCCTAAATGTGAAATCAGGTGGTTCTCTAATGCTTCTGACCATCCTTAGGTAATAAAAAGTTCTACAACCACATTAAGTTGCAAAACACACTCTCATTTCTAGATTTAGAATGTCACATCCCATGTAATAATAAAAGCTTCCAGTTTTAGGGAAAGTTCCCCCTAGCTGGGGTCTTTTGCTACGGAGCCAGGTTTAGGGGGTATGATTCTCTTCTAGATGGTCACCTTACCCCTGCAGTCCCAATTTGATAACCATAGTTTCTCATCAATTGAAGTGGGTTAGGTTGGGTTAGGACAGAAAAGGTTAGGGTGTGGCCAGAAACCTTCACCTTAAGTGACACTCTTGTAGGCTATGTTCTCACTTTCTGGGTTTGGCAAATGGTTAAAGGTGACCTTTTCTTCCTGGTGCTTCAGATTTCACCGTGACTTTCAACTGTGCTTCCCATGTTGAGGGCAATGTATTTGCTCCTGGTTGCTTTTCTCTCAGCCGCGTGTGTGTGTGTGTGTGTGTGTGTGTGTGTGTGTGTGCGTGCGTGCATGCATGTGTGTGTGTAGCTATCCACCGTGCACAGAATCTCTGTTGAAGACCCCTGTTCTTCCAGGCGTCCCTTGACCAGAGTTTAAACAAGCTCCAAGCCATCCTCCTCTCCCTCATGGTCCACACTTGAATTTTTTGTCCTGACATACTTTGGGAGTGCAAGCTGACCTCAGTGCAGAAGGAACTCTCCTTCACCCTGTTAATGTCTTTTCCAGACGGCCCTTCTCTCTTGACCTCTAGATTCTCTGGATGCAAGTCAGACTGTAGTCTACTGTGCTTCCACCTCCCAGGGGACACAAACCAAGCTCTACTCGGTCCTAGTAAAGTCTCTCTTGACCTGACATGAAGAGGAGGCATCCCTACCAGTCCCCATTGCTGCATGTGATAAAGGACCCATACAGCACCTCTTTCTAGACACAGTTTCTTCAATTTTTTTCCCTCAGTTTCAACTTTTTAATATATAGCCATGTATCACTTAATGACAGGGATACTTCTGAGAAATGCATTGTTACATGATCTCATCATTGTGCGAACATCATAGAGGGCACGCACACAAACATAGATGATCTAGCCTACAACACACCTAGGCCATGTGGGACAGCCTATTGCTCTCAGGCTATGAACGTGCACAGCATGCGATTGCACTGAAAACTGTGAGCAATTTCCATACTATTAGTATTTGTATATCTAAGTATATCTGAATATTAAAAAAGGTATACTAAAGCTACAATATTATAATCTCTTGGGACCATCAACGTATGTGCAGTGTGTCATTGACTGAAAAGTCATTATTCACTGCAGGACTGTATTTCTTTTTTGTTTTTGTTTGTTTGAGATGGAGTCTCGCTCCTTTGCCCAGGCTGGAGTGCAGTGGCATGATCTTGGCTCACTGCAGCCTCCGCCGCCCAGGTTCAAGCAATTCTCCTGCCTCATCCTCCTGAGTAGCTGGGA
Organism: Homo sapiens; assembly: GCF_000001405.40. Taxonomy (NCBI): domain Eukaryota; kingdom Metazoa; phylum Chordata; class Mammalia; order Primates; family Hominidae; genus Homo; species Homo sapiens. The sequence continues at coordinate 4,370,619 of NW_018654717.1, read as the reverse complement.
TTACAGGCATGCGCTACGCCTGACTGATTTTTGTATTTTTAGTAGAGAAAGGGTTTCACCATGTTGGCCAGGCTGGTCTTGAACTCCTGACCTCAGGTGATCTGCCTCCCTCAGCCTCCCGAAGTGCTGGGATTACAGGCGTGAGCCACTGTGTCCGGGCCAGGACTGTATTTGACTTAGTGGAAGTAGTCCAAAATTGTGTAACTAGTTTTTGACTAAATCCTACTTTATAAGCCCTCTGGGGTGGTCTGTGTGAAAACTCACTTTGGTATTTAGTATCTATTATCCTCATGCCTCAGCCAAACTGGGAAAGAAGGAGCCTCATTTTTACATCTTTTATATGTGAAGAGCACTTAGAACAGTGCTCAATAAATGTTAGCCATTGTTAACTATTGTGAACAGAAAACACAACATGTGGGTAGTTTGAAATAAGCAAGTGGAACCAAAACAAAAGGATCACCCATTATCCTTCTTTCACAGAGAGCTTTAATGAATTTGATATTGTGGGATATCTTTTCTAGCTTACTTTCAGAGTAGAAGAGATTTTCATCTATTTGGAATGGATTAGCTGCCATTCAGCTTAAGCCGAGCAGTGAACTTGTGACCTCTTATTTCAGGTTCATGATGCTTTGAAACTCAGCCACAGGAAGCAAAGATATGGGTGGCAAGGCTGGGCACAATAGCTCACGCTTGTAATCCCAGCACTTTGTGAGGTCGAGGCAGGTGGATTGTTTAAGGCCAGGAGTTCGAGACCAGCCTGAGCAACATAGAGAGACCCCCGTCTCTACAAAACAAACAAAAATAGAACAAAGCAAAAACCAGCCAGATGTGGTGGCTCATGCCCAGCTACTCCAGAGCCTGAGGTAGGAGGATCGCTTGAGCCCAGGAAATTGAGGCTGCGGTGAGCTGTGATTGCACCACTGCACTCCAGCCTGGGTGACAGAGTGAGATACTGTCTCAAAAAAAAAAAAAAAAGATATGGATGGCAGCAATTTTGCCCCACATGGGGCCGCAGTGAGTGTATCAGGCCATGGTGTTTCTTGGGAAGGAGAATGCAGCAATGTTAATAGTCAACCTATTTAGAAATACAGCAACTATCATTTCCTTCCACAGGTATAGTAGGGAAACTGAGTGGTGCTGTCCACACGCTTGGAACCATTCCTCCAGGGCTGACTTTTTACAGAAAAAGGCTTATTTTATTTTACTTTATTTTTCAAGACAGTTTCACTCTGTCACCCAGGCTGGAATGCAGTGGCACGATCTCCGCTAACTGCAACCTCCACCTCCCAGGCTCAATCAATCCTTCTGCCTCAGCCTCCTGAGTAGCTGAGACTACAGGCACGCACCACCATGCCTGGCTAACTTTTGTATTTTTAGTAGAGATGTGGTTTTGCCATATTGGCCAGACTAGTCTGGAACTCCTAACCTCAAATGATCCAGCTGTCTCGGTTTCCCAAAGTGTTGGGATTACAGGTGTGAGCCATGGCACCTGGCCAGCTTATTGCTTTTTAAACCTGAAATATTTTCATGGACTGGGAGAGACATAATTTTTGTTGTTGTTGTATAAATTCAGCCTCTTTCTTTGCACTGTCTTTTCTATTGAAAGTTGAAAAGTTTGATGGAATTGGAATAGGGAATGTAGTTCTAATTGGACCAGTCAATTCCCAGCTCTTAAAAGCCTGGACTGATAGTCACGGATTCCTTGCAGCCTCACTTTCTTATTCCACAAAGTGGGATCCACAGTACCTAACTGCCGTGACAACTCACAGAACTGTTTTTGTTTTGTATGCTGTTTTTAGAGACAGGGACTTGCTTTGTCACACATGCTGGAGTGCAGTGGTGCGATCATAGCTCACTGCAGCTTCAACTTCCTGGGCTAAAGGGATCCTCCCACCTCAGCCTCCTGGTTAGCTGGGACTACAGGTGCTGCCACCACACTTGACTAATTGTTTAATTTTTTGTAGAGATGGGGTCTTGCTATGCTGCCCTTACTGGTCTTGAACTCCTGGCCTCAAGCAATCCTTGCACCTTGGCCCCCAAAGTGCTAGGATTACAGGCGTCCCTCACCGTTCACACCCTCACAGAACTGTTTTAAGGATCTGATCAGCAAACGGGTGTTAAAATTGCAATAATATTATTTCTTTATCATGAAAGCACTTAATAAGTGTATCATATAACCAGTTTTCCTATTGTGTTTGTGTTTGGATCTGCTAAAAATACATTTTACACTGAGCAGGCTGAAAGAGAAAGCAAAACACCAGAGAGCCCGGTGTTTTCTGACTAATAAAATATTCTACATAATCATATAATGAACAATTGCTGAACACAAGTCTGGTGAGTTCATTTATGTCAGTAAACAAATTCCAATTTTTTTCAATGAACATATTTTGTAGAATGAAAAATTAATTCAATGTTTTATAATAGTGTGATCACACATTTTGTAGCTGAAAGTCACATCTCTAGGAGGTTAAATGAGAGCTAAGTTTTTATTTATTTATTTATTTATTTTTTTTGAGACAGTCTCACTCTGTCCCCCAGGCTGGAGTGCAGGGGCATGATCTTGGCTCACTGCAACCTCCTTATCACGGGCTAAAGTGATTCTCATGTCTCAGCGTCCCAAGTAGCTGGGATTACTGTAGTATGCCACCACACCTGGATAAATTTTGTAATTTTTTAGTAGAGGTGGGGTTTCATCATATTGGCCAGGCTGGTCTCGAACTCGTGGCCTCAAGTGATCCACCTGCCTTGGCCTCCCAAAGTGCTGGGATTACAGGCATGAGCCTCCCAAAGGCTGGGATTACAGGCATTACATCTACCACTCCCAGTGGAGAGCTAAATTTTTAGCAGGTGAGCATCCTCTGGATTATTTTGAGAAGGTTATTTCCTCTCAATAAACATAACAAGTCATAGATCCTGCAGAGATTTAAACGGAAATAAGATGGCTGTGCAAGGAGACAGCAGAGACCGTGGAGACTGAGATAAAATGATAGGAATATTGAAATATGCAAGTAAATAACTACATTGGGAAAAATTAAAGGCAGATATTTTACTGTGGAGGAAGAGATTACAAATATAAAAGGCTGAGAAAAACCTTGAGGTGTGGGGTTGAAACTGATGATATCAGTGTGAACTCATATTTATATAGGCAAAGATACATAAAGATGGAAATATTTATATAGAGTATGTGTATGTGTGTGTCTTCCATCTCCGTTAATGAGAGGTCTCAGAAGCAATGACCCTACTGTAGCAATGAGTATATTCTTCACTAGGCCAGGCGCAGTGGCTCACGCCTGAAATCCCAGCACTTTGGGAGGCCGAGGCGGGTGGATCATTTGAAGTCGGGAGTTCAAGACCAGACTGGCCAACCCAACATGGCAAAACCCTGACTCTATTAAAAATTTTTTAAAAAATTAGCCAAGAGTGGTGGCACACACCTGTAATCCCAGCTACTGGGGAGGCACAGGCAGGAGAATCGCTTGAATCCAGGAGGCTGAGGTTGCAGTGAGCCAAGATTGTGCCACTGCACTCCAACCCGGGTGACAGAGTGAGACTCCACCTCAAAAAAAAAAAAATTTTTTCAATAAAAGACCCAGGACTCCTTAGAGAACTGGCAAATTCCTGGGCCAGGACAAGGGAAAGACAGAATGAGCTTGAAACAGTTTGTTGCACAAGAATGTAAGAAAATGCTAAAAAAAAAAAAATAATGGGAACATGTCAAAAGGACATAGGAAGCAGCTTGAAGAAACTCCCTTGGCCAAATCTAGGTTAATCTGTGTCATCCCCCTCCCCTAAAAAAATGATAGAAATGGATTACATTTCCTCAAATAAAATAGGAAGCCATGAGTCCATACTGACATATATATATATATATATGTAAATTAAATAGGAAAGCATCTCTTTGTAGTAGAATGTCAACTACAGAAGGAATTATGGAAATAGAAAAAATCATCATTTAAGGCTGGGCGTGGTGGCTCACGCTTCTAATACCAGCATTTTGGGAGGCTGAGGCAGGTGGATCACCTGAGGTCAGGAGTTTGAGACCAGCCTGGCCAACATGGTGAAACCCCATATCTACTAAAAATACAAAAATTAACTGGGCTTGGTGGCAGGTGCCTGTAATCCTGCTACTCTGGAGGCTGAGACAGGAGAATCACTTGGACCCGGGAGGTGGAGGTTGCAGTGAGCCGAGATTGTGCCATTGCACTCCAGCCTGGACAACAAAGTGAGACTCTGTGTCAAAAAAAAAAAAAAAAAAAAAAAGTTAAAGTCATTGTTTAAGGAGTACCATAATGATAGTTGATTCAGACAGGAATGGGTAATGAATGCTCCAGCCTGTGTGCTGGCATTTGATAAGGTACAGATACTCCTCAACTTACTGTGGGGTTATGACCTCACACATCCATCGTAAGTTGAAAATATCATCATGTTTTAGATGCACAGTGCTTCTTCTGATTACAGAATTTAAATATTCTTGAAATTTCCCTTTCTTTTCTTAATATCAGTGGTTTTGTCACTAAGACTGAAACTTAGCAGTTTAATCTTGTCCTATTTCCATTAAAATATGGTTATTCTTAATACCTACTCAGAATCCCTGCAATGTGAGGTACAAATGAAGATTCTGAGGCTACCCAGATCTATAAAGTCAAATCCTGAAATAAGGACCCCAGGAATCTACATTATTATGGAGTTCCTCGGGATTCTCACACACACTAAAATTTAAGGGCTATTGTCATATGGTTTCTATAATATTGAGCTTTGTGATTTTGACAATGACCAAAGAAATGCCTTCAATAAAACCCTACAAAATTCCATCATGAAATCTCCATTTTAAATGTAATAATTTTCAATTGCCTAGAGTACTTATTCAAACATTTTTTAATGGGCCCTTGCATAGCTAAGAATTTTTGTTTACCTCACAAACGACAGATACCTTGGTTGACAATAAAATTCTTAGAGTGTAAACTTTTTCCCTCAAAATGTTGTAAATGTTGTTTATTGGCTTCTGGAATTTAGTATTTCAGATAAATTTGAGGCCTATCTAATTTTTGCTGTTTTAAGAGTTCTAGTTTTTGCTGGGTGTGATGGCTATGTCTGTAATCCCAGGATTTTGAAAGGCCGAGGCAGGCAGATCACTTGAGCCCAGGAGCTTGAGACCAGCCTGGGCAACATGATGAAACCCCATCTCTAAAAAATTACAGAAATTAGCCGGGCTTGTGGCACACACCTGTAGTCCCAACTACTCAGGAGGCCGAGGTGGGAGGATCGCTTGGCCCTGAGAGGTTGAGGCTGCAGTGAGTTGTGATTGTGCCACTGCACTCCAGCCTGGGTGACAGAGTGGGACCTTGTGTCAAAAAAAAAAAAAAAAGAAAAGAAAAGAAAAAAGAGTTCTAGTATTTTTACACCTGGATAATTCTGTAATCTTTTATCATTTTAATTCAAAAATTTGCCAAGACGTGCCATTAATCTTGCTTGCTCTCGCACTAGGAATGTTTTCTGGGAACAGGCTATTGCCTTCCATTGCATCTTTGATTATTGGTCCCACGAGTACCATGGCAGGTACCTTCAAGCCTCCTCCCCTTTCTGCGAATTTCCTGAAGTATACCCCCGCCTCCTCTGCCTGGAAACTTCCTCCTCATTATTATATTTTGCCATAGTTTAATAAAACATTCAAGTTTATAATTATATTATTTAGAGCAAAATAGAGGCTTATAATTTTTTGCAAATAATGTTTTTCTCTTCTGTACTTTTACAAATGGTAAAATGTATTATATACACAAATGAACTTTTAACAACATATAAGTAACATACTACTATTAATGAAATGCTTTTTGCATCTATCATCCCCACTGAGAAATAGAACTTAGTGCATTAGGAGCCCCCACTTGTCTCTTTTTTATTGCCTTTTCAAAATCTATTTTTCATGTAGGGATATGCGCCTAGCTATCATATTGTTTAGTTTTGAAAATTAAGATGCAAACACAAACTTAGCTGTATGAGGAGGGACAAAATCGTCTCTATTTGATGAAGTCTCCCAGGTAATCTGAACAGTCTCTAAGTCACAGCCTGGCTCCATCTTGCTTGATTGCTGATGGGAAACCTTTGGAAATTGGTGGGCAAAGCTGTATGTGTGTCCTAGGAAATGTAGGCATGTAAGGGCATCAGACAGAACTATGGCGTGGATTACCAAATATCAAGAAGACATATAGGCCCGGCACAATGGCTTACGCCTGTAATCCCAGCACTTTGTGAGTCCGAGGCAGGTGGATCACAAGGTCAGGAGATCGAGACCAGCCTGGCCAACATGGTGAAACCCCATCTCTACTAAAAACACAAAAATTAGCTGGGCGTGGTGGTGTGCACCTGTAATCCCAGCTACTCAGGAGGCTGAGTCAGGAGAATCGCTTGAACCCGGGAGTTGGAGGTTGCAGTGAGCCGAGATCATGTCACTGCACTCCAGCCTGGGTGACAGAGTGAGACTCCGTCTCAAAAAAAAAAAAAAAAAGAAAGATATATGGTTAGACACAGTGAGTTACAGTGTGTTTTCTCTTTCTTAGCTTACCACGTTTTATCTCCAGCTCTTGCATAATTCAAAGCACAATACTTCTGTGGGGTGAATGAGTATCTTCAACTGATATAGCAGCAGGACTTGGAGGGGAAAGTGGAACTTCCTCAAGTTTTGATCAAGAGAAAGTAAGCAGCTGGGTGTGGTAGCTTGTGCCTGCAATCCCAAAACTTTGGGAGGCCAAGGTGGGAGATCACTGGAGGCCAGGATTTCGAGACCAGCGTGGCCAACACAGAAATCTCATCTCTACTGAAAATACAAAAATTAGCCAGGTATGGGTATGCACACCTGTAATCCCAGCTACACAGGAGGCTGAGGCACAAGGATCGCTTGAACCTGGGAGGTGGAGGTTGCAGTGAGCCGAGATTGTGCCACTGCAGTCCAGCCTGAGTGACAGGAAGACTCCGTCTCAAAAAAAAAAAAAAAAAGGCAAAGTAATCACACATCAAAATCTGACTAGATTCACTGGACTTTCTGTTCACCTGTTAAATAGAGTATGCAATAGCATTCAACATCTTGGTGGTAACAGCATTCAACGTGCCTGTCTCTTGAATTGCGCTGCTCCGATCCTCACAACTGTCCCCTGGAGCACAGCTGTCATGCTGCGATCTTCCTCCATCATCTTGGGGATTCTCTCTGCCTCTGTCCTGTGTTAGATCTCCTGTTTTATTATGGACATATAAGAGTTGTACACATTTATTGGGTATATGTCATATTTTGTTACAAGGATACAATGTGTAATGATCCAATCAGGATAACTGGGATACCCATCACCTGAAGGATCTGTCATTTCTTTGTGTTAGGAACATTTCAATTTCACTGTTAGATATTTCGAAATATACAGTAAATTGTTGTTAACAACCTTTGAAGATTTTGCGGTATAAGTGTGGTTTGTTCTCAGCTTTCCCCCTGGCAGCTTGGGATTTTGTTTTCTCATATTGTTATGAGAAACAAGTTTGTTAAATCACTTTGCACTGATCCACTGGTTTTGCAGCTTCTAAAATGTCATAGCTGTTGTCTCCTCTCCTATTCTTCTAGTCCTTGTGGGTTTAGGTCTCAAAACAAAACAACTCCTATTTTTATGGGGTTCAAGAGAGAGAAAAATTAAAGGGATATGTTCAATTCACTACATTAGCCTGGAAGTCCAAAACTGCCTACTTCTGTAAGGTCCAGTTCCTCTGGGAAGCATTCTTTTGATTCATCTGCCTTTAGCAGAATTAATCCTGTCCTTCAAAAGATTTTTAGTGTGGTGCACAACACATTGGATTCTAATCCATTTGTTTACATATGCCTCTTCCCCCAGAGAAAATATGAATCCTGAAATGTCAGAATCAAGTTTTACTCTAATTTTATCCATGGCACCCATCATAATACCAATATGTATTTGATAAATGTTTGCTATCTACAGGAATGTGTAATTAGGTTCCAAAAAGGATACTGCTGAACCTTTTCAAAAATTGGACATTTATTCAAATACATGTTATACTGACTAGGAATTTTTAATTCCTCCTTATCAGTTGTCAAACTAAACTAAAACTGAAAGCCGGTGAGCTCCTTCAACAGCATAGAAGCCTGTTTCTTGCACTCCAGATAGAGCAATGTTTCGTTTGAGTACCCTCTGGTGGCATTTGAAGAAACTAACTTATTTTACAGCCTGATATCTGGTTCTGTTGCTATTAAAAAGCTTGATGGAAGACATCCCTCATTTTCTTAATTTTCTCAATTGAACATGCATGACTTTTGCAATCAGAAAAATTGTATAATTTTTTCCAAAACAACTTTATGAGTTTCTGAGACAACAGAAGACGTTAGGAAGCTGAACAAACATACAAATAGAAATTGCACGTATTTTTAAATTAATCTATTTCTAATGCTTGCTTGCTTTTTTTTTTGTTTTCTTTGAGATGGAGTCTGGCTCTGTGGGTCAGGTCGCCCAGGTTGCCCAGGCCGCCCAGGCTGGAGTGCAGTGGCGCAATCTCAGCTCACTGCAACCTCCGTCTCCTGGGTTTCAGCAATTCTCCTTCCTCAGCCTCCCATATACAGGCACGTCTCACCACACCTGGCTAATTTTTGTGTTTTTAGTAGAGACAGGGTTTCACTATGTTGGCCAGGCTTTCCTCAAATTCTGGACCTCAGGTGATCCACCCACCTCGGCTTCCCAAAGTACTGGGATTACAGGCATGAGCCACCACGCCGGCCTGCTTTACCTTGCTTATTTCTCAGTCTGAGTGAGTCAAATTATGATAAGCCTCAAATTAATCATTTATAATTCAAATGGTAAAAAAAAATCTGGAATTCTTCATACTAGAAAGTCCATTTTCTTTTTTATGCCAAAAAAAATTGAGTTTCTTCCACTCAATTTCAAAACAAATCTGAAATTTTTAACATACAGGCTTAAGCATGTTTATTTAAACAAAGACACATAAATATGTGCAAAATGAACTTTGATGGATGACATATTTTTTAAGTTTTTATTTTTGTTTTTTCTTTTCTTTTTTCTGTTTTTTTTTTTTCTTTTCTTTTTTTGTTTCATTTTGGTTTTCTTTCTTTTTCTTTTCTTTTTTTTGGTGAATTTTTTTTTTTTTTTTTTTTTTTTTTTTGAGACAGAGTCTCATTCTGTCACCCAGGCTGGAGTGCAGTGGCGTAATCTCGGCTCACTGCAATCTTCACCTCCTGGGTTCAACTGATTCTCCTGCCTCAGTCTCTCAAGTAGCTGGAATTATAGGCATGCACCACCACGTTAGCTAATTTTTGTATTTTTAATAGAAACGGAGTTTCACCTTGTTGGTCAGACTGGTCTTGAGCTCCTGACCTCAGGTGATCCGCCCACCTCAGCCTCCCAAAGTGCTAGGATTACAAGCGTGAGCCACCACGCCAGGCCTTGGTGGATGATATTCTTAATGAAAGGGTCTGGATATGTGTATACCTTCCTATCAGCGGGTTGTGCTTGTCAGCAAGGCTACACATTCTGGTGCTGTGATTAGAGCAGAGGATCCTGTTTGTTTTTGTGATCAAGATTAGATAGGGCATGATTTGTACCAGGTCACACAAATGTTCTTAAACAATCGTGTAATGCTTAGAATGAGACTTGGGGGTTGCCTCCATTAGGGAAAGGGCAAGTATGTTTTATGTGTAGGAAAAACAGTATGTGTGGATATGTGGGGTCACCAGAATTGTGGCAGAGACTGTTAGTGGTCCTAATATTTGATCTTCCCTTCTTCAATAGTGATAGACTTTCAATTGTTCATAAGTAATTGTCCACAGAAACAAGACAACATTTTCACCAGTCTAATTTTGCAACTAATGTGTGGTCCTATAACTAAGTACCAAAGGGCAAGATATAAGCAGAATTAATATGCATGACTTCAGGATGTGAGAAGAAGTTATAGAGAAATACATAGCCTCCCTTTTACTGTTTCTGTCTTTCCATTGGCTGAACGGTGTGTGAAATGGGGAGGTGTCTGGAACATGGGAATGAGGACAGCATACTAGGAATGATAAAGCTACAAGACAGAAAAGCCCTAAGTCCTCGACATCTTTCTATTAACCTCAGAGAGAAATATGTTAACTTCTACCTCACTGAAGCCACATATATTTAAGGCCTATTTTATTCCCAATCAAATTTTAATTGTATTTTTTCCTCTTTATTTTTTGTAGAGATGGAGTCTCACTATGATGTCCGGGCTGGTCTCAAACTCTTGGCTTCAAGTTATCCTCTCGCCTCAGCCTCCCAAAGTGCTGGGATTACAGGTGTGAACCATTGCCACTGGTCTTTTCTTCTTTTTTTCAAATCTTTATCCTAAAAAAAAGAAAACATGCCAAGAAAGGAGGCAGATTCCACAAAGGGTGAGATGTAACAAAATCTGGGAGTTTGGGGGGAAAATCCTGGAGGAAGGGAAATTGAATCTCTGACCTAAACAATGAATGAAATTAGCTAACAAAAGTTCTGAAATGGGAACCGGCATGGTGTGTGGAGGTACTAAAAGAAGAATGGAAAGAGAAAAAAGGTAGTTTGTGCTAAATCAGGAGACAAAAATATAACCCAGATCATCCTGAAGGCATTAAGGAAGGAAAAGATTTAAAAAAGTCAAAAGTGATGCCCATATTTTTGGCCCAATCAACTGCGTGGATTGTAGAGCTATTTACTGAGAAAAGAAACACCATTCTGGGCATGGTGGTTCACGCCTGTAATCCCAATACCTTGGGAGATCGAAGTGGGAGGATTGCTTCAGTCCAGGAGCTGGAGACCAGCCTGGGCAATATGGCAAAACCCTGCCTCTACTAAAAAATACAAAAATCAGCCGGGTGTGGTGGTGAGCGGTTGTAGTCCCAGCTAGTCGGGAGGCTGAGGTAGGAGGGTCACTTGAGCAATCATTGCGCTACTGCACTTCCAGCCTGGGCGACAGAGGGACATCCTGCCTCAAACAAACAAACAAAAAAAAACAAAAAGAAAAAAGAAAAACAGAAACACTAGAGAAGTGGCTGGTTTGGGGAGGAAGATGATGATTTCACCTTGGATATGTCAAGTTTGTGGTGTTTGTGAATAGGCAAGTCGTTATGTGGCTCTGGTGCTCTGAGTTAAGATCGTGGGTAGAAACAGGTTTTGGAGTCATTGGCTACTGGATGGTAAATAAAGCTAGATGAATGCATAGAATACCTAGAGCAAGAATCTATACTTTGAAAAGAATATAAAAGTTATGAACAGGGCCTAAGATCCAAGTCCTGAAGGAATTCCGGAATTAAATGATTGGATATAAGAGGGGGAACTGATCAGGGAGATTGAGAAGAAATGGCCAGAGAAAAAGGAAGGAAGCAGGCGAGTGTGCTGTCATGGAGACCAAAGGAAAAGAGTGTTGCAGTAAATAAAGAATAGTCAGCCGGGCGTGGTGGCTCACGCCTGTAACCCAAGCACTTTGGGAGGCTGAGGTGGGCGGTTCACGAGGTCAGGAGATGGAGACCATCCTGGCTAACTAGGTGAAACCCCGTCTCTACTAAAAAATACAAAAAATTAGCCAGGCGTGGTGGTGGGCGCCTGTAGTCCGAGCTACTTGGGAGGCTGAGGCAGGAGAATAGCGTGAACCCGGGAGGCGGAGCTTGCAGTGAGCCGAGATAGCGCCACTGCACTCCAGCCTGGGCGACAGAGCAAGACTCCGTCTCAAAAAACAAAAACAAACAAAGAAAGTTAGCAACGCTGGATGCTGTTGAAGGATCAAGTCAGATGAGCTTTGATAAAAGGCTACTGGGTTCAACCACACGGGGATAACTAGTGACCTCAGTGGAGAAGTAGATGTCAGTGGACCATGGGGGTGGAAGAGAAATTAGGGTAGGTTGAATAGTGGGTAGATGTGTGAAAAAAGCGACAATTCTTTCAAGAAGTTTAGCACCAAAGGGGGCGGGAGAAAAGATAGTGCGGCAGCCATAGGAATTCTGAGGTTGAAGGAGGTGTTTTGTTTGGCTGGAGGGCTATTTAAGTTGGAAAATTTTGAGTCAAGCTCATTTAAATGCCAAAGGGAAAGGTCTACTGATGAGGAAAACACTGAAGATACAGAACAGAGATTGGATAATACAAAATTCAAGATTGCTGGGAAGGTAGGAGAGGAGGGGAATTGAGGGAGCGAGTGGTGGTATCAAACCAGAAAATGAAGGTGGGAGGGAGGAGTGGCTGAAAGGGGCGGGGCTAGGACTCAGGTGGGGCGGGGCTAGGACTCAGGTGAGGCGTCGGAGGCACTCACTTTAGGCACAAAATTTAAGGAGGCATCCCCCCAAAATCAGTAATTAAGATAAACACTTTAGTGTAATTTTTTTTTTGAGACAGCATCTTGCTCTGTCGCCCAGGCTGGAGTGCAGGGGTGCGATCTCAGCTCACTGCAACGTCTGCCTCCCAGGTTCAAGCGATTCTTGTGCCTCAGTCTCCCAAGTAGCTGGGATTACAAGCATGCTCCACCATGCCAGCTAATTTTTGTATTTTTAGTAGAGAAGGAATTTCGCCATCTTGGCCAGGCTGGTCCGAAACCCCTGGCCTTTAGCGATCCTCCCGCCTCGGCCTCCCAAAGTGCTAGGATTACAGGCATCAATCTCTTAGTACATCAAAATTAATGTAAGAAATGTATGATGAACAAAAATCAACATAATAAACAAAGACACGACCAGATGTGAGCATGTAGACTTGGCAGTAAAAAGCTAAAACTGTTTTCTTTGTGAAGCAGGAGGCAAGGTTGTCTGGTGAGAGTACATGGGAAAGGAGATGGAAGGTTGGAGGTGAGAGCAAAGAAGGTTTGCTGCAGAAGTTGTGGAGAGAGGGAAGACAAGACAAGGAGAGAAATATGACGGCTGCCAAGGAGGATTAGCACCCAGGTGGAGCAGGTGGTCATTAATTCTTCACATCACTGATCTGGCCATTGTATGATCTCTAAGGCCTCTCTCAGAACTCAGAGAAAGCATGAAGAAGGAAAATAGATTTATGATCATGGCGGGTTTTCACAGGGAAAAAGGTTGGGATGTTGGCAAGGGATTTATGATAGTGAACCACAGAAGCTATGAGAAGTTATGATAAGGGGCTGTTGAAACTAAGCCAGCGAGGTAATAAGCCAAAACATGAGAAATAAACTAAATCAAATGTGAAATGATAGCTCTGCAATAGAATGTAAATGCCAAATGTAATGGGGTGAGTTGTGTCCCCCTAAATTTATGTGTTGAAGACCTAACCCCCAGTACCTCAGAATGTACCCATATTTAGAGTGAGAAATAAAAATAAAATCCTAAATCCCCTAAGGCCACGTGTGGCAGCTCACACCTGTGATCTTAGCACTTTCGGAGGCCAAGGCAGGCGGATCACCTGAGGTCAGGCATTTGAGACCAGCCTGGGCAACATGGCCAAACCTACCTCTACTAAAAATACAAAAAAAATTACCTAGGCTTGGTGGTACACACCTGTAATCCCAGCTACTCAGGAGGCAGAGGCAGGAGAATTGTTTGAACCCGGGAGGTGAAGGTTGCTGTGAGCCAAGATTGTGCAACTGCACTCCAGCCTGGGTGACAAAGTGAGGCTCTGTCTCAAAAAAAAATAAAATAAAAATAAAAAAAAATTCCTAAACCCCCCAAACTTCTGAATGGACCCCATTCCAGCCAAGAAGACCCCAGAGAAACCTTAAAACAGAGTTCCAGGTCATCTCAGGACAGGAGGTCAGACATGCCTCAGTCTGCCCCTTCCTTATTAACCTTTAACCAGAATCTTTCCTAAGAAGTAAACAGGAATCAGCTGTGGAAGACAAGAGCCGATGACTTACTCTATTATCACTATTAGCCAATTGTCTGAGGCCATGACGAGACTTCCCTTCCCTCTTTACAGTTTCGACATGACAGCTCGCCAGTTTCACAATGCATACCTTCCTTATCAGAGACCGTTGATGATGGAGATGCTCTGGCCAGTCTATAGAGAATGCACAGAGGATTTTCGGTCCTCTGCTTCACCTTCTGATGTCAGAAGGCTGAAAACTCCACACTCAGATTATGCTAATGCTGCCATTTGTGTACATGTGACCCATGAAGAGGTATGAAGCTCAAGTGCACATGCATGCTTCTCCTTTCATAAACATTAATGATTCCTCCTATTACTTATTAAATATGTATATTTGGCCACTATGCTCAGCATACATTCCTGTCTTATGCTTCCTTCCCTTAAGGTGCCTATTTCTGGCTTCTGGCTGGAGGCTACACTTCCCAGCCTATCAGAATGGCAGCCTGCAAGGATGCATAACCCCAACCCTTTATGAGAAATAAAGCTCTCTTTTCTATACTTATGAACCTTGTCATTCTTCAGTTGGCAGGAGATTAGGTCTTTAAAGAAGTGATTAAATTAAAATGAGGTTGCCGGCATGGTGGTTCACGCCTGTAATCCCAGCACTTTGGGATGCCAAGGCAGGTGGATCACCTGAGGTCAGGAGTTCAAGACCAGCCTAGCCAACATGGTGAAACCCCATCTCTACTAAAAATACAAAAAATTATGTTTTTTATTATAGAAAAAAAGGAGAATCCTCACCTAGATCTATTACAATGAAATTTAAGAACATCAATGACAAAAAGAAAATTTGCAGACTCCAGAGAGAAAGAACAGATTATCCATAGACGAGCAAGAATCATATCAACATTACACTTTTCAAATAAACATAGGATACAGGAAGAAAATAATGTTTTTAAATGACTGAAGGAAAAGACTTTGTAACTTGCAGAAACCATTAAACTAAATAGAAAAGCTTTATACACATTTCCCATGAAATCAGCACAGCACCATTACTATTAATATATTACAAAGACTCCTGGCCAATGCAATAAGAAAAGAAAGAGATATAAGGGGTATAAGGAAGGGCAGGGCTAAAACTGATTATTTGCAGAATTTGATAATTTTAGAAAAAAAGCAACAGAATAATAAAACTATTAAAATTTACAAGAAAGTTTAGAAATTATCCAGAATGTTCTGGGGATTAATAAAAAAAGAATGTTTAGAAATTAAAAACCATCAGGAGTTTGAGACCAGCCTGGCCAACATGGTGAAACCCTGTATCTACTAAAAATACAAAAATTAGCTGGGCATGGTGGTGCACACCTGTAATCCCAGTTACTTGGGAGGCTGAGGTGGGAGAATAGCTTGAACCTGGGAGGAGGAGGTTGCAGTGAGCCGAGATTGTGCCACTGCACTCCAGCCTGGGCAACAGAGCAAGACTCCATCTCAAAAAAAAAAAAAAAAAAAGAAGAAGAAGAAAAAGAAAAAGAAAGAAATTAAAAACCAATTTTTTGTCTTCAAAATTTTAATTTCTTTTTCATCAAAAGCAAGGTTACATAGAGTGAAATGCGTAGATCTTACATGCATAATTCAATGTGTTTTGATAAATATATACATCACATAATCACTATCCCAATTAACACATAGAATATTTCCAGGACCTGGAAACTTCCCTTGTGTACCATTCAAGTTAATCCTCAACCCCTAATCCCAAGCTGAAGCAGTCACTATTGTGAATTTCTATTATCATAGATTAGTTTGGCCTATTCTTGAACTTCATATAAGTGGAATTAGAGTATGTCTTCTTTTGCATCTGGCTTCTTTCACTCAAGATTTTTCCAAATTCATCCATACTATTGCATGTATCAATAGTTTATTATTGACTGGGCACGGTAGCTCACACCTGTAATCCTAGCACTTTGGGAGGCTGGGCCAGGTGGATCATTTGAGCTCAGGAGTGCAAGACCACCCTGGGCAACATGGTGAAACCCTGTCTCTACAAAAAATACAAAAATTAGCTGGACATGGTGGCATGTACCTGTAGTCCCAGCTACTTGAGTGGCTGAGGTGGGAGGATCACCTGAGTCCCAGAGGTCAAGGCAGCCACCATCCTGCCATTGCATTCCAGCCTGTGTGACAGAATGAGGTTTTGTTTCTGGAAAAAAAAAAAAAAGGCTTATTATTATATATTGAGGAGTATTATGCCATTACAGGGATACATCACATTCTGGTTATCCATTCACTTGTTGATGGAGATTTGAGTTAATTTCATTTATCAGTTATTTTGAAAAATGCTGCTGGAAATATCCACGTCCAAGCCACCACCTGGACATTCACTTTCACTCTTCCTGAGTGAATACCTAGGACTGGAATTGCTGGGTGATAGGGCCAATGTATTATGTTTATTTAATTAATTCATTTATTTATTCATTTTTGAGATGGAGTGTCTCTCTGTCACCCAGGCTGGAGTGCACTGGCACTATCTAGCATCACTGCAACCACCACCTCCCAGGTTCAAGCGATTCTCCTGCCTTAGCCTCCCGAGTAGCTTGGACTCCAGGTGTGCACCACCAAGCCTGGCTAATTTTTGTATTTTTAGTAGAGACAGGGTTTCACCATGTTGGCCAGGCTGGTCTCGAACTCCTAACCTCAGGTGATCCACCCTCCTCAGCCTCCCAAAGCACTGGGATTACAGGTGTGAGCCACTGCGCCTGGCTCTTTGTTTGTTTCTAATCTGGTTGTCTTTTATTTCTTTGTTTTTGTTTATTTAACTTAAAAATCAATAATATTTTATGTAATGGTATAAAATAATTTACCATTCATAATGGGAAAAAACCCATAATGTATCTAGGAATTCTTGGTTACGAATGTACAAGATATCTATGGAGAAAATTGTGAAATGTTAAAGATCGTCATAAAAGACAATCTGAATTAGCAGTTCTATATTACAAGAGGATAAATTAATATGTCATTTCTCCTCAAATCAATCGAGTGAATTCAATCTTAATGAATTTTTTGGATTGGATTGGATTGGATTTTTTGAAGAGCAAAAAATTTGTCCTAAAGTATACATGAAAGATTAAATATCCACAAATAGCTAAGTCAGTATTGAAAAAGAAGAGTAAAGAGGAGGAACTTGTTTTATAAGATATGAAGACATATTGCAGAGCTGAGTAATAGAAAGCAGTGTGGGAAGGGTATAAGAACAGATACCAGAGACCAAGAGAACAGAGCAGGTTGCTCAAATACAGACCTAAACATATGGAATTATCTAACACGTGGCATCAGGCAGCAATGGGAGACGGCTTAGAAACAAAAGGCATTTTGCTATGTGAAAGTCACATATTTAGTGCAGCCTAGAGTAATTTACTAACCCTGCTGTCTAACAATACATTGATCTTCACTGACAGCTGACTAATCCCAGGACACTGAAGCTAGAGGAAAGGTAGGTACATTTTTCCACTGGGGTGAATAGAGAATAACCAATTCTCGAACTTCTCTTTTAGACTGTGGCATAGCTGAAATACTCAGGGAAGCTTTCTCTTTAACTGTTCAACTATGGCACACATTTTATTTTAAACAGGAGGTGCTAAAGTCATTGGGATTTCCCCTTTGGTGTTATGTGGCAAGTTACAGCAGAGTCAACATTTAAAAACATCGGCCAGGCAAGGTGGCTCATGCCTGTAATCCCAGCACTTTGGGAGGCCAAGGCGAGTAGGTCACCTGAGATCAGGAGTTTGAGAGTTTCGCTTGGCCAACATGGTGAAATCCCACCTCTACTAAAAATACAAAAATTACCCAGGTGTGGTGGCAGGCGCCTGTAATCCCAGCTACTTGGGAGGCTGAGGCATGAGAATCTCTTGAACCCAGGAGGCTGAGGTTGCAGTGAGCCAAGATAGCGCCATTGCACTCCAGCCTGGGCTACAGAGCGAGACTCTGTCTCAAAAAATAAATAAATAAATAAATAAATAAATAAAAACATTTAGGTCTCCTGCATACTGATGTCACACAGTCAT
This sequence comes from Homo sapiens, assembly GCF_000001405.40. NCBI lineage: Eukaryota > Metazoa > Chordata > Mammalia > Primates > Hominidae > Homo > Homo sapiens. The sequence continues at coordinate 4,352,762 of NW_018654717.1, read as the reverse complement.
AAGAAAGTACTGAACACAGTGATATTTCTTAAACATTTTGGGTACACTCCCAGCTCAGGATCTTTTCACTTGTTTACTCTGCCTAAACTTCTCTTCTCCCATATATACTCAGTTTACTCCCTTGCCTCTTCAAGTCTTTACACAAATGGCACATCATTAGAGAGGTCTTCCCTAACGATTCTATTTAAAATTGTAACCCCCTCCATACCTGGGCACCCTCCCATTCCTTTTTCCTGTTTTACTTTTCTCCATACTATAAGCATTTTACTTATTTCTTTTGTTGATTGCCTGTCTTTCTTTTTCTTTCCTTCCCTCCCTCCCTCCTTCCCTTCCTTCCTTCCTTCTGTAGAGATGAGGTTTCACCATGTGGCCAGGTTGGTCCTGAGCTTAAGTGGTCCTCGCACCTCAGCCTGGCAAACTGCTGGGATTACAGGTGTGGGCCATCACGCCTGGCCTTACAGTAAATTCTTGATAAACAACCCAGCAACTGCCTCTTTCCTTTAAAAATTCACTTGTAGCTTCTACTGATCTGAGTATACCCAGGGCAACTTGAATCTACAATTGCAATCCTCAAACTTGGCCCAGATAAACTCTACTTATATTAATTTTGCCTCATCTTCCTTTTCGGTTATTTCATGCATGTTTCACTTTGTTCAACCTTTAATAGCTCAAACCAGAGTCTAAAGACAAAAAAGTTACTGCACGATAGTAATTTTCATGTAGCTATTTTCATCTAGCTTGTATTTTTTTTTTTTTTTTTTTTTTTACTATTTTTTGACTGACTTCGACTATTTTCACCTAGCTAGGATTTTTCAGAAGGGACATTCTTTAACTGTGTCTCACAATCCAATTTCCTTAGAGAAACTTCTTGGAGTTTCCCCAGCACAGCTGCTCATCATAGGCTTCATGGACAAAAGCCTCACTACTTATTAGAGTATCTTCTTCTGGGTCTTTTTATTTATGGCAGGTCTAATTTCTTGATGCTGCTGCACTAGTTCTAGAAGTCAAAGAAACAAAGTCAAAAGAGTTATTTCTTGAGATAGAAGCTGAGATGGAGGTATGTATGGTTAGAAAGGGCTACTTAACCCCATCAAAGATTATTGTTATTGGAATTATGCCCTATCTCAATTGCCTATTTAACAAAGCAAATAATCTAGAATGGGCAAGACTTAAGACAATTATGATTGGTTACTAAGTGTTCACTTAACTTCCAAACTGGCATATCTTCTGAGTAGATGGATTCAGCACAACTTCAATTCTATGCTCCTGGGTTGCAATCCTCAAACTTGGACCAAATAAACTCTCTAGTTATATTAATTTTGCCTCAGCTTCTACCTTTTAGGTCAATAGTATTAAGCCTCTTCAAGTGGTCCTGAAGTATTAAGCCTCTTTAAGTGGTTACTGAAGCTGTATTCATCTTTTTTCTGTGTGTGTGTGTGTCATTTTGTATTGTTTCTGTTGCTATATCTTTGAATTTATTTACCTTTTTCTCTGCATTGCTTAATGTGCTAGCAATCCCATCCAAAGAAATTTTTATTTCAAATATTTTTCACCTCCATCCAGAAATTTGATTTTTCAAAAATCTTTCCAGTTTCTCTCCTATCATGTCTTCCTTTAAATCTTTGAGCATATTCATAACAGGTGTTTAAAATCCTTGTCTGTTAATTCCATCATTTTTATCATTTTGGGGTTTGTTTCTATGAACTTCGTGAGATATTTTCTTACCACTTGGTCTCTCTCTCTCTCTCTTTTGAGACAGAGTCTTACCCTGTCACCCAGGCTGGGTTGTGGTGGTGCAATCATAGGTCACTGCAGCCTCAAACTCCTGGGCTCAAGCAATCCTCCCGCCTCAGCATCCCCAAGTGCTGCGTGTCTTTCAATTTTTGACTGGATGTCTCACATTTTGAATTTAATGTTGTTGAATCCTGGATTTTACTGTAGTCTTTCAGAGAGTTTTAGAATTTGTTCTTACAGGTAATTAGGTTACTTACAGAGCAGTTTGATCCTTTCAGGGCTTGTTTTAACGCTTTTGAAGAATCTACAGTAGTTTATGTTCTGGGTCCTGCAGTCTACGGTTATTATATCTCACTAAGGCATGACACTTTCGTAACCACCCAAAAGGTTCATCTTGCCTACTGCCTAGACAGAGTCGATTTATCAAGACAGGGGAATTGCAATAAAGAGCAATTCATGCACAGCTGGCAGTGCAGGAGACCTGAGTTTTATTAATCAAATCAGTCTCCCTGAGCATTTGGGGATCAGAGTTTTTAAGGATAATTGGGTGGGTGAGAAGCCAGTGAGATGGGAGTGGTGACTGGTTGGGTAGGAGATGAAATCATAGGGAGTCGATGCTGTCCTCTTGCACTGAGTCAGTTCCTCCCGTGGGGGACACAAAATCAGATGAGCTAGTTTATCCAAGATCAGGTGAGTCAGTTTATCAATCTGGGAGGTGCCAGCTGATCCATCAAGTGCAGGGCCTGCAAAATATCTCAAGCACTGATCTTAGATTTTACAATAGTGATATTATCCCCAGGAGCAATTTGGAGAGGGTTAGAATCTTGTAGCCTTCAGCTGCATGAGTCCTAAATCATAATTTCTAATCTTTCGGCTAATTTACTAGTCTTACAAAAGCAGTCTAGTCTCAAGAAGAGGGTTTATTTTGAGAAAGGGCTATCACCTTTGTTTTAAACTATAAGCTATACACTAAGTTCCTCCCAGTGTTAGTTTGGCCTACGCCTAGGAATGAATAAGGATAGCCTGGAGGTTAAAAGCAAGATGGAGTTGGTTAGGTCCGATCTCTTTCACTGTCTCAATGATAATTTTGCAATGGCAGTTTCACATCTGAGGTTTCTATTGCGTGTTCCATGGTATTCAATAATCTCTTCACTCTGGTTGCTGGGAGCTCAAATGATTCCCAGTTCTGTGTGACCTCTCACCATTGTTTGGTGTACTGCTCCCCAGTAATTGTTCTTTCCTGGCCTTGTGGAGTTTCACGTTTTTTATTCAGTTAAAGATTCAAGGTACTCCTAAGCAGATTTCTGAAGCTCTTTTTCCGTGTAATTCCCTCCTCTCCAGAATTCTGCCCTACAAATTCCAACCGACTTGGCCTACCCCAATTTCGTCAACTCCAATCTCTGTCTTTTCAACGCAGGAGATCCTAGGTTTCCATATGATTTCCTTTCATCGCACCACAGACTGGAAATCGCCTCTGGGCAAAAGGGCAGGATGATATACGGCTCCTTTTATTTCTTTTCTCTCAGGTAAAACAGTCCACAGCTGTCCGTTGTCCAATGTCTGAATAGGTGTCTCCTATATTTTGTTCCGTTTTCTAATTGTTTATAGTGGGACACTAAGTCCCGACCCATTTTCTTTTCTTGCCCAGAGTGGAAGTTTTAGGAAACTCCTTATGGAAAATGTGAATTGTTTTATTATTTTTTATGGTCGAAAACATCTTTCTCTATGATATCTTCCCACTCACCCTACTTTTTTCCTTCTCAGGAAACACTGACGGGAACACACGTGCCGGTGCTACCCTCCAGTGACTGGACTAGATCCTTGCGCAACTTCAACCCGCGCTAGCTCCTCCTACGGCCGGCCACGCCCCGTCTTCTCACCGGCGCGCCTCCCTCTTGTTCGTCCTCCCTCCCCCTGTGGACTGCGGCGCTGGCGTTCCGCGCACGCCGGCTCACTGCGCCTGCCCGGCGTGTGGACGCCACACGCTCCCGGAAGTGGGAGGTGGCCGCTGGAGTTTGTGTGGCCGCCGCCGCGGGAACGCGAGCCCGGTAATTTTTCAACGGAGAAAGGCGAGGCTTTCGGGCTCTGCAGAGTGAGAGTTAGCAAGTGTCCGGCTCCAGCAACTCTCCTCTGGCGTGACAGCCGGCATGGAGGATCCACAGAGTAAAGAGCCTGCCGGCGAGGCCGTGGCTCCCGCGCTGCTGGAGTCGCCGCGGCCGGAGGGCGGGGAGGAGCCGCCGCGTCCCAGTCCCGAGGTGAGGAGTCGACCCGCGCCTGGCTGTTGGCGCCAGCTGCCCCGTCCCCAAAGCGCCCTCGGCACCCCTTTCTTCTCAGGTGTCCCGCAGAAGGTGCAGCTGTGCGCCCTTGGACCCCAGCCTCTTCCTCGGTGCCCAGCTCCCTGGCTTTATCCTCGGGTGGGTGTCTTGGAGCCCCCTCAGGGCCGAATCACTCTCTGGGAGGGAGGAAACCGTCAAGACCAGTTCTGTCTACAGTGGGTTAACAGGTTCTAAGAGGGAGTTTTGCTTTAAACTTAATTCTGTGTTCACGGTTGCTGTTGTCACTCCATGTAGCCGTTATGGGTAATTTGCAAGGCTTTATGTTTTTAAAATCTCACCATATACCCTAGGTATGTCACTTCATGCCTGTTTTTAAGAAAAGAAAAAATTTAAAAAGCACTCACCAGCATCCCTGTCTCTGTACCTGTTAAGTGGAGCTTCGTCTTAGCTGCTTTTGCTCATTAACTGGTGTCTCATATAAACATAGTATAAGATTGAATGAATCATTTTGACATCTCATCGGTTGAACTTAGTTACAGTGGCAAAGTTGTAGAACAGTCTTAAAACTTATTTAACGAATGTTAATTGTTGACTAGCGCTGCGGATTGTAAGTGATTGAATACTAAAATTGATCTTTTCCTAATAATAAACATGTTGAACACTTCGTAAAGCTTCATAAAGTGCGTATTTGCAAGAGGCCTCCTAACTCTTGCTCCTTCCGTCCACAGTCAGTTTCCATCTGGCAGCTAGAATGAGCTTTTCAATAACATGAATTTGGCTTATTCCCCTCCTGAGTCACTTCCATTTGCTGCTCTGCGGGGTCGGGTGCCTGCCTCCCTTGGTAATTGCATCTCACACAGTTTTTTCCCTTTTGTTCCCAGTGCCCCTCGCTGCCTTGTGTTCTTTGACATTGGAAAGAAGGTCTCGTTAAGGATCTCTGTATGTTCCTTTTGCCCTGTGTGCACTTCCTTTGGATCCTTGCAATTATCTTTCTCCTTCTAAGGTTGTTATTTCAAAGAGTACTTGCACATCCCTTCTCTTGTAAAGAACCACTCTTCCACCTGCCTCCCTCTTCAGCCTGAGATACGTTGTCAATCTCATCCTGTAAGTGGGTTTTAAAATAAATTTCGAAGTTTATTTTTAGTAAAAGAAGTGTGTTTGAATATGCTTCTTTATATTTGAAAGTCTTGACACTTTTACAGCTACTTAAGGCCTAGGTCTCTGTTCCAAATTGGCTTTAGTGACGGTAGTAATTGTTAAAAACTTACTGTTGCATGCTCTTTATAGTGATACTTTTTTTTTTTTTTTTTTTTTTTTTTTACAAAAAGCCGGTCGTAGTTGCCCTCTCCCGTAGTCCCAGCTACTGGGGAGGCTCAGTGGGGAGGATCACCTGAGCCCATGGGTGGAGGCTGCAGTGAGCTGTGATCGTGCCACTGCACTCCAACCTGGGTGACAGAGTGAGACCCTGTCTCAAAAAATAATAGTAATGATACTTTTTTTTTTTTTTTTTTGGAGACGGAGTTTCGTTCTTGTTGCCCAGTCTGGAGTGCAATGGCATGGTCTCAGCTTACTGCAACCTCCGCCTCCCGGATTCAAGTGATTCTCGTGCCTCAGCCTCCCTAGTAGCTGGGATTACAGGAACCCACCACCACGCTTGGCTAGTTTTTGTATTTTTAGTAGAGATGGGGTTTCACCATGTTGGCCATGCTGGTCTGGAACTCCTGACCTCAGGTGATCCGCCCACCTCGGCCTCCCAAAGTGCTGGGATTACAGGCAATGAGCCACTGCGCCTGGCCATGATACAGTGTTTTTCAATCTCGGCCAAAGTTTTTTGTTGAATTCAGGTGGTAAATTTCCATTATCTCTAATGCTAGTTGTCTTTGTAAACTAGTAGAAGCTATTGCATATTTATATTTTTAATAAGTAGGTTCAGATTTCATCAGAACTCTCCTTTTGGAAGAACGTCAATCAAGAAAAATTCTAAGTTTTTTTTCAGTGTGCAGATGCAGAGGTTTTCCTTTTCTTTTTTTAAAAGGTAGTACCTAGATTTTTGGCAGCAGAATAATAGCATTTCCAGAACATGTTTTCAAAATGTTCTCTATACAGAAAAAGTTTTATTTGACAAGCAGTTACTTTGTAGCTTACTGTTAAAATGTGTTTTCTTTTTTCTTGCAACAACAGATTGTGTTCCTTTAAAAAAATGCTAAAAATCAAGCTCCGGTACCCTTCCCAATAAGAAGAGGACAGCAATTATAGAATACCTGTCTTTTTGTAAAAGAAAATTTGTAACTCATCTTTAAGTTCAACAACAGTTTTTTTATGTTTTTTTTTTTTTTTTTTGAGAGGGAGTCTCTCTGTGTTGCCCAGGCTGGAGTGCAGCGGCTCAGTCTCGGCTCGCTGCAAGCTCCGCCTCACGGGTTCACGCCATTCTCCTGCCTCAGCCTCCTGAGTAGCTGGGACTACAGGCGCCCGCCCGGCTAATTTTTTGTATTTTTAGTAGAGACGGGGTTTCACCGTGGTCTCTATCTCCTGACCTCGTTATCCGCCCGCCTCGGCCTCCCAAAGTGCTGGGATTACAGGCGTGAGCCAACGCGCCCGGCCTCAACGACAGTTTTAAAGTAGTTTGCCACAAGATAGTAAACCTCTGTTTGGTATAGAAGATTTTCATGGCCACATCCCATAATGTAAAAGCTTCTCTTATTTGAGATAATATAAACCATACATCCACTTAATTGAATACGTGAATATTGCAAAATGTTACAGTTCTGTGATGGTGAATGTTTCTCTCCATATTGTGGAATCTATCACTTTTCTCATTATATGGTCCGTATTATATGTGACATGTGATAGGTGGATGTAGTTACTGGTACGGATGCTGATGCAAATGTAAGTATGTATTTCGTAAACTAATTTTGTCTTTCTGCAGATTAACAATACAAGTAGGGTTTTTAGTATTTTCTTTCTGCTCCTTGGCAGATTGATTTGAGCATCCTTCTTTGTGAACCATTAGTGTAGATTTGAAATTTGGGAGGAGACACTGCTTTCTGAGGATTGGACCTCGGCTGTCTCTAGAACTTCACTGAAGGAAGAGAACTAGAGCTGGACCTAGGAAAGGAAGCAAATTTTTCTTTATGGAAGTCATAATTTATAGCATCTATAGAAGAGGCCTAAGTGTTACTTGTGAATAATTTTTCTAGCTACAGTTTAGGATGAGAATTAACCAGTGAATCAGAAAGAGGATTTATCCAAAGAGAAAATCTGCTTAAATTAACTGAGACATCTGTTTTGGTAGACAAACTGTTACTTAATGTTGACCTAAATTTTAACCTGAAATTTACTAAATGATGACTAAAGATGAAGTTTCAAATTCAATGTAAATTTAAAGTCAAAAGATAATTTTTTGTAAAATTCTGGTCAAGCAGAGCAATATCTATTGTAAATCTAATATATTGTTGAAAGTGAATCATTGGTCAACTAGCAATACTTTTTTTTTCCTTAACATTGTTAACAAGGAACCTCAGTGTGGCTGTTCTTTAATTTATGGACAGTTCACACATTGGAACTGCTGACCTCTTCCTCAAAGGAAATGGGTGAGTCACTCTTGAGTACTCTGGCACCTTACCTAGCATTACATTTCCAGTAAATGTGTGTTGCATTAAATTGAGAGCTTAGAGTAAGAAATGGTTCCTGAACCATCAGGATCAGTTCTGAGTTAGGGACTGTGGCCTCTCTGTGATTATCCTTCCTTGATCTATAATTACAGTTTACGTGAGGACAATGTGGTACATTATAACTAAGGTAACAAGCTTTAATAGGGATAATTAGTACTAAATATTTTTCAAAATTATGGAACATAGCTAATATTTGTGATATTGCATGTGGAAAATAACTTACAAATGAATCTTTGGAACTTAACATATTAGTAATTTGAGACTGCCTGTGGAGAAAATAGAATTGAGTCATGTTTTTTCTTAACAGATTTTTATTTATGAAAAAATTCATAATTCTATAGTTCTTCTGGTTAGTGGACCTAAGTACAACTTTTGGAAAATGTAAGTTTTGAAATTAAATACATTTCCTTCTTTGAGTACTAGGAAGCTGTAAATTAGATTTGCGGTCCATTTTGTTTTTGTGTTGGGCAATTTTTGTTAACTTTGTGAAATGAAGTCAGGTTAAAAAATTATCAGAAGTTATTACACATGTATAATGTAAAAGTTCATTTAAAAATGGGTTCATTTGTAAATATTAGCATATTGTTTGTGAAGGGCTTGTTGTATAGCCTGTGATATTAATAGTTACCATTTATTAATAGCTACTGTGGGTGTAGGGGTCTGATACACATAATCTCATTTAATCTTTGTAATAATTCTGCCCAAACACTATTTACCATTACCAAATTACCATTTTATAGATAAGGAAATTGAGGATCAGAGGCTAATACGTAGCTATCCAAAGTCATGCTGCTATTTCTAGTAAATAGTCAGCTGGGGTTCTCTATTGAGGTGGTGTTGACTCCCACCACCAGTCTTCTTTTTACTTAGCTTTGTTTCCTTTGAGGAACCTCATGACTCATAATAGAGTGGGGTAAATTGTATTGGAGACGCATCTTCCTTCTTATCCTTTCCTCCGTTTAGGAGCTGCAGTGAACACTTTTCATTGAACATGTAGCATGAAGAGGCTTCAGAAGTTTGAAAGTTTGAATCTTTAAATCTGTGATGTTTGTACTAATTATAAACTACATTTTTTTTTTTTTTTTTTGGTAGGAAACTCAACAGTGTAAATTTGATGGCCAGGAGACAAAAGGATCCAAGTTCATTACCTCCAGTGCGAGTGACTTCAGTGACCCGGTTTACAAAGAGATTGCCATTACGAATGGCTGTATTAATAGAATGAGTAAGGAAGAACTCAGAGCTAAGCTTTCAGAATTCAAGCTTGAAACTAGGTAATTAAAAATAACTTATAAAATTATAAAAGTAGTACATGCTCATTTTAGAAAATCTTGAAAACATTGAAATATTAAAAATCATCTGTAATCCTACCGTAATGACATGATCCTATTAACAGTTCACAAAAACTAATTAACATTTTTTATGTGCAACTCTGATTATTTTTGTCTGTCTTCTAGATGATAGGACTGCTGAATCAAAGTCAAATATTTTAATGACCTACCGGCAATGTATAGGAGTCTCTGTCTTATTATGACAAGTGTGTTTTAAATTTTTTTAGTTGCTCATTTAAATGATGGATAGTTATATTAGTGAGATAGAGTATTTTTTATTTTCTTTTTGCCATTTGTATCTTTTATAAAAAGAGTTTGTTTGAAATCAGGTACAATAAATTAAAAACATTCACTTAACAGGAATATTTTTTGTTTTAATTTCTAAAAAATAATCTACAATGATCGTTTGCATTATGTTTCACTGTATATTGAGTGAGAAAACAATGCAACTTAGTCAACTGTATGTGTATTTTAATGAGATATACACATACCTAAGTTTTTAGTAATTTTTTGCGAAACAAATCACTTTACGTTCATTGGGCCATGGGGCAGAAATGGCTTTTGGAGTCCAGAAAAATACATCGATTTTTGATAAACGGTAGAACTGCCAGGCATCAAGAAAAAAAATTGCCTGTATGAAATAGGTAAAAACTCTTCCTTTTTCAAGACATCTCTGAATCATAATTCTCTTAATAGTAGTATTCTTCCTCTTTAGAGTTTCACCACTCTTCAAAAGAGCACAAATTTATTAATTTCTAGATTGTCTACATCATAATGTATGAAGAAATTTTTGACTCCTATTTCCCCGATTCTTTCTGTTATGAAGGTACAACTTGTAGCCTACAGAAGATTTTCCGAGCAAAATTTTTGTCCTTCCCAGGTGTGAAGATCAGTTGCTTACTCCTGGCTTGCGTGGGAGCTAGCGATCTAGATGTATGTTTATACGTTTATTCAACAAGCCTGTATTGAATTCTAAGTACTGCACTAGGCATTGAAGTTATAAAGGTAAATACAGATATGTTCCCCACTTTGGCAATCTCAGTCTTTTGGGAAAACATACAAAGAAATCATCACAATACAGAGTGGCCAATGCTATATTGGAGGTCTGGCCAGGTACAGCATGAGAATACAGAGGAGAATATTTCTCAGGAATTCAGAAAGATGACATTTGAATTGTGCCAAACAGAAAAGGGAGGGGGAGGGTATTTCAGGCAAAAAAATAACAGAAACTTTTCTAATTCCAGTTTGTATGGTTTCTGCAACATGATCTTGCCTTTTCTTCACCTGTTGTGCAACCAAAGTTATAGGACATAAAAGTGTATTGAGAACATGCCTTTTATTTTTTATTTTTTTGAGACAGAGTCTTGCTCTGTCGCCAGGCTGGAGTGCAGTGGTGTGATCTCGGCTCACTGCAACCTCCGACTCCTGGATTCAAGCGATTCTCGTGCCTCAGCCTCCTGAGTAGCTCGGATTACAGGCATGCACCACCATGCCTGGCTAATTTTTGTATTTTTAGTGAAGATAGGGTTTCTCCATGTTGCCCAGGCTGGTCTCGAGCTCCAGCTCAAGTGATTCACCCCCCTCCCAAAGTGCTGAGATTATAGACGTGAGCCATCTGGCTGGTTGAGGCCATGGCTTATAGTATATTTTGTCTGCAGTACACAGTATACCTCAGGAACATGTGACAATGATAGTCAAATGATAGGTTGTAGCCAAGTTGTGAAGGAACTCTATGCTGAAGTCTGCATTTTACCTCGTAAGCAGAAGGGAGCCACTGAAGATATTTAAGCAGAAAATTGGTGTTAGTGCTCAGTTCTCAAGTAAAGTAAAGAATGAATCGAAGTGTTGTGGTAATGGAGGCATTTGCCATGCTCAACGAAGCTAATGAGAGCCATAGCAGAAAGAATTAGAGAGAATCATATTCTGAATATGTTTCTGAGTTAGAATTGACAAACATGGTGAATATTTGGAAGAGCAAAGGAGATGTTAAAGATAGCAGGTTTCTATCCAGAGCAACTAGTTGTATGTTTGTCCTGCCATTAGCTTTGCAGACAACTCTGGTAAATGTAGTCTCTCCCCCTATCACACCTCCCACCCCACAACAATAACAACCAATAAAAAGATAAAAAAAGAAAGTAATCCAAAGCTGTCACATGACACAGAGGTCACTCACAGTGCCTTAATATGAAAGAGGTTAAGGATTTTCTCCGTAGGTCTTGATAATTTTGAAAATCTCAAGCAAAGAAACAATATTAAGACATTTCATCTTAAAAAAGCTAACTGGTTGATTATTACTATTTTCATGGGTAGGATTTTTTTCAGTGCTTAATTGTATTTTAGAAAGGAAAATAAAAGACTAAAAAGGTTTTTTTTAAATAGTCATTAATCAGTTAACATGATACTTTACTTGGCACTACACATTAATTATAATTTAGATCTTTTTATTTTTACTTCCATTTCATATTTGCAGGCCAATATAGGATTCATTTATATAACGCTGAAGGAAGCCTGAATGCTGGTTGCAACTTAATTTTTTGGAAAAATACATATTGTTTAAAGAATGAAGTCACCTGATCACTGTTATCTGTTAGGATGACCTTTCTCTCCTCCCCACTACTCCATTTGTGGAATGTATATTTTAAAGCTACCTATAATATTGAAATCCCCTAAATCATATTCTACCCATGATAAATTAAGAAACTTATTTCTAGTTAAGAACCTACTAGTGTGATAATGCTCCTTTGGACAGTTTACTTAGAGTGTATTCTAATTGAGTTTTCCTTGTTAAGTAGCCAACAGACATTCACCTTTATATGCTAGGCTCATAATGCTTTCATATTCATATGAATCTTTTGAGTTGACTAACCTACAAAAGCCAAAAGAAAGGAAAGAGATAATACGATATTTTCAACTTAACCCAAATTTTTATATTCTTAAGTTTATATTTTGGCCAGTGGAATAATTTTATATTAATTTCAATGTTTGTATCATATATGTTATCTTAGTATATAAGGCAGTATGACGACTGTGTTGGTAGTATATGCTGACAGTGTTTATGGTTTGAAGTACCAGTATATGTTGGAGAAAATACTGTTATATACTACTAAAATAAAAAAAGACTTGTGAAGGAAAATGTTAATGTTGTAATAAACATATTATTTTAATTAGTTCTTTGCTAACTTAGCTTTGAGTCTTGCTTTTCTTACATTTATTTTAGCTAGCATTTGCTAAATTTCGCTGTGATTGTCAGTGTTCAGCCCAGTGCCAGCAGGTGAGAGTTTTGATTCTTGACTGTAGAATTTACCTAAGTGTAACTAGTCTTCTTCTTCTACTTAGAGGAGTAAAGGATGTTCTAAAGAAGAGACTGAAAAACTATTATAAGAAGCAGAAGCTGATGCTGAAAGAGAGCAATTTTGCTGACAGTTATTATGACTACATTTGTATTATTGACTTTGAAGCCACTTGTGAAGAAGGAAACCCACCTGAGTTTGTACATGAAATAATTGAATTTCCGGTTGTTTTACTGAATACGCATACTTTAGAAATAGTAAGTGAATTTTTGTATTTTAATTGTATTTCTAGCAGCAACTATTCTGGTGTTTACTGGTTATGTGGAGGACCTCATTTGCTTTTTAGCCAGAATTAGACTTCTAAAGTAAGTTTTTTCTTTGCCATGAACTTTATATCAGCTTGATTAATAGAAAAGCTGTAACAAAGCAATTTTAGAGACTACTGCTTTCTTTTTGCAGTAGCGGAAGTTAAAATGTTGTTTTCCATTTGCTTAGAACATCTGGGTGTGGACATCAGAATCTCCTGGTAAGTAAAAAAATAAAACACTAATGATACTGATGCCTGGCCCTAGTCCCAGAGATTCTAATTTAGTTCTCTGATAGGGCCTCTGACATCAGCATTTTTTTGAAGCTTTTCAGTTGGTTTTAATATGCGGTCAGGCTTGATAACCACCACTGTGGCCTAGTGTGAACTCTGATCTCTAAGAATGATAATTTACAAAAATGACTTTTGAACCTCTCTCTCTGGTGGAAAGTTTAAGGGTGAAATGACTCATATAACCCTGGTTTCTAAGCCAAATAATATGTGTGCTTTAGATACTTGTCAGTGCTTTATTAGTTAAGAAAGTCTAGTAGGAATTCCCTAAAATAATACTGTTTACCTTATAAAATCTGAGCAAGAATATCCTAACATCTCAACTTTCCAAAAGTCACTTCTGTGATATCCTCAGTTGCTACCAACCCACTTGGGAGTAAGTATAAAAAGGTTTTGTGAATTAAAATGCATAGGTTATTAGTGCTATTCAAAATCTCTTTTAGTTATAGTCTTAGCCTATTTCTATAATTTTCTTATCCAAAGCAGATTGAAGGTCAGTAAATTAGAAGGAAAAATGGCAGCTATGAAGGCAAATAATCTTGCATAAGTCACTAGATTTTACTTCTCTCTTACTCAAGGACGTTACTGTAGCAGTTCTCCCTCATTTGGACATTATGATTTATTGCTTTTGTCTATATTGCTCCCACTACACAAAAACATGTTATATTTTTCACACTGTGTAAAAACTTCATCCCACTTCACTGCCAGCTACTGCATTTCTTTGTTCCTCTTTTTGGGAAAATTCTTCACTTAAGTTATAGGTACTTATATGTTTATCTCTTTCCTTTTCTTCCATTCTCTCAAATTTATACCATAACCTTCAGTAAAGTTTAAGCTGTGTATTCAATCCCATCATTCCACTAAAATCACTCATCAACATCATCTTTGACCTTTACCCTAACTCCTGGCAAAATTGACCATTCTCACTTTTTTTTTTCTTTTTTAAGATAGAGTCTTGTACCCAGACTTGAGTGCAGTGGTGCAAACCCAGCTGACTGCAACCTCCACCTCCTGGGTTCGAGCAGCTCTCCTGCCTCAGCCTCCTGAGTAGCTGGGAATACAGGTGTGTGTCACCACGCCCGGCTAATTTTTTGTATTTTAGTAGAGACAGGGTTTCATCATGTTGCGCAGGCTGGTTTCAAACTCCTGAGCTCAGGCAATCCACCTGCCTCAGGTTCCCCAAGTGCTAGGATTACAGGCGTGAGCCACCATGCCCGGCCATTCTCACTTAAAAAAAAAAAAAAAAAAATTAACACTGCACTGCTGGCTTGAATACTCTTTCCTTGGAGCATTTTCTTCAGGTATAACTTGTTCTGCTTGATTTTTCTCCAGCCCTACTGGATTCCCCACTTGCAGTTTTCTTTGCTGGTTCCTCCTTTCCTTCCCAGCTTCCCCATATCAGATGACCCAGGTCTCAATCCTAGCCCCCGTTCTCTGCTTACATCCTCTTCTCTGCTTACATCCTTTCGCTTGATGATCTTATCTAGTTCCATAGCTTTCAGAAGCTATCTCTTTGCTGGTGACTTTCAAATACATATTTCCAACCCGTTCCAAATCCAGATTGCTTATTTGAAATCTCTGCTTAAGTGTCTCAACCTTTTGAACTTACCCCAGCCCATTCTATCTTTAGCCTCCTGTAGCCTGGGGGATGGCAGCTTTTTCTAATTAGAATCCTTCTAATTGCTCAGTTCAAAAACTTTGGAGTCATCTTTGACTCTTGTTTCTCTCACATCCAGGTCATCAATGATTCCTGTTTGGCTCTGCCTTCAAAATATATCCAGAACCCAGTCACTTAACTGAACTGCTGTGACTTCATTCTGATCCTCTATCATTTATGTGACTTACTGCATTCGCCACCTAACTGGTCTTTGTGTTTCTGTCTGTGTCCGCCTACAACCAGTTCTCAAAAAACTGGCCAGAGTAATCCTTTTAAAATACAAGTCATTTCACCCCTCTGCTCAAAACCCTGCAATGGCTCCTCATTTAACTCAGAGTACAACCAATATTCCTTACATGACCTGGCCTATTGTTTCCTCTGATTGTTTCCTGTCTTACTACTCTTTTCCTTAACTCATTCCACTCCAGGCATACTGACCTGCTTGCTTATTCTCAAAAATGCCAGGCATGCTTTATCCCATTACTTGCCAGGACTTTAGCTCCAGTTTTCTTAGCCAGAAGTCTTGCTGGCTGATGTTTTTCTCCTTCTCTCCCTCCCTCCCGTTTTTCCTTCCAGTCCTTCCTTAAATCTTACCTCTAAATAAAGCCTACTTGATTATCCTATTTAAGAGTGTGGCCTGTGCCCATGTTTCTGACCCCCCTTACTGCTCTACTTTCCTTTGCTTGCTCAAGGGAGTCTCCTACTTTATCTTCCTGAGTAGCTGGGATTACAGGCACCCAGGTTCCTTTAGTTTTAATAACCCTTACTACCTTTTAACTTACCTAATTTATTTAAGTGATGATTAAAGATTTGGCCAATGAATGTATAGTTCTCTCTAGCATTCTTCTGTTAAAAGTATTTAGTAGCGAATAACATTTTAGTAATATCTGTTATTTAGTACTACCGAATTATAATTATAAGGGAAGTTGCAATATATTTTTGAAAGAATGTCATTTAGAATGATAAAATAGTGATACTTAAAAGGATATAGACTTAATTTATCTGTGATATGCAGTTAAGTGGAATGTTGCAGTGTATCCGGTAAGAGTGTCTAACTTTTGAAGTTCAATTATTCTTTTGTTTTGTTTTGTTTTGTTTTTTTTGAGATGGAGTCTTGCTTTGTCACCCAGGCTGGAGAGCAGTGGCTCAATCTCGGCTCACTGCAACCTCTGCCTCCTGGGTTCAAGCGATTATCCCACCTCAGCTCCTTGAGTAGTTGGAACTATACGTGCATGCCACCTTGCCCAGCTAATTTTTGTATTTTTAGTAGAGACAGGTTTCACCACTTCGGCCAGGCTGGTCTTGAACTCCTGACCTCAAGTAATCCACCCCCCTTGGCCTCCCAGAGTGCTGGGATTACAGGCATTAGTCACCACATCTGGCCTCAGGTGTTCTTTTTTGTTCTTTACTGTTGCTCATTTACAATTCTTTACAACCATTTATAGCTCATCCACTTAATAGATTAGTAGGTAGAAAGAATTTATTCTTAGGAAATACAAACTTTTCTTAATTTTTAAATCTTCTGCCATGAAGAATATTTTTTGTCATTTTCTCTATATCTACTACCTAGGATTAACAGTTGCTGCCTTTAAATCTTTAGGGTTTAAAATTGTCCTTAATCTCAAAATTGACTCAGTGTGTTCTGGTTAGGGAGGCATTACTGGCTAGAGGAAAAAGCACTTAGAGATCGGAGCCTGATAACAATACTGGCCTCACTTAGTTTACAGAGTTGTGAGCATAAAATAAGACCATCGTGTCAGGAGATCGAGACCATCCTGGCTAACATGGTGAAACCCAGTCTCTACTAAAAATACAAAAAATCAGCCAGGCGTGGTGGCAGGCGTCTGTAGTCCCAGCTAGTTGGGAGGCTGAGGCAGGAGAATGGCGTGAACCTGGGAGGCGGAGCTTGCAGTGAGCCGAGATTGTGGCAGTGCACTCCAGCCTGGGAGACAGAGCGAGACTCTGTCTCCAAAAAAAAAAAAAAAAAAAGAGACCATCGTGAAAGCTTCTTGAAAAGATTCAACATTACTGTAGATACACAGTGTTAGCAACTCTTAAACTACCTATATATCATACAGTTAAATTTTGACTATTTAGAATTTAGTTCAATTGGATTTTTATATGAAAATAAAGACTATTCAGGAGTAAATGAGAGAAAAATAGTTTAAAGCTAATTTATTATAACTGCAGGCTGGCATTTCTTCAAAAGAATTTATTATTTTTAAAACTTAGTATCTTGAAGTAGAGGATGCATTAATGCGCTTTATAGTTTTAAAATATTATGAACAAAATTATTAATATTTTGTTCCTCAGGAAAATAATTAAATTTTGGGTTGAAATCTTTCACACACTCACTTTATCGTAAAATATTTTAAATTATGAATCAATTCATTTTTTAATTTAAAAATTAAGAGTGCTTTCGATGTGGGGAATTATTCTTAAAAACTGGAAGGGTTTATGCCGTGAGATCCTATGAAATTGCAACCTGCTGTGATGAATTCGTCGTGTATCATGTATCGTGTATCTTAACTCATATAAATTACTTTAACTTGCTATCCTTCCCTTGCAGGAAGACACGTTTCAGCAGTATGTAAGACCAGAGATTAACACACAGCTGTCTGATTTCTGCATCAGTCTAACTGGAATTACTCAGGTTATAATTCTAAGTTCTTCTTTCTAGAGTTTGAAAGAGTTCTTGAAATTAGGGATTTATTTTATACATAATTTAAAAAAATTATTACTGTTGTGAACAATTTAATACCTTGCTTGGTAAAGATCTTTCATGTTGTAATAATTAAAAAAAAAAAAACAGCAAATTTTATATCTGGTAACATTTTCCTCAGCCTTTCCTCTTAAGGAGTTGTAGTGGTGAATCGAAAGATTTCGTCTGTAAAATGCATCAGCAAATTGTTTCCATACTGAACTTGGAGATGTTTGATTTATTTATTTTTTTGAGACAGTCTCACTCTGTCACCCAGGCTTGAGTACAGTGGCGTGACCTCGGCTCACTGCAGCCTCTGCCTCCTGGGCTCAAGCGATTCTCCTGCCTCAACCTCCTGAGTAACTGGGACTACAGGCGCGTTGCCACCACACCCGGCTAATTTTTTTATTTTTAGTAGAGACCTGGTTTCGCCATATTGGCCAGGCTGGTCTCGAACACCTAACCTCAAGTGTCCCGCCTCGGCCTGCCAAAGTGCTGGGATTACAGACGTGAGCCACCATGCCCAGCCAGAGATAAGTTTTAGAATGTATCTGTTTACAACCTGACTTTATATTTTGCATTTATTTTTTATTTTTATTTTTTTGAGATGGAGTCTCACTCTGTTGCCCAGGCTGGAGTGCAGTGGCACGATCTTGGCTCACTGCAACCTCTGCCTCCCAGGTTCAAGCGATTCTCCTGCCTCAGCCTCCCAAGTAGCTGAGACTATAGGCACACACCACGATGATTGGCTAATTTTTTTTTTATTTTTAGTAGAGACGGGTTTCACTGTGTTGGCCAAGGTGGTCTTGAAGAACTCCTGACGTCAAGCCCTCCTCGGTCCCAAAAAGTGCTGGGATTACGGGCATGAGCCACCACACCTAGCCTGTTTCATGAATTTTTAGGTCTCTGATTTTTTATTGTATTCTAATGTGGTAGGCACTTTTTTCATTTAGTTAGTTCATTCATTCACTCCACGTGTATTTGAGTGCCTACTATAATATATGCCAGGATTTGTATATATCTTTATGTGTATATAGACGTATGTCTGTGCAGTGGTCACAGTAGGCCTAATAAGTCAGTGTTTTATTGCGGTGTTGTGGACATCTATGAAAAGGGCTTCCATATATGACAGAGGGAATAGAAGACTGTCCTGGGGAAAAACATCCTCAAGTTGATGAACTTGGGCTGAGTCATGAAAGATAGGTAGGCAGAAAAGAATGGCTGGGCATTTCAGGTGGGAACTGGCAGACCTACAGGTAGTTCAGGATGGTTCAGATGTGTATGGACTGTTAAGAAAATGGTCCAGATAGGCAGAGGCAATCCAGATCCTGAAGGGTCTTGTGCATCTATTTGTCCTGAAAGCCTTGGAGAGTGGTTGGAGGATTTAAGTATGAGAGTGATAGGGCGGACCCGATTTACGTTTTAGGAAGATCAGTCTGGCAGCAGTATGTAGTATGCGTGGAAAATTGTGAGACCTGAGATGGGAAGACACTTAGGGAGCTGTGGCTTTCAGCTTAGAAGAGATTTCTCTTTTCCCTCCTCTAGAAATCCAGTAAGCCGCTAGGTTCAGGCCTATAAAAAGAGAACCACTGGGGATGATCTTAAATCTTAATTTTGGGAGGATTATACGTTTCAGTTGAAAGTAGTCCCAGTACTTGGTTATGAAATTTTTAGAATTTCTTAAAAATGAAACTTTAGGTGGAGCTAAGCCAAGGAAACCATGAATTTAAAGTATCAGCCTTTCTCATACTGTTTCTTCCCCTCCAACTTAGGTCTGGGTATTTTGTAGGTCTACGTGAAGCTGCAGCCCTGATTTTTGTATATTTTACTTTTATATCCTCAGGATCAGGTAGACAGAGCTGATACCTTCCCTCAGGTACTAAAAAAAGTAATTGACTGGATGAAATTGAAGGAATTAGGAACAAAGTATAAATACTCACTTTTAACAGATGGGTAAGTATTTAGGAAGATTATTTTTTTATATCTACTTTTTAAAGATTAAAGATACCCTTATTTATCTGATTTTTAGAATAACCACAAACTATTATTAGAGACCCTAGAGTCTCACCCCACAGGGAATAGTATTTTTCCTTTCACCTAAGGATGAAAGAGAGGAAGAAAACAGTGGTCACAGTCCAATACAGGACTAGAACACTACAGAAAGTTAAAAATATGTAAAGCTAAAAAGACTTTGCTAAAACTCTGTTTTTTCATGACACTTCCTTACTCAAAAAAGTTCAGACTCTTGAGCTTGGCCTTGAAGCCTCTTTCCTCTCATCCCACGCTACCTGTTTAATCTAATTCACCTGCCATTAATCCTCTTTAGTCAGACTGGCCCAGGAATTCACATGGTTTACCCTTTCTCTGTGTAGTTACTTATGCCTCCCTCTGTACTGAGAGTGTCTTCTCGACAACTTTATCATTTTTCAAAGCCCATCTTGTGTTTTACCCTGACAACGCCATTGATCTTTTTTTTCCTTGAAACCTTATAATTTCTATGGTATATACCATTCATGTTGACATCTGACCATATATTCTGATATATAATCTTTGTGTACATACATAAGACTTACTTTTGCAAGGAAATCTAAAATTCTTTCAGAGAAGGACTTTTGCTGCCTAATAATCTTCCATAATGCTTACCTTAGTGCTGAGCTTAAAGTGTATGCCCAAAAAGCATTTGTTAAATGAAAAGCTAAATGGGAAGATCAGAAAGATTAAAACATAGATGACAGACGTTGTGCCAGGGCAACTCCGATACCTTAAGGCCATTAAGGTTGAAAAGAACGTCCTAAACAACTTCTGTTTCAAACTGTGCAGGTTATCCTCTATACCTGAGATGTCACCAACATAGAGGGTTTGGAGATCCTCACATGTGATAGGAGAAAAGCATTGAATTTAATCACATCATAACTGTTAAGTTTGGAAAAATGTTTATGGACCTCTTTAGAAATCCATTACTGATTTTAAACATGAATGAGCAGTGCTCTGCTAAAGTATACAGGTGTTTCTGCTGTAGTATAGTATACGCAGTTCTGGTAAAGTCTCATTTTGTGGGACAGATCACTCAAAACCTATGCAATTTTGTAACAAGAGCACTAACAAAAACCAATCATTAGAGTCTCCATTAATAATTTGGCAGCCCAGGCAAGCAGCTCAGGGAAGGTGAGGTTGCGTCAAAGTATATGAAAATTGTACAGAAGCACTAGTGTCCTGGGGACATACACTTATTTTTAATTTTCTTATAATATAGTTGACAGTATTATAAGAAAATACAAAGGATTATATCCTGTTCCCAGTATAGCAGCTGAGTTGAGGGCTTTTCTTATTTCCTGCTGAAGTTTATAATTTCCACTGCTATTATTCTGACTCTCCTTGCCTAAGAAAAACCACGTAGGAACCAACACAATTTCCATATTACACAATCAGTATTGTCCTTAACTACAATAAATTGGTTAGTGTTATAGAAAAATGTTGTAGCAGAACAGATTGTATTTTAACCATTTGATACCAGCTGCTTTTGTTTCTTTCATTTTTTTGTTTTTGGTTTTATTTCAAAGCATGCTGTCAACTTACCATGCTAAGTCTGGCAGTAAAAGTAAGCTTAGCATAATACTCAGCAAGATAGAAGCCTGCCCAGAACCATGAAAACAATCAAGATGAGCCTAATAGGAATTAGTTTGTGAACAAAAGTTAATATATCCGACTTCTTTGTTTGGTTTTTAAAGCTTAATTTTGAATTAGTATTTTGTAGGAAGCAAGGTTAATTTTCTCAGCTTGATGTTACATTTGAATATGAGAAAGTTGACATATATAAATAAATGATTTAAAATACTCATTTGTAAGAATAGCATAGCGTTTATTTCATCAATTTTTTGTCCTTTTTTAATTTATAGTTCTTGGGATATGAGTAAGTTCTTGAACATTCAGTGTCAACTCAGCAGGCTCAAATACCCTCCTTTTGCGAAAAAGTGGATCAATATTCGGAAGTCATATGGAAATTTTTACAAGGTAAAATTTCTATATTTAATAATTACGTGGTTCTTAATGATAAATTTGTTAAAATTTGCATGTACGTTAGATTGTAATTTTCCAGGTGTTTTTCATGGAAAAAAGCCATATAATTAGTTCTTACTCTTCAGATTCCAAATTCCTTATGTTCAAATTAGATAAGCCTTTTTCTCATTCAACCTGTTAACTTTATTTAAGTAGGTTAACTATATATACCTGACAAGTTTGAAACTGTAGGGGCAGTCAGTATGTGGATTGTTCATGGAGCAAATGCTCCCCACTAGATTTTAATTTTACTTCACATTTATCAAAGTTAATATGCGTGTGCCGTGTAAATGTTTAAAATATTATTGCAAGACTTACAATGAATGGCAGTCTTCTGCCATAGCCTTCACCAGAACTGGTTCCTGTTCTGAGGCAAACACTTTCAACTTATGTAAAGCTCTGTTTTTGTTTTTGTTTTTGTTTTTTTTCAAATATTTACCTTTGTATTTCTAAGTTTCATGCTTATACTACTTCTTGACTTTTCAGTTTGCGATCTATTGAATTCCTGCCCTGAAAGATCAAGATTGAGTTCAATTAAGTTACCACTCCTGCTTGTCCTTCCCTTCCTGCATCTTCCTACTATAGCTCTATTACCTTTCAGTCAGAGCACTCAGTGTTCATACTCCCGTGACTATGGAGAGTGTCCACAACTTTCCCCTGGATGTAATAATTTACTTCCGCGGTTGTTTACTTATCCCCTTACTCTCCATTCAAACTGTAAGTCACTTCTTATGACTGAGAACACTCAGGTAGTCTGTCAGGTTTTCTTTTTTCATCTGTTTTTCCCTTGCAGACTATCTTCCTGGAGCCTTTAATCCTGTTCTAATCTGAACTGTTAGTTCTTCAGGCTTCTTTTAAAATCATCTTAGGGGATTTCCTTTAATTCTCATGCATTAGATACTATGTCATTTTTCTCCCTTTACAGTTTCATTTTGGAGAAGCATGTTCTAAAGTAGTTTCATGAGAAAAGGTGCTTTTCCTTACAGACTCTTCTGTTTTAACAGTCTTTTAAAACTGAGAAGTATGCATGCAGAAAAGTAGAGTTTTGCCGATTGCTATAAAGCAAATACCCTTGTAACTTCCACCCACTTAACTCCCTTCCTTCCTCCTGGAGTTAACCCTAATTCTTCCTTTCATGGTAATCATTTTCTTATTATTCCTTATAGCTTTAGTATTTAAATGTATATCCTTATATTATATAGTTTTGTCTGGCTTTGAGCACGATATAATTAGTATTATACTGGCTATATTATTTGTTTTTTTTGTTTTTTTTTTTTTTTCAATATTATGCTTGAGATCCATCCACGTCTTGTATGTCACTGCAGTTCATTCACTTTATTGCTATTAATTCCATTGTGTGACTATACCAGATTTGTTTATCTGTTCTACTTTGGCTGGCCATTTGGATTGTTTTTATTTGGGGCTTCCATGAAGAGTACTTTTATAAGCATTGTTGTGCATGTCCCCTGGTGTCTGTGCACTCGTTTTTCTAAGAAAAACCTAAGAGTGCAGTTGCTGGGTCATGGGATATGTACATCATTGACATTACTAGATAATACAAAAATAGTTTTCCAATGGAATTGTACCAGTTTGCACTCTTATCAGTGCTATGTGAGTTTATAGTTACTGTAAGTTTTTGCTAGCATCTGATATTGTCATACATTTTAAATGTTTTGTAAATCTGACGGGTGTGTGATACCATCTCATTGAGGTATCAGCTATCTGGATTGCTTTTTTGCGAACCCCTTATTTAAATTTCTGACTGTTTTAAAAAAAATTGGGTAGTCTGTTTTTTCATTACCTGTGTATTTTACTGGTCTATAGATTTTTACTTTGGGTGCTAGTCCTTTGATTATATTTGATAATCTTTTTGTGTGAATTTATTTTGTTTTTTGGTTTATTTGTCTTTGAGATGAAGTCTCATTCTGTTGCCCAGGTTGGAGTGCGGTAGTGCGATCTTGGCTCACTGCAACCCTGTCTCTTGGGTTCAAGCAGTTCTCCTGTCTCAGCATCCCGAGTAGCTGGGACTACGGGCGCCCACAACCACAACTGGCTAATTTTTGTATTTTCAGTAGAGACGGGGTTTCGCCATGTTGGTGAGGCTGGTCTCGAACTCCTGGACTCAAATGATCTGCCCGCCTCGGCCTCCCAAAGTGCTGGGATTATAGGCGTGAGCCACTGCACCTGGCCTTTTGTGGATCTTTTTTTGTGTTTTTGAACTCATTTTGTGAATTTTTTTAAAAATTGTGTTATGGAAAATTTCAAACATAACAGAAATAGGTATGAGTCCTCATGACCCAGGTTCAACAATTAGAAACTCATGGCCAGTCATGTTTCATGTGTATCCCCACCCACTTTCCTCTTCCTTATTATTTTGAGGCAGAAGTCAGACATTATGTTATCTGATCTGTAAAAATTTCATTACGTAGCTCCAAAAGCTAAGGGTCATTTTCTTAGAAACACAGCTACCATACCATTGTGACATCTTAAAAAATTAGCAGTAATTCCTTCATCAAATAGTCATAAATATTTTCTTTTACCTTTTGTGTGTTGAGTCAGATCAGGATAAGGTTCACAGATTTGTAGTTGGTTAATATGTCTCTTAAGTTTTTTAGTCTTTGATATGTTTGGTATGTTAATACATCTCTTTAGTTTTTTTTAATCTCTTCTTTTTCTTCCCTAGCAGTTTATTTTACTTTATTCTTTTAAGAAACTGAGTCATTTGTCCTGTTGTGTTTCCCCTTATCTGGATTTTGTAATCATATCCTGGAATGTGGTTTCAGAGGTGTCTCTGTCTTTTGTATTTCATGTCAGTTTATACTCCAGTTGAGAAGCTCGATCCCCTTTAGGTTCTTTTTTTGCTACAACTCCCAGATGGAATAATTTTTATTATTAAAAATTAATAAACCTTAAAATAATTTTCAGTCAGTTATGCATAAATCTACAGCTCACAGTATATTAGTGTAATCGGAAAGTTGTAGATATTATAAGGCAATAAAATGCTCCCTCCTTTTTTGAGTAAACAGTGGTTTCTCTTTGTGCACCTGTTTATTTTGGCCAGTTTGTTAGCCTGCTCTTTTTGTGTGTGGTTTTCCCCTCTTCGTAATAGATAACTATAATGCAATTAGTTGTATAAGTAGAAGAAACTTATGTTTTCCTTCTTTTTTTGTACCTTATCTAAGACCTAAATAAAACTCTGTCACAAGTTTCTGCTGTATATAATGCTAATAAGGTATATTATATGGTATGTCTAAAAACATTTTTTTTTTAAGTAAAAATGACTTTTTTTTTTTTTTTTTTTTTTTTGAGGCGGAGTCTCACTCTGTCTCCCAAGCTGGAGTGCAGTGGCATGATCTCAGCTCACTGCAGCCTCTGCCTCCCGGGTTCAAGCAGTTCTCCTGCCTCAGCCTCCCGAGTAGCTGGGATTACAGGCATGTGCCACCACGTCTGGCTGATTTTTTTGTATTTTTTAGTAGAGACGGGGTTTCACCATATTAGCCAGGCTGGTCTTGAAG
The DNA here is from genome assembly GCF_000001405.40 of Homo sapiens. Taxonomy (NCBI): domain Eukaryota; kingdom Metazoa; phylum Chordata; class Mammalia; order Primates; family Hominidae; genus Homo; species Homo sapiens. Next base: position 4,327,939 of record NW_018654717.1, on the reverse strand, counting down.
TCCCAACCTTGTGATCCGCACACCTTGGCCGTCCAAAGTGCTGGAATTATAGGCATGAGCCATTGCGCCTGGCCAAAAATGACCTTCTATCCAGTCTTTCTTGGGGGCAAAGGGTGGAAATGGGTAATTAAACTTGGAGCTTAATTTAAAAGGCAAATAACTGTAATACATTTCTGTGAAATAATTCGCTTAGGATGGGACTTGGTTTTTCTAAAAGTAGGCTGAAACAATATAAATAAAAATACAGTTTAAGACAGATTTTTGTATAAGATTTTGGGGGAAATCCCAAACTTTCTTTGTGCGTGGCATATCAAGCGCAAATGTGGAGTTAGCATTTACAAAATTATACAGCTGTTTCTTTTTGCTTTTCTCTTCTTTTTTCTCTTTTCTTTTCTTTTCTTTTCTTTTCTTTCAAGACGGAATCTCACTCTGTCATCCAGCCTGGAGTGCAGTGGTGGGGTCTCAGTTCACTGCAACCTGCGCCTCCTGGGTTCAATCAATTCTCCTGCCTCAGCGTCTCAAGTAGCTGAGATTACAGGTGCCTCCCACCATGCCTGGACTAATTTTATTGTATTTTTAGTAGAGACTGGCTTTCACTATGTTGGCCAGGCTGGTTTTGAACTCCTGACCTCAAATGATCTGCCCCCCCTCGGCCTCCTAAAGTGCTAGGATTACAGGCATGAGCCACCAGGCCCAGCCTCTTTATGTTTTTATAGGCCTATGTATATGCATTACAATGCTGTTGTTGAAGTAAAAGGAAAGGATGAAATACACCTCTTGACTGTAAAATGTGTTTTCTTTTTTTTTGTCCTCCCTTTACAAATACTCAATTTTAGATTGAATTTAAGATAAGCTCACATGGATTCTTTTTCTCAGGAAATTAGACAATTTCTGCCTTTGCTCTTCATGCATGTTAAAAAAAAAGCTTGCTTACACATGTAGAAAGTTGAAAGTGCAGTGAAGTGTTACTGCTTTCAAATGAATGACAGGATACTTTGCAGAAATCCACAACTTTTCTGGGGGTAGAGCATTAAGTCTGTCTCTGGTGTACAGTCAGATTGTACCTATAAAGCTCTTTTCTTGAAGTCAGATTCTCAGGCTGAGCAGAGATTCAGAGAAAGGATCCCTTACCTAATCATATGCTGGTGTTGAAAGGGAGGAAAAATATTTAATTATCTCCTACAGTTTTTCCATGTGGCACTCAGACTTGAGACTTTCCAATAGCTTTCCTCACTTGATATCAAGCCCAAGCAAAAGGTGGACATTTTAAGGTTTTCTGTTGTAACATGATTATTTCCAAAGACATACTCCGTTACCTTTGAAATGCAAGAATCTTGTCACTTGAAGTCAAACATTTTCTCCAGCTTCTTATAGGGACTTGTTCAGCTGATTCATGTGATGAAAAATGTCTGTAAGGAGGCTGCGTTTTGCAGCGCTTCTTCCAACTGCTCAGCAAAATCTGGCCTTTTTGTTTTCCTCTTGTTCACCTTTCAACTCAGCCACTTGATTGAGAACTTTTCCTTGCTAAGCCAGAGGAAGCAAGAGGTTGGTTTGTTCTTTGTCTAGATTTCACATCATTTTTAAAAACACGATGAAGTGACTGGGCCTTTGTTTAATAAAGTTAATAACTCTTTTTTGGGCACTCTCTAGGACTTTTCATTTTAATCTTTTTTTTGTGTGTGTGTGTGTGGTTAAAATGTACATAATACAGGTTGAGTATCCCTAATTGGAAATGATTGGGACCAGAAGAAATGTTTGAGATTTGGGGTTTTTTTCAGATTTTGGAATATTTGCATATACATAATGAGATACCTTAGAGATAGGACCCAACTCTAAATATGAAATTCATTTTTGTTTCATATATACCTCATACACAGAGCCTGAAGTTAAGTTTCATACAGTTTTGTGGATGAAACAGTGTATGTACATTGAGCCATTAGAAAGCAGAACTGTCACTGTCTCAGCCACTGATATGGACAGTCTGGTTGTTTGGCATCATCTTTCCTGATGCTACCAATAAGCAATAGCTTTCTTAGTTACACATAAATTAAGCATGTGTCATGTACCTGTGTTTTGACTGCGAACCATCACATGAGGTGTGTAATCTTCCACTTGTGACGTTATGTTGGCCCTCAAAAAGTTTCGGATTTTAGAGCATTTCAGATTTTGGGTTTTTGGGATTAGGAATGCCCACCCTGTATAACACTTGTTGTTCACTTAAAAATGCTCTCAATCATTTTTAAGTGCACAACAGTTCAGTGGCATTAAGTACATTCACATTATTGCACAACCATCACCACATCATTCTCCAGAACTCTCATATTCCAAAAGTGAAACTCTGTGCCTGTTGAACTTCCCTTTCCTGCCAAACCCTGGCAATCATCATTCTTCTGTCTCTATCAGTTTGACTTATCTATATACCTCTTATAAGTGGAGGCGTACAGTATTTGATCTTTTGTGACTGGCATATTTCACTGAGCATAATGTCTTTAAAGTTCATCCATGTTGTATCATGTGTCAGAATTCTACCTTTCTGAGGCAGAATAAGAATTCATTGTATGTATTTACGGGCTGAGTATACCTAATCCAAAAATTCAATATCTGAAATGCTCCAAAAATCTGAAACTTTCTGGGCACTGACATTGTACTCAAAAGAAATTCTCATTGGAGCATTTCAGGTTTTGGAATTTTGGATTTTCGGATGAGTGATGCAAAAGTGGTGTAATGTAAATGTTGAATATTTCAAAATCCAAAAAATTTCAAATCCAAAGCACTTCTGTCCCAAGCATTTCAGATAAGGAATATTTAACCTGTACCACGTTAAAAAAAAAAAAATCCATTGATTGTTTGATGGACATTTAAGTTACTTCCATGTTTTGGCAATCATGAATAGTGCTGTTATGAACATGGATGTACAGATACCATTCTTCTTCCTGTATAACCAGAATAGGAGTTGGTGGAGCATGTGCTAATTCTATGTTTAATTTTTTTGAGGAATCTCCACATTGTTTCCCACAGTGGCTGTACCATTTTACATTCCTGCCAGCAATGCACAAAGTACTACATTCTCCACATCTCTGTCAATGCTTGTTATTTTCTGGTGTGTGTGTGTATGTGTGTGTGTGTGTGTGTGTGTGTGTTTATGGCCATTCTAATGGGTGTGAAGTGGTATCTCATTGTGGTTTTGATTTGTATTTCCCTAATGATTAGTGATGTTGAGCATCTTTTCATGTGATTTTTAGCCATTGGCATATCATGTTTGGAGAAATGTCTATTCAGATTCTTTCCTCATTTACTAAATGAGGTATCATGATGTTTTGAGTTGTAGGAGTTCTTTATTCTGGATATTAATTCATTATCAGATATATACTTGCAAATGTATCTTCTGTTCCATGGGTTGCCATTTCACTCTACTGATAACGTCTTTAGTAATAAGGTTTTTAATGTTGATGAAGTCTACTTTATTTTTTCTTTTGTTGCCTGTGTTTTGGTGACATCCAAGAAATCATTGTCCAATCCATTGTCATAAAGCCTTTTCCATATGTTTTATTCTAAGAATTTTATAATTGAATGTCTTACATTTAGGTCTTTGATCAATTTTAAGTTAATTTTGTTATGTGGTGTAAGGTAAGGGTCCAACTTCATTCTTTTGCACGTGGATATTCAGTTTTCCCAACACCGTTTGTTGAAAAGGCTGTTGTTTTTTCCCCATTGATTCAATGTATTTGTGAAAGTTTATTTCTAGACTCTCTTCGGTTTTATTAGTTTGTATGTCTATACTAATACCACTCTCTTTCAATTACTGCACTCCTTCCTTCTGTTAATGCTTGTGTTAACATTATTTTTTAAATGTTGAGCCATCCTTGCATTTCAGGATAAAATCCTACTTGGTCATGGCACATAATTGTTTTAATATGCTGCTGATTTAAATTTGCTTATATTTTGTCAAGGATTATTGCAACATGATAATTGTAGGGGATATTGATCTGTAATTTTCTTTCCTCATGAGGTCTTTGTCAGGCTTTTGTATCAAAGTGATGCTGACCTTAATGGAATGAGTTGGGAAGTATTTCTTCTTCAATTTTTTTGTAGTAGTTTGAGGAGACTTGGTTCTAATTCTTTAAATATTTGCTTGAATTCAGCAGCAAAGCTATCTGGTTCAGCGCTTTTCTTTGTTAGAGGTTTTCAGTTACTGATTCAGTCTCCTTCCTAGGTATAGGTCTATTCCGATTTTCTGTTTCTTTGTAATTCAATTATTGTTAAGTTGTGTATTTCCAGGAATTTGTCTCTTCTACCTAAGTTATCCAGTGTGTTGGGCAAACTATTTTTAGAAGTGCGTTTTCCAAGTGATAATTAGTGGAAGGTACAGGGTATATTGCAGTATTACAGCTTAAGATAATTATAGGTGTTTTACATCATTTGCTTTGTGATTATCCCAGTAACCCTATGAGTAAATATTAGAGCTGTTAGTCCCATTTTACGGATGAAGAAGCTGAGGTCCAAGATGCATAGGCAAAATAGTTGTACAAACTACAGAATGTAAAACTTAACAAATCTTGATAGAAATATGAAGAAAATATAACAATTTTTTTTTTCTTTTTTTGAGATGGAACCTCACTCTGACGCCCAGGCTGTAGTGCAGTGGAGTGATCTTGGCTCACTGTAACCTCTGCCTCCCGGGTTCAAGGGATTCTTCTGCCTCAGCCTCCCGAGTAGCTGGGATTACAGGCGCACGCCACCATAGCCAGATAATTTTTATATTTTTAGTAGAGATGGGGTTTCACCATGTTGGCCAGGCTGGTCTTGAACTCCTGACCTCAGGTGATCCACCTGCCTTGGCCTCCCAAAGTGCTGGGATTACAGGCGTGAGCTACCACACCCAGCCAATAATTCTTAAAAGTGGAGGCACATATTGGAATTTGGGGAGTGTGAGAGTTTTTTTTTTTTTTTTTTTTTTTTTAACTTATCAAGGAACAGGTTTTTAAATAACCTGAAAAATACCACACCACATCATCTTTCATTCTTAATCTTCATTATCTTTAGCCATCCAAAAAGGCTAGTCTTTTTATCTAAGAAATCAGTCAAGTAAAGTAATACACTATAGAAAAATACCATGTAAAATAACTAACTTGGTTTAAAAATAAAAAGGTAGATCTTCAACTTACATGTCCTGAACAATACATTCCCTTTAATAAATTATTTTTAAATTAAAAAACTGCAGAGTTTTTAGATGTCTGAGGATCCTGTCTGTATTTTCAGCTGAAACTCTTAAGATCATATTTTAAAGCTCTGAAAATTTCAGGGTTTTTTTGATGGAGTCTCGCTCTGTTGTTCAGGCTGGAGTGCATTGGCATGATCTCAGCTCGCTGCAGCCTCCACCTCCCAGGTTCAGGCAGTTCTCCTGCCTCAGCCTCCCAGGTAGCTGGCATTACAGATGTGCACCACCACGCCTGGCTAATTTTTTTGTATTTTAAGAAGAGATGGGGTGTCACCATGTTCGCCAGGCTGGTCTCATACTCCTGACCTCAAGTGATCTGCCCACCTTGGCCTCCCAAAGTGCTGAGATTACAGGCGTGAGCCACCTTGCCTGGCCTGAATTTTTTATTTGCCTTATTTGAGTGGGGGTATTGCCCTTTGCCTAGCTTTATTTAGCTGTTAGTGCTAATTTTCAGTTTCTTATTTTTCATCTTAACTGTGGCTTATATTACAGTTTAGAACACCAAAGAATTATTTACTAAGCTGTTTATTTTTCAGGTTCCTAGAAGCCAAACCAAACTGACAATAATGCTTGAAAAATTAGGAATGGATTATGATGGGCGGCCTCACTGTGGTCTTGATGACTCTAAGAATATCGCCCGAATAGCAGTTCGAATGCTTCAGGATGGGTGTGAACTCCGAATCAACGAGAAAATGCATGCAGGACAGCTAATGAGTGTGTCCTCTTCCTTACCAATAGAGGGCACTCCACCACCACAAATGCCACATTTTAGAAAGTAACAGTTTTGTGTGTGGATCATTCCAATTGAAGTTGCTATGAAGAGGTAGCAGATGAATCTCATTGAATTAGTCCTGTAGTGCAAACTTTAAGCACCTTAAAACATTTAAAATCTTATTACAGGTGATAGAGATAGATACATGTATGTGAACAGATTTTGTAGGAAGGCATACTGAATTCTTTGTCACCAGCACTTTTGATATGAACAGTATTCGTTACATAGTAACAGTTCCTGCTTACAACTGAATTTTATAATTTAAGGTGTTCAAGATATATTCTTTTTGGTTTTAAAATGCAAAATCTTATTGGCTGTTCTGTTGAATGTCATATCTTACTGGTGTTTAAATATGTAATGTGTTTCTTTATTAACATCACTAGATGAAACCATATCTTAAAATGCAGAAATGATTGGAAGGTAGATCTTATCTAGCCTTTGGATTTCAAGAATATCATAGTCCTTTTGATTTTCAAAGTTTATATGTGAAGTTCACCATGTATGTGGTGAATTTCGTAAGGTACTTGGTATACATATCTGCCTATGTTTCTTTTCAACTCATAATTGGAAGAATTATGATGGATTATAGGGTTTGGTTAAAAATCCAGTTACTGAAGGAATTAATGAAAACGTAGAAGAAAGTACTAAAAGGAATATCATAAGGGCTGTAGCTCAAACTTCATAATACATAAATCACTGGGGTCTTTTTGGATTTGGTTGTTTGATTCGCCTTCCTTTTTTGACATATGTATGCCTTAATTCTTAAATCTGAGGGACCATGCTTTGAAATAGACTGAAAATTAAGGGTCACCACCTAATTTTACTTTGTATTCAGTATCGTAAGTGAGGTTAATAAAGTCAATACTTTCTACCATATATTACGTTTTTGTTATTAAAAAACTTCATTGGCCACTAGTGAAGTTAGTCAATAAAAGACTTGTTTTTCTGATTTTACATAGTAAATGGCTGCTAAGTATTGAGTAATTCTTAACTAATTCTAAAAACTAAAATGTGCATTTCGACTTGATAAGGTAAAACTCTTATCTAGAGGCTAAACCCATGTATTTTCAGAATTGAATTTTTCTCCTTGTAGCTTTCAGGGAACAATTTCATTGACATTGCTTGCTTCCTGCCTTTTACCTTTTAATAAAAATTGTGATGCTACTTTATTCTAAAGATTTATATTTTATAACCAGATGAATTTCCTCAAAGGTTTCCAAACCTATATCATATAGGGTGAAAAGCAGGAAAGTAGACATTTTTCTTGGCGTGGGAATTCTCTACATAGGGCAGTAGATTTCTTAAGCCAATGAATTTCTGCTTTTCAGCAGTAGTCATATAATCAGTATCATAAAGAATAATGTGTAAATAACAGAAGGCATATGAGAGTGTGGTGTTCCTAGATGAGCTGTTACAGATTATAGTAAAATAAGGAAATCTAAGTGCTTTAAGTTTATACAGTTAACTCTTAGGATAAGAGGGATGTATGCTGAGATGTTTGTGCATCCCAGATAGCACTGTACGATAACCTGTAAAGTATTACTGAATACTGAATAGCTGAAACTGCAATTGGAAAATCTGATGATGACGAGGAAATATTACGTTTCCAGTTTTTTTAGCTCTATCTGCTAATTTCTTTGCCTGTTTTCACTTTCGCCAAGTACCAACAAGCTCATGTTGTATTTCTTTTTAAGAACTTCAACATTATAAGCTCTCAGTACCCTATTTTGTTGTTGTTGTTGTTTGAGACAGAGTTTTTGCTCGTCTGCCAGGATGGAGTGCAGTGGTGCGATCTTGGCTCACTGCAACCTCCGCCTCCTGGGCTCAGGTGATCCTCTTGCCTCAGCCTCCTGAGTAGCTCAGATTACAGGCGCGTGCCACCACACCCGCCTAATTTTTGTATTTTTGGTAGAGGCGGGGTTTCACCATGTTGGTCAGGCTGGTCTTGAACTCCTGACCTCAAGTGATTTGCCCACCTTGACCTCCTACAGACGTGAGCCACTGCGCTCAGCCATAGATTTTACTGTCTTAACCCATTTTAATTCCTCTGTTGAGTCTCTGTCCTCCCCTCCAATTTGATTTGGGATTTTGCTGATGAGATGATACTAAACATTGAGAGTACTGCTTTTTACTCTGACTTTTATTGTGTTGTCTTTGAAAGACAAATAGTACAACTTTTTACAAGGAAACACGTAAGAGATGGATGTCCATGAAAACAATATTAGTATATTCTATTATTGTTTCTTATTAATAGTTACTTAGTATTTACAAACAATTTATTATTAGCTGTGTTAACTTTTATTCTATGCTTCATATGCTCTGACATTGACATAGTGGATTTCTGCTGATTTTTTTCAAATCCGCAATCTTTATAACCAACTGAAGTATATAATAGAGCATTACATTTTATCTTTATTTGTGTTCTGTTGGATCAAGTATTTAACATTTGCTCTGAAAAAAATGTTTTTGTGATGTGTCTTTGTTGCCTTGAGATAGATCCATTTATCCTGCCTCCTAGGGAGAAGTTTCTGCCTGGATTGAAACAAAAAAACACAGGTGTCACAAGCATGTTACCTATTAAGAGAGAGAGGGTATCTCTGAAGACTAATTAAAATGGTAATTTTTAAAAAGATGTGACCAGTTGACTTTTAGTATATCATCCCAAGTATTATCCCCAAAATGATAATGCAAAACAGAATAATTTGGAGACCAGGAGAAAAACTGGTATGATTACTGGGGAGGGGAAGAAGCACAGGTGGTCAAGATAATAATGCATGTTTGGCCTCAGCTGTAGTTGCCAAAGAAACTACCTGCCTCACAGATGAGCACGCACGGGTGCATTGTCAAAGTCTGAGAAGGATGTATTGTACTTTGAAGGAAGACTTTCCATTTCTAAGCTACCATGGAGAAGTATATGCTCCTCGAGACCAGAGACTGTGACTTCTGCATCTTTGATTCCAGCGACATATGATAAAATGTTTTGCACATAGTTGAATCCAGCGTTGATACATGAAGGACAGCATTACATCTTTTTTCTATTATACTTAGAAATTTCCTCTTTGTTCTGCACCACCAACCTGTATATCAAGCCTCCTTGCCCCACAAAGCTTCCAAAGCCCGTAAATTTGTTAATCTAGAGCAGGGGTCAGCAAACTACCACCCATGGGCCAAATCTGGCCTGCTGCCTATTTTTGTATGGCCTACAAACTATGGTTTTTATATTCCCTTTTGTTAATGGCTCAAAATAATATTTTGTATAATACGAAAATTACGAGATTTTAGTTTCTCTAAATAAAGTTTTGGAAAGAACTACCATTCTCATTTGTTTTCATGTCATCTCTGACCACTTTTGTGCTACAATGGCAGAGTTGAATAGCTGCATCAGTGGCACCATCTGGCCAGCAAGGCCAAAAATACTACTGTCTGGCCCTTTATGGAGAAAGTTTGCCTACCCTTACCTCCCTTATGTAATGCAATATATAAGTTCCATCAACAAACAAGAAATGCGACTGTGATGAGAGCGTAGAGCTGAATGTTAAGGTACAATAATGATACTTGCATCAGACATTTATGGAGCACTGTTAAGTACTTTACTCCATTGTTTAGTAAGAATCTGGTGATGGAGAGAGGCATTCTCTGCAGTTTACAGATGGGAAAGTTGAGGTCCAGAGCGGTTAAGTTGCCAAAGTTTAAGTAGTGGGAGCTGTAGATTCTGGCAGTATGGCTTGAGCCTTGCTCTTTATCTCTGTGCTATGCTGCCTCCCGTTGTAGACTTTGGCTTAACCTGATATTCCAGGAACAGGTAGGTTGTCCTAGGTAGAATAAACATCTTCCTGTATGGTTTAAACTAGACATTTTCAATGCGATTGTACTAAATGTTGCAAATCAGGAGGTAATTTGATGTTCATTCTTTGAATGAAACAATATAAAATACTGTTAACTTCTAATGTGACCAGCTCTAAGGTTTTTTCGGAGATGGGGATAAGTGGAGAAGGAGAACGATTTTTGCTTTAAAATTTCCTCCATGTTCTTGAGATTAGAAATGTTAGTGTCTTGAGTTTATAATGACACAGAGGCTAAAGGGCTTAAGTTTGACTGATGAAGAGGTGGAAGTACTTGTTTTTCTGGATTCCTTACCAAGACTTGGGTAAGGGGCGGATGCCCGAGGCTTTAAACCAGATCTGCTTTTCTACTTGCAAGTGAATGTTCTCAAGGTAAATTTCATTAGATTTGTTTTAGGATGAATACTGCTCAATCATTGTGGAGCCACAAGGCATGCTTCATTTTATTGCACTTCTCTTTATGTGCTTCGCAGATACTATTTTGTTTTGTTTTGTTTTTTAACATACTGAAAGTTTGTGTGAATCCTGTGTGGAGAAAGTCTATTTATGTCATTTTCCCAACAGCATACTTTCACTTCATGTCTCATATTTTGGTAATTCTCCCTATATTTCAAACTTTTTGATTATTATTATCTCTCTTAGGGTGATTTGTAATCAGTGACTTTTGATGTTACTATCATGGTGGTTTTGGGGCACCACAGACCACACCCATATAAGACAACGAACTTAATTGATAAATGTCTGTGTTTTCCCCATCGCTCCCTCTCCAGACCTACCTATTCCCTGAGACACAATATTGAAATTAGGGCAATTAATAAGCCTACAGTGGCCTCTAAGTGTTTAGGTGAAAGGAAGAGTCACATGTCTTCCACTTTAAATCAAAAACTAGAAATGATTAATCTTAAAGAGGAAGGCATGTCAAAAGCTAAGACGGGCTGAAAGCTATGCCTTTTGATCCAAATTAGCAAAGTTGTAAACCCAAAGGAAAAGTTGTTGAAGGAAATTAAAAGTGCTGCTCCAGTGAGCACACAAGTGATAAGAAAGCAAAACAGCCTTATTACTGATATGGAGAAAGTTTTAGTGGTGTGGATAAAAAATCAAACTGCAACATTTCCTTAAGCCAAAGCCTAATCTAGAGCAAGACTGTAACTGTCTCATATTCTGTGAGGGTTGAGGGAGGTAAGGAAGCTGCAGAAGAAAAATTTGAAGCCAGCAGAGATTGGTCCATGAAATTTAAAGAAAGAAGCTGTCTCCATAAAACAGTGCAAGGTAAAGCAGCAAGTGCTGATGTAGAAATTATAGCAAGTTATCTAGCTAAGATCTAGCTAAGTTATCTAGCTAAGATCTAGCTAAGATAACTAATGAAGGTGGCCACACCATACAACAGGTTTTCAATGTAGATGAAATAGCCTATTCGAAGAAGATAACATCTAGGACTTTGATAGCTGGAGAGAAGTCAGTGCTTGGCTTCAAAGCTTCAAAGGACAGGCTGATTGTTGTTAAGGGCTAATGTAGCTGGTTTAAGTTGAAGTCAGTGTTCATTAACCATTCTGAAAATCCTAGGGCCCTTATGCTAAATCTACTCTGCCTGTGCTCTATAAAGGGAACGGCAAAGCCTGAATGACAGCACATCTGTTTACTACATCATTTACTGAATATTTGAAGCCTGCTGTTGAGACTTAGTGCTCAGGAAAAAAAAAAATCTGTTCAAAATATGACTGCTCATTGACAATGCATCTGGTCATCCAGGAGTTCTGATGGAGTTGTATAAGGAGATTAATGTTGGTTTTAATGCCTACAAACACAATATCCATTCCACAGCCCATGGATCAAGTAGTAGTTCTGGCTTTCAAGTCTTACTATTTAATAAATACATTTCATAAGGCTGTAGTTAGCATAGGTAGTGATTCGTCTGATGGATCTAGGCAAAGTCAGTTGAAAACCTTCTGGAAAGGATTCACCATTCTATTCTGAATGCCATTACAAGCATTTGTGATTCGTGAGAGGAGGTAAAGATATCAACCTTAACAGGAATTTGCAAGAAGTTGATTTCAGTCCTCATGGATGACTTTTAGGGGCCCAAGACTTCAGTGGAAGAAGTCACTGCTGATGTGGTGGAAATACCAAGAGAACTAGAAGTGAAGATGTGACTGAATTGCTGCAGCCTCATGATAAAACTTGAGGAATTACTTCTTACAGATAAGCAAAGAAAGTGATTTCTTGAGATGGAATCTATTCCTGGTGAAGATGCTGTAAACATTCTTGAAATGACAGCAAAGGATTTAGAATATTACATAAGCTTAATTGATAAACCAGTGGCGTGGTTTGAGAGGATTGCCTCTAATTTTGAAAGAAGGTCTGTGGATAGAATGCTATCAAACAGCATGATAAAGAGAAATCTTTTGTGAAAGCACAAATATCAGTTGATGGAGCAAACTTCATTGTTGTCTCATTTTGAGAAACTGCCACAGCCACTCCAATCTTCATCACCTACCACCCTGATCACTCAGTAGCCCTCAACGTTTGAGGCAAGATCCTACACCAGCAAAAAGATTATGGCTTGCTGAACACTCATGATTGTTACCTTTTTCTAGAAATTTAATCTTTAAGGTATATATGTATTTTTTAGACATAATGCTTTTGCACACTTCATAGACTATTGTTTAAATTTAACTTTTATATGCACTGGGGAGCCAAAACATTTGTGTGAGTTGCTTCATTGTGATACTCCCTTTATTGCAGTGGTCTGGAACTGAACCTGCAGTATCTCTGAGGTATGCCTGTATATAGTATGATCAAGAGCAAGTTTAGAATACAAGTCATTTTTTTTTTCTATTGAGTAAAAGAACAAAAGAGGAGCAAGGTTGTGATTTTCTGTTTGCTAATGTAGTGTGGCACACCATCACTGGTGATGGCAGATTGATGGAGGGCAGCGATTGAGCCTTCCCCTTGAAGTGTCCATTCTTGCTTGCCGACTCTGCACCTTTGAACATAGACCTGTTTTCCCTTTGGATTTATTTTTGTCAGTGGGACCATGATTATCACAGTCACATAGGATTGAAACCATGAAACTCATAGTCCCTCCCTCCCCCTTTTAGCACAATGTCCTTTATTGTCCAGTCACTTTATCCTCACCCCAGCCTCTGTTATCATCATTGCTACACAGACTATTGCTAAAATTTAACAGACTTCTCTCTTGCTGTCTCTTCCTGTATACCACTGTCATAAAAAACCTTCCTAAAATGTTGCTTTGCACACTGATCTCAGAAACCTTCACATTTCTGATGGGATAAAACTCAGCTCTCTGTTGGCATATAAGACCCTTCACAGTCTGATTTCTGTCTGCCAACTTTTACAGTAACCATCTGCTCTAGGGTAATAGTTACTCCCCTCACCATCACACTCGCGTTGAGTCGCATGTGCACCATCCTACTTCTGTCCCCAGGAAGTTAGCCCATCAGTCTTATTCTCTTGATTCTGTTTTGTTAAAGACCTGCTGTGATTTCAGACTTATTCCCAGACAGCCCGGACCTTTGGCAACAACTCCCTCTATTTGTTCATTGCACTTTTGTTACATTCATTGGGCCCTTCATTTGTGCTGCAGAGATTCATATGTACTGTATTGTTGGGTTTTTTTTTTTTCTGTTTCCCCAACAGGAGTGTAAATTATTCAGGCACAGGTTCTTACTTGTATCTCAAGAACCTAAGACACAATGGGTGCTTAGTTAAAAATAATTAGTGATGGTAAAATGTATCTTGTAAGGTTAGTACCTGTTCCTGAAATTGCAAAAGGTAGCGTAAGTCCTGACTGCCGTGATGAATGAGTTACTGTTTTGGCAGAGTTACAGATAGGAGCTATCCCCTTTCCTTTTACTGTGCACCATAAATAAATTTTTAGAGGCTCTGTCTCGAGTAGAAATGTTTAATCCCTGTCTATGCTTGACTTTCCCCCTAGGTGCCAGGAAAAGCAAACAAATGTTAAGCTGTCCTTCCTAGTAGTTCAGTCTGTACATTGCTGATTAAAAAAAAAAAAAAAAAAAATCTGCTCCAAGTATCTTTGGCCTTGAAAAAGGTCATTGGTTGCCTTTCCTTTGTGTTGAGCACTGATTTTTCAAACTTTTTTGCACAAGTACTCCCTAATACTTGAAAAAAATTGTTTGAAAAGGAAACTGTACCTATTTGCACATTTAAAGCTATTCCTAAGTTCATAGTATAAATATTGACATTTAAAACAAAACAGGCTTCATTATATAATCAGTGGAGTCTCCATACCATAGAAATTTAGTACCATCATCTGCATAGAAAATACATAAAGGCTTTTAAAATTCCTCTTTCTCCTGGAACTTCTATTTTTGGTGCAGTTCTCCCACAAGGTTTTATTCTAATGTAATACAGTAGTCCCCTCTTATCCGTGGTTTTGCTTTCCATAGTTTCAGTTACCCAAGGTGCAGTAACAAGATATTTTGAGAGAGGGAGACACCACATTCACATCCAGTTTTCATGTTATAGCTTGTCATCAGGTTTTACTCTGTATTTTTCTGCCTGAAAGTCATTGATCATACTATCATACATCTTTGTAACAAGTGTATATACATTTAAAATTATATATGGCTGAGTGCAGTGGCACATGCCTGTAATCCTAACACTTTGGGAGGCTGAGGTGGGTGGATTGCTTGAGCTCAGTTCTGGACCAGCTTGGGCAACATGGTGAAACCCTGTTTCTACAAAAAATTCAAAACTTAGCTGGGCGTGGTGGCACAAGCCTGTAGTCCCATCTACTTGGGGGGCTGACTTGGGAGGATTGCTTGAGCCCAGCAGGTGGAGGCTACATTGCACGGAGATCTATTTATTGTGACCGTAAGGATGTGTGAAGTTTCTTCTATATTTACTCAGTCATTTGCATAATGGATCAAGATGTAAATATATTAAAATTTTTGGAAATACTTTAATGAGATAATGTTTTTACAATTAGTTTATATATCTGGATTAATATGACATTGCTAGAATGAAAGGGGGTCCAGCATCAATTCTATAGCTTTACCTGAAAGGCTTTTACTCAGTTCTTTAATTTCCGTGACAAAAATCACATTGTGATCTGTGATGATAAATCATTCTTCAGCTGACAGCATGATTAGTTTCTTGTTTATTTTTGTTGAAAACAGAATTTTTGAAAGGTGCCTAACTTTTAGAAGTGTTTACTTAGAATTTACTCGTTCTTATATTTGGGGATGTAAACCCAAAGGGCTTTACCAAGACTATCAAATAATTATTCATTATACCTGTTACTCTTTAACCTAGAAAACCTTTATTTCAGTATATTCATAAAGGGTTGGGAAAATCCAACCTGTTACTTTCAAAACACCTTTTAGGATATAATACTCTTGGCACAGTTAGTGCTTTAAATATATTTTTATTATATGTTTCGTCAAAACCTTGGAGCTACAGATTTAGTCATTCATTTCATGATACATGTTCATCATATAATGAAATCAAGCAAAATATCCATGTCATGAATCAAATCAGACTGACTTTGTCAGAAAAAGGTCTGGCTTGAAAATTCAGGTTGTGTTACTGAATTTTGAACATACAAAAATCATTAAAAACCATCACAGAACACCTTTTGTAAATGATTAGTGAAAACAGTCAAGATTTAAAATTTCCCTTATTTAACTTATAACAAGTCGCAGTCATCTGTGGCAAAAACAAGTTATTTAGGAAGCAAGTTAGGTTGATGAAAGGCAAGATATTCTTTCAATATAGGTGTGTACGTATATTGAACTAAGGTATTTGGCTTTTGGCAGAATTAAGAATCAAATAAAATTCTTTAGTGTTAATAATATTAACTTTTACTAGGATTACGCTTTTCCTATAGAATGTTATCCTGCTAAAAACTAACTGGCAGATATCTAGAACCTAATTTATTTTCTGTTAAGAGGTAGTAAATATTTCCCATTTCATAAGATGAAGTAGATTCATATTTGACTGTATTTGGAGTAAATATTTCACAAAATGATTGTGGTCAGTTTTTTTCATTTTTTGTGAGCAGTTTTGTCTATAGGTTTTATTCAGTGCCTCATGAAAATTCTGATAGTCCTGAAAATTATTCCAAGTACAATTAAAATATTCAGCATCACTAAACTCTTTTTGTTTTGACTGTCCAAGGGTATTTTTCCTTCCAGTCAATGATTGTTCTGTGGATGAGTTTTTAAATAGTTGAAAAAGTAACTTAGAAGAACAGCTGTTTGTAGCAGTCAGTATTTCTCACCGATGCTTGCTGCTTTTTGCTGTTGGGGCCTCCACCAAGAGTGATTTATTTCTTGACAGGAGTCTTGGAGAGGGAAGTGGCCAATTTGTTCAATAAAAATCATTACTTTCACTTTACCACATATTCACATTTTGAATATCCTAACAAGTCCCCAAACATCCCCATTTCTAAATCCCCTTTTACGGAAGTTTAGAACGGGGAAAGTCACAAAGCCCTAAGGCCTTAAGCTGACTTGAGACTTTCCGGGTGGTAGGAGGCTTCTGCTTTGTTCTCTGTGTTCGCTAACGCCTTGGGGCAGCAGTGCCAAGTGAGCTGGGAAGGTGAGTGGTGTCTTTGTTTTGTAGAACGGAAGAAATAGTGTGGATGCCACGGTTTTGCTTTTGTTAGAGGGCTGTATGAAAGCTCAGAATTACCTTAAATTCCAAATTAATTAGGTCATCCTGTAAAATTACCCTTGCTGAGGCACCCCTTAGAAGGTTTCAAGGTGGCCCTAGGGTTAGACATATCCCACATGAAGACCTCTGGTCCAGTGTTGAAAATTTCTGTTATTTTTGTATGTTAATAAAATGTTTTCATCAGTAATATAGTGTGTGTGTGTGGGGGGGTGTGTGTTAGTTCACATTTGATAAGGTTCTTGTTTAGGACTTCCTTAGCGCTGACAAAACGAACTTAGACTTTTGTAAGGAGAGTGGAGCACAAACCTGCCCCTGCCTCATTGTCAAGAAGCCTCTCCATCAGCCCGCCAGCACCAAGCCTTTTGAGTTCCTTTAGATAAAGTCAGTAACACCTGGGTTAGCATTATTCCCACCTCGGTCTAGTGCTTACTCAGTCCTGGGCCATGCTGAAATTGCATGCATACAAGGTATAGCGTAATGAGACCGTTTTCAGTGCAGACAGCTGAGCCCCCAGGCACTTGCTCCGCTGAGTGTTTCAGCGATTACGCTGCACTTCTGCTCGCCTGCCTAAAACGCATGAAGAGTACAGTGGGGGAACAATGAGCATGACTTTTGTTCATTCTGTGTGTCTGGTGAGAAAAATGTGGGAATTCCAAGCAACAACGTATTAGGGATGATTCTGGAAATTCAGGAGAAACAAGTAAAATACAAAGAAACCTTAAGTCGTAAAATTTATGTTAAATCCTACATTCCTTACTACAGGCAACTTCCTTGTATTCTCCCAAGAGAGAATACAAGGAAGGTAGGAGAGTAGGAGGGGGAGCTTTTAAAAATCAGGTGTGTTGAGGCATACACGCTCTTCTCATCGGCACATGGAACATTCTCCAGGGTTGACCATAGGTTAGGACACAAAACAAGTCTCAAGAGCTTTTAAAAAATCGAAATTGTATCAAACATCTTATCTGACTACAACGGAATTAAACTAGGCATCAGTAACAAGGAACATTCAAAACTAAACAAACACGTGCAAATTAAACAACATGCTCCTGAATGATCAATGGGTGAAAGAAGAAATTAAGAATGAGATTTAAAACTTCCTTGAAACAAATGAAATAGAAACACAGTGTACCAAAACCTATGAGACCTAGCAAAAACAGTATTGAGAGGCAAGTTTATAGCAATACGTGGCTGCATTTAAAAACTAGAGAGATTTCTTTCTTTTTAGACAGAGTTTCGCTGTTGTCGCCTAGGCTGAAGTGCAGTGGCGTGATCTCGGCTGACTTCAACCTCTGCCTCCCGGGTTCAGGCGATTCTCTTGCCTCAGCCTCTCGAGTAGCTGGGAATACAGGCATGCACCACCACGCCCAGCTGATTTTGTATTTTTAGTAGAGACGTGGTTTCACCATGTTGGCCAGGCTAATCTTGAACTCCTGACCTTGGGTGATCCTCCCACCTTGGCCTCCCAAAGTGCTGGGATTATAGGCATGAGCCACCGCACCCAGCCAAGAGATTTTTAAATGAACAACCTAACAGAGTACCTCAAGGAACTGGAAAAGCAAGAACAAACCAAACCCACCTGGGGGAAAGAAATTAGATGTAGTAGAATAAGATAAGCATTAGGAATTCCTCAAGGCCAAGAGAAATGTCTGCACAGAAAAGAGAAGGAACTTGGAGGCTGCATTGCCAGAATGCCTCACCCAGCGTATGTTTTGTACGCTGTGTCCTTGGTCCTCCCTTTGCGATAATTTCTCTCTGTGGCACACAAGATTTCAACTATCCCTTCTCTGCAAAAGGTTCCTAAAATCTATTGCCCTGATCTCTCTTTTGAGATCCAATTTCTTGAGTATTTCATAGGTGTCACCAGCGTTTTAAATTTTATACATTAAGAAACAAACAGATGCTTATTTCCTCAACTGCTACGCCCTCTCCCGCCTCCAACACACACACAGCCTACTCTTGTGTCACTCAAGTCAGGGAACACCCTCCCATTATACTCAAATCTGCCAGTTCCCTGTTCTTTGAGGAGGTAGCGTCATTTGTCACACCGCAGGCCTTCTGGGGCTTTGTGGCCCTGGAGGAAGCCTAGATGCGATGGGTCCTTGTGTCCAGAATGAAAGTTAGCTAACAAAACTGGAGGGAAGTGTTATGCTTTGAGGAGGTAACACAGGTTGAGCATCCCTAGTGCGAGAATCAGAAACGATCCAAAATCTGAAGCTTTTTGAGTGTTGTCATGATTTCGGATTAGTGATGCTCAACGAATAAATATCAATATAATACGGATATTCCAAGATCTGAGAAGATTCAAAATCTGAAACATTTCTGGTCCCTAGCATTTCAGAGAAGGGATGCTCAACCTACACGTGCACCTGCTTCAGTCAGTTACCCTGCATGCTCCCACGCGCAGTGCCGTATGTCCCCCGGCACATGCTCTGCAGTCTGCAAGGATCTGGAGAAGAAAGGTGTGGCTGCACTTCCTGGCAGTAGACACTTCATTTCTGCTGTTGGAATAGATTGTGTTTGATTCTACTCTTACGTCTAAGGGCATCTCTTTAGGTTTCTGGCCTTGGAACCATGCTTGACTGTGGAAGGGGTACATAATTCGGATTTATTTTTAAGGTGTTATTCTACTTCTTCGTGTATAATTGATGCAAACCATTTCTGACATCCTTCAAAACACTTGTGTCTTCTTGAAACTCCCACCTTTAAGACAAGCAATGAGTGTGTTTTTGTGTGGCTCAGATATGTAGGTGAAACCTGTGTATGCAGCACCCTCCCCCAACCACCCAGTTTCAAGCCCAGCTTTTGTGACGCTTTTGTGACTCAATTATGAATAATCAGAGCTGTGCCTGGACCCCATCATTCTGTCTTACTTTTTACATTCTTCACCCAAGCATGTAGAGGCCAGGCCTAAATCAAAGAGCTCAGAGGAAGTGGTGGTTCTTTGGAGTTCAGGAACATCTCTTATGGAAGATGGAGACAATTGTGGAGAAATCTTTTCATCATCCATGATAGGCAGATGAGATGCAAATAGGCCTAGACTCACTTTGGTAGAAACTTTTAAATAGATAGTTCTAGAAAATTATTATGTATTTGGTATTCCATGAGAGGTTGGGCAATTTTGGAAGCTTTTTTAAAGTTCAGTCCAGTGACACACTATCCATAATTGTGTTGTTTATTGGAGAGATTATTTTTGTTTTATTTTCGTTGGAGACAGGGTCTCACTATCTTGCTCAGGCAGAACTTGAACTCCTGTGCTCAAGCCATCCTCCTACCTCAGCCTCCTGAGTAGCTGGGACTACAGGCCATAATTGTATTGTTTATATTCAACAAAGAAATATTTACTGAATATTTAATTCTAATTGAGAAAATAAGGCATAAGCAGGGAAAGATAGTTAACAATGTAAAGTAAGTTTCAAAAGAGGCCTACGGTGTAGCATGGTGTTTAAGGCTATAAGAGATTGGAATTAGACCTGGGTTTAGATCTTGGTTCTGAGACTTACTGGTGGTGGGACCTCAGCAAGTTACTTAACCTTTATGAGCTCCCAATTTTCCTTACAAAACTCTTCATAGGGTTGTTGTCGGAGTTAAATAGGATATCATCTGAATTATGGGTAGTGAATTACAGCTGATTTAGCGAGGGTATCAGAGTAAGATAAAACATCTTCAAATAAAACATCTTCAAAATCCATCATGGTGCGAAAGGATGTCCTTGTTAGCATGGCATGCTGGATGCAGGGCAACAAGTCTAGAGCTCCTTACATTTTCTCTGATTAGCGGATAAGTGATCCCGGATCCTGGAATGGTGCTGAGATTGTTGAAAGAAGCGAGGTGACTTTGGTGTGGGAATCAGGAGGATGTGAGGAACAGAAGGGAAGCCAGCGACCAGGTCAGCAGACACATCACTGCGTCAGTTCAGTAGGAGAGTTCACACTGGCCCCCATACAGGTAGGTCTAGTTAGCAAATTGCCAACTACCCATCATCAACTGGAGATGATGGAGAAATAATTACAATCCATGATGTGGCCAAAGTACACAGAGGACAGTGTAGGAGCAGAAGCAAAGCTTAATGGACTAGGGGGTCAAAGAGGGCTCTTTCAGGTGGAAACACAAGCTAAGCCTTGAAGAACAAATCATGACATTAGAAAGAGAAGCAATCGTTTACCAAGCAGCAGACACAGCATGTTGAAGAAACAGAAACACAGAAACATGAAACACCACTGGAGTCTCCAAGACGGTATTTTCCCAGTGGAGTTCTCCTTTTCCTCAATGTGCAGATAGAGATTCCAAACCTGCCCTTGACTCTCACCCTGACCTGCCACACCTGCATCATCATCTTGCTAACACTGAGCCAGATTTCACATGGTGAGAACTGTTCTGAAATCTCACCTTAGAGTCCTGACCACGAAGCCCTTAAGAGTAGTAATATTGCCAGGCGTGGTGGCTCAAGCCTGTAATCCCAGCACTTTGGGAGGCCGAGTCAGGCGGATCACGAGGTCAGGAGATCGAGACCATCCTGGCTAACACGGTGAAACCCTGTCTCTACAAAAATACAAAAAATTAGCTGGGCGTAGTGGCGGGCACCTGTAGTCCCAGCTACTCTGGAGGCTGAGGCAGGAGAATGGCGTGAACCGGGGAGGTGGAGCTTGCAGTGAGCAGAGATCGTGCCACTGCACTCCAGCCTGGACGACAGAGTGAGACTCTGTCTCAAAAAAAAAAAAAAAAAAAAAGTAGTAATATTACGTTCAGCCCTAAGCTGGCTTCTCAGATTTCCACTAGACTGGTTCTACAGCCAGTGCTCTGTAGGGTAGGGACTTCCCCATCCCACTTACGTATACTTGCACTGAAACGAATTGCTCACTCCAGCTGTATAGGTCTAGCCTCCACGAATAGATAGCTTAATAGGCAGGCTCTCATTAGACTTTAGTAGAAACATTCATGGATACCAAAAACTGTGTTTCAGTGGCTCTCAAATCTGATGTATTGACCCTGGGCATGGTGGCTCATGCCTGTAATCTCAGCTACTGGGGAGGCCAAGGCAGGAGGATCACTTGAGCCCAGGAATTTGAGATCAGCCTGGGTAACATAGCAAGACCTCTATTTGTATTAAAATATAAATAAATCTAATTTATCATCAGAATCTATAGAATTTTTTTTTTTTTTTTTTTGAGATGGAGTCTCACTCTGTCACCCAGGCTAGAGGGCAGTGGCACAATCTCGGCTCACTGCGACCTCCACCTCCCGGGTTCAAGTGATTCTCCTGCCTCAGCCTCCTGAGTAGCTGGGATTACAGGCATGCATCACCACGCCTGGCTAATATTTTTGTATTTTTAGTAGAGATGGGGTTGCACCGTGTTGGCCAGGCTGGTCTTGAATTCCTGACCTCAAGTGATCCACCTGCCTCAGCCTCCCAAAGTGTTAAGATTACAGGTGTGAGCCACTGCACGTGGCCATATCTATAGATGAATTTTTAATACAGAGTCCCAGACCCCACTCAGAGATTCTAGGGGGCGGAGTTGGGCCTGTGTTAAAGAAAATTCATTTAAAAATTAAATTAAGAAAACAAATTCCCACAGGTAACTGTGATCCTTAGATCTGGAGACCTTGGCTGAGAGGACCGCTGCTGGGCCATCAGCCATCGCCATTGGTCTTGCTGATGGAATGTGACCAGTGAGGTTCTCTGTCCTGAGAAGCGGTTCTGAAAGATGCTAGTTCTTCTGAGCATATCTCTTGAGTGGCAGTGATGAGTCTGCCCTCCGAGTGACAGTGACATTTCTCCTTGCAGCCTGGCAGTAAAAGCCAGTCAGCAGAGAGAGACATGAGCAGCACATATGCGAGACTGCCTAGAGGAGATGAGGCAGAGCAGCCCTGAGACCTCTGCAGTTCCTGAGGCCACACTGCACACGGCCACACTCCTCTCCTTGCTTCCATGAGATGCTCCTTTATTTCTTTGAGAAATTCCCCTCTCCGGCTAAGGACAGCACAAGTTGGTTTCTGTTACTTGCAATTAAAGAGCCCAGTGACTACGACTCTTACTCAAATAGCATCCCTAAAGAACAATGAAGGGACACACTTTAAACATGCTAGGTATGAAATATCAACTTTCTCCCCAAACAACTCTGGAAATGAGCTCTTGCTCAGGAAGGAAAAAGCAAAAACACCTTTACTATTGAGTCTTTTATGCAGCTATTAGCTTGGTACAAAGAACATCCCCTTAGGAAAAGAGAAATTCAAGATGCTGTCTGGATTGGAAGAAATGGAAGAAAGCAGTGGAAGTTCCACTCTCACAAGCAGGGCCCACATCGGCCTCCCCTTGGGAAGAGGAAATACAATCAGTTTTGTGGCACAGATGAGCTCCAGGCAGAGCCAATTTCACACACGCTGATTGCAGCCTGTACCTTCTGCCTCACCCTCCGAATCAGCCTGAGGCTGGCAGAGGTCTGTGAACTGGGCTGAGATTTTTTTGACCTGTTAGGTTTTAGCATATGGCAGAAACAATCAATACTGCCCAAGAACCGAATAAAGCACGGCTGTTCCCAACAGGGAAAACAGGCAAGCTGCTCTTTCCCAGAAGGAGCACTCCTTGCCAAGCCTGCATGCCCTGACCATCTTCCTGCACAGGGCACTTAGATATTCACCTACTTAGGAAACACATTCCAGCCTCTAGCCACCATCCCACACCTAAAAATCAAACAGAGACATTCATCTGGCTGGGGACTGGGAGTTTATAGCAGTGCCTTTCGGGTGAGTTGGTGAGCTCAGCTAGTGGTGGCTTACTCCACTAATTAGCCTGTGGCCAGAAAGCCACTTAGGCTAAGGAGCCCTTCTCTGCTCACTTCTGTGGCCACAGAGTGGTCCCTGGGCCTAGCCAGTCAGCTGGCTGGCAGATGCTTGCCACTAGGAGATGGGAAATGGGCTGCAGAAGTTCTGAAGCTGAAAATGTCACCTGACCAGCCTGGGCAACATAGCAAGACCCCATCTCTAAAAAAAAAAAAGTTTTTAAAATTAGCCAGGCTAATTTTTACACACCTGTACACAGGTGCATATCTGCAGTCCCAGCTACTCAGGAGGCTGAGGTGGGAGGATGGCTTGAGCCCAGGAGTTTGAGGCTGCAGTGAGCTATGATAGCACAATTGCACTCCAGCCTGGGCAACAGAGAGAGACCCTGTCTCTTAAAAAGAAAGAAAAGGAGAGTGAAGCCTGCATCTCTCCCTCCCCTCCCCTTCCAACAGAGCAGTTCCACCTATACCTATTTATTAATTGAGCTTCCTATCATTTTGTTTGAAGAAGGGATTCATCACTGCTAATACTAATCGTTCACGCTGTGTGTTGGGGTGCACGAGTGCACACACGCCCACCAGGCACCATGCCAGGTGTTCCAGATGCCTTGGCTTGATCTCTTCAAACAAGTCCAAGAGGGAGATTCTGTTATTATGTCCATAGCACAGCTGAGGAAATGAAAGTCAACTCTCTTGTCCAAGGCCACAAAGCCAGTAAGTGGGAAAGCCAGGACTTGAACCTAGGTCCCCCAGACTCTGCAGCCTTTCTTGCATTGTCCTCTGGGAAGGGCCACAACCACCTGAGTGAAGAAAAACAAAGCCCAGTCTTTCTCTAAAGCAACTGTGCTCAACCTTGTCTGCGTACTGGAGTCATCAAGGAAGCTGCGACCAGCGCAGACGCTGGGCTGTCATCTCTGGAGGCACTGATTTGCTTCATCGATCTGAGAGCAGCTTGGGCATAGGGATTTGTTTTTTTTTAAGACTGAAAATCACTGCATTAGGGAAGCAGTGATGAGAATTCAATAATTCGAATTACATGTCAGCACTGATGTGAGGGTTCAAGATAGGAATTTCCCTCCTGGCACATTACTCAATTGATAGTTTAAAAAGCGTCCTTAAGAAGAAGAAAGACAGCCAAACTCCTTCTGCAGCTCTGGTGGAAAATGGAGAAGACTTTTCCTTTCCTCCATCTCCCCCAGGGCCTGGTGGAGTGAGGCGTTGCCCAGCTATAAACTGTGGTCACTCTTCTGGTGGGGCCAGCAGATAACAGCTGATGTGTGAAGGAGGCAGGGAAGGACATGGGGAAAAGGTCCAGTGGAAATCAAAGCCCATTGTCATAATTCTGTCCTTTGTTTTGAGACAGGATCTTGCTCCGTTGTCTAGGCTGGAGTGCAGTGGTGCAATCATAGTTGACTGCAGCCTCAATCTCCCTAGCTCAGGTGATCCTCCCACCTCAGCTTCCTGAGTAGCTGGGACCACAGGTACGTGCCCCTGGCTAATTATTATTATTTTTATTTTTAGTGGAGATGGGGTCTTGCTATGTTGCCCAGGCTGGTCTTGAACTCCTGGGCTCAAAAAATCCTCTCCCCTCAGCCTCCCAAAGTGCTGGGATTACAGGCGTGAGCCACCGCGCTCGGCCAGCATTCTGTTCTTTATGCACCCAGTCCAGGATCAAGATAGGTGGAGGTGAGCGAGATGTAAATGCAGCCGTCCACATAAATAATGTTTGAATGCCATCTTTACAAAGGGCAGCTGGGCGCAGTGGCTTACACCTGTAATTCCAGCACTTTGGGAGGTCGAGGTGGGCGGATCACCTGAGGTCAGGAGTTCTCAAGCTTGGCCAACATGGTGAAACCCCGTCTCTACTAAAAATACAAAAATTTGCCCGGCGTGGTGGCGGGAGCCTGTAATCCCAGCTACTCAGGAGACTGAGGCAGGAGAATCGCTTGAACTGAGGAGGCAGAGCTTGCAGTGAGCCGAGAGCACGCCACTGTACTCCAGCCTGGGCGACAGAGTGAGACTCCGTCTCCAAAAAAAAAAAAAAAAAAAAAAAAAAAAAGAGCAACATTAATGCAAAAAAATTAATGGTGAAAAAAAAATGTCAAGTATTGAAATATGGATAGCATCTGACAGGGTTGCTGAGGTTGGGGTGAAGGGAGTGCGGGGAGTCCTGCAACTAGACCTTTGGATCTTGTCTTTATTTGAATTTTGTGGATTTTTTGGCATTAATTTTGACTTTAAAAAAAAAAAGCATGAAAATATTATTTTTCTTAAATTGTGTGCCTAACAGTGAGTCCCAATAAATACTTCCTTTAGGAAATACTTAAAGGAGTTAAACAACTTTTGACTTGCTGATCCTTCTGCATTGAGGGAGGAGACATCTCAGAAGCATGCCCTTTGAAAAGTATCAGAATACTAGGCATCCTCCTGTGCCTCCCACAACCCCCGCAAAAAAGAATACTAGCCCTCCCAAAGGCCGGATGGGATTTCTGCATCAAAGAGAAGACATCAACGGAGAGATAACCTAGTCATTCAGAGGCCGCAGGTGAGGAGAGAGGGACAGTGGACAGCAATGCCCAGAGAAGGCAATTTGAGTGCATGACCATCAGCCCATGCCAAGGGCAGCCTGCAGAGTTCCTCCCTCTGTTGATTCATTTGGCTAGGATGAGTTCTAGACCTGAACACGTCCTCCCCATCATACAGGATTACCCACTGTTACCTTGGTAAATTAACCTGTTTAACCTTCGGCTCCCTGGTCTGTAAGATAGAACTAATACTATACCCCTCACAGTGATGTTTTAAGGATAAGTGAGGTAGAATATATATAAAGCACTTTACAGAGTGCCTGGTACATTCTAAGTGGTCAAAAAAAAAAAAAAGATAGCTATTTTCGCCTTACTATTAGATTTTCTAGGTCAAGGCTGGGCGCAGTGCCTCACACCTATAATTCTAGCACTTTGGGAGGCAGGGGCTGGTGGATCACTTGAGGTCAGGAGTTCGAGACCACCCTGGCCAACATGGTGAAACCCCATCTCTACTAAAAATACAAAATTAGCTGAGCGTGGTGGCACATGCCTGTAATTCCAGCTACTTGGGAGGTTGAGGCAGGAGAATCACTTGAACCTAGGAAGTCAATGTTGCAGTGAGCTGAGACGGTGCCATTACACTCCAGCCTGGGCAACAAGAGTGAAACTCCATCTCAAAAAAAAAAAAAAATCTAGGTCTGTTCTTGAAGCTAGAACAGAAAAAGAGATTTTCTAGGTCTATTCCTGTCTGAGTCCTCATTGGGAACGTTTCACTGCTGACTGATAAGTCACCAGAGCGTAGGCCAAGCCAGTGAGCTTTGATGCGTATTAATATAAAATCTGGGAAATTGTCCCTAAAATGAGTCAGAGTTACGGAAGGAATGGAGAAGCCTGGATTCCGGTCTCAGCTTCAGGACTTGTTAGCTGTGGGAACTTAGGTCTATCCCACCACAACTCCGGGCCTCTTCCTTCTTTATGCAATAAAAATAACAGCATCATTCCTATTGCTCTTCTGCTGTGGGGACCAAAGAGATAATAAGGTGCAAAAGTGACTCAGGGCAGCACCTTTGGATGGAAATGAGCTTTGTTAAGGCGTTGTTCTTTCAGTGGGCTCATTTCTTTGTCTGGGCTGGTTCATCTGGTTCTGATCCTGAACTTAATGATCTTTGGAGGTAGATTCTTTATTCTGGACTTTAAAATGATAGCAGAAAGAATTAGCTGAAAGTAACAAATTATTATTTAAAGTAGGTACGATAGATATTAGTTCTGGTATTAATTATATTACTTTCCCATAGGGAATTGGAGGTATATATGAATATATATATGTATGTATATATGAATATATATATATATGAAAAGGAGTTTATTTCTTACAGTATGGTGGCTGAGAAGTCCACGGTTGAGGGACTGCATCTGGTGAGGGCCTTGTTGCTGGTGGGGACTCTGTGGAGTCCTGAGGTGGCTCACAGCATCACATGGTGAGGGGGCTGAAACTGCTAACATGCTCAAATTGGAGGTGTTTTTAAGAAGCATGACTAAGGGCTGGGCGTGGTGGCTCATGCCTGTAATCTCAGCATTTTGGAAGGCTGAGGCAAGCAGATCCCTTGAGGTCAGGAGTTCGAGAACAGCCTGGCCAACATGGTGAAAGCACATCTCTACTAAAAATACAAAAATAAGCAGGGCATGGTAGCATGCACCTGTAGTTCCAGCTACTTGGGAGGCTAAGGTGGAAGGATCACTCGAACCCAGGAGGCAGATGTTGCAGTGAGCCGAGACTGTACCACTGCACTCCAGGCTGGGTGACAGCGCTGAGACCCTGTCTCAAAAAAAAAAAAAGAAGCACGACTAAGGGAAACGCCTTCCTCTTGGTCCTGCCTAGAACCACTTCTTTAGTTTTTCTGAGTTTGTATGTTTAGATCTTTGTAAGTGTCCTATGTAGTTATACATTTTCCTTGATTATGAGTTTGAATGATCACTTCCTTTTCTCAGGCGAATGCACTCACTTATGAGAATTTTCAGTCATTTGGACTATAATTGCTTAAACTTCAGACTGTAGCTGCAGAGTCGTTTTGTAGCCATCCTTAGAGAGTGAGTATGGTGTAAGGATTGAGAGCCCAGGCTCAGATGCCATGCCACAAAATAAGTGACCTTGCTCTGTTAAACGGGGGCATGCCAGCCCAGATCTCATAGGGTCGTAGTGAGAAATGAAAGAATTAATGTTTATAAAGTGCTTAAAATAGTGTTTAGTGAATAATAACCCTTCAGTAAATGTTAGCCGTTATTGTACTGACCCTATTTGTGTTAGCTCTTATTACACGGGTCTGCCCAAGGCTGAAACTTGGGGCTTATCCTCTATGGGACGTTTTCTGTGAGTTTCAGCTACTGCTCCTAGTACACTTCCTGGCAGTGTTTTTGTCTCTCTCTGTGTTCTATTTCTCTGCTTTCTTCCATTCTTCCGTGTCCATGGAAAGGACTAGATATACTTTTTTTTTTTCCAATAAATCCCCTTTAAGCAAAATTGAGTCAGGCGTCTCTTGCTACCAAAAGAACTGGACAAACTCCACTAGTTTGAGAACAGTCACCTCCTATTCTGGTGCTGATTGGTTGAACTCGCCTAGAGCACTGAGTCTCTGGGATTCTGGCAAGGTACCGTCACTGACACCAGCAGCATTCTGGGTAAGCAGCATATACCACTATTACCCGTGAACGAATCAAGGAACATGCTAGGTGCACACGTATGAAGGGACATCTTTTGCACACAGAACTGGGGCACAGTTGGCAAGGAGGTTAAATATGTTAACTTCAGGATACATTTAGGGAAACTGCAATCAAGAGATTTACCCAGAAAACACATTTCAGAACTATGGTATAATAAAAAATATGTTTGGTCTTTATCCCTGACTCCTGGCACTGAGCATCAAAGACCCTTGGAAATTTCCGAGTGGTTCGAATGTCTGTTGTTATACATGAATCCTTTCTGATCATAACTAAGTTTATGCTATTGAGGTGAATCAAGGTGGGCCCTTAAATAGTTTCAGGAGAGAGGCTGGCCACACTACAAAGACCAAGCTTATGATTAGAGGGTTGGAACTTTTGGCTCCACCCCTCAACCTCTGGAGAGAAGAGGGGAACTGGAGATTGAGTTCAATCACTAGTGGCTAATGATTTATTTATTTTTGTTTTTGTTTTTGTTTTTGTTTGAGACGGAGTCTTGCTCTGTCACCCAGGCTGGAGTGCAATGGCGCAATCTCAGCAGACTGCAACCTCTGCCTCCCGGGTTCAAGAGATTCTCCTGCCTCAGCCTCCAGAATAGCTGGGACCACAGGCATGCACTACCACACCTGGCTAATTTTCATATTTTTAGTAGAGATGGGGTTTTGCCATGTTGGCCCCACTGGTCTCGAACTCCTGACCTCAAGTGGTCCGCCTGCCTTGGCCTCTCAAATTGCTGGGATTATAGGCAAGAGCCACCGCGCCCAGCCAGTGGCTAATGATTTAGCTGATCATGCCTAAGTCATGACACCTCAATAAAAACTCTTGAGCAACAAGCTTCCAGGAGCTTCTGGGTTGATAAGCTCATGATGTGCTGGGAGGATGGCATGCCCAGAGAGGGAATGGAAGCTCCACAGCCCAGCCACTAGCCCCATACCTCGTCCTACACGTCTCTTCCATTTGGCTGTTCTTGAGTCGTATCCTTTATGGGAAACTGTATGTGAATCATCAATACAGTGCTTTGTTGAGTTCTATGAGTCACCGTAGTCTGTTAATGAACCTGAAGCAGTCATGGAAACTCCTCAATTTATAGTCAGCCAGGTAGAAGTGCAGGTAGCCTGGGGACCCCACTGGCCCTGGACGTTTTGTGGAACTGAGGCCTTGGTTTGTGTGATATGACAGTAACTCCTGATAGTACCAGAATTGAACTGTAGGACACCCAGTGAATGTTAGAGAATTGATGTTGAAACCCTAAGAACTTTGGAGGAACTGATTGTAAGAATTCTCTTCTGAAAAGCAGCCAAGTCCTCTATTGCCTCCAGAGAACCACGTTCAAATCATTGATAACAGAGTATAGTATTCTCTTTCTCTGCTTTCTTCCTCTCTTTGGTGGTTTTCAACAGGTTGTTTGGAAGTGAAAGGAAATATGTCTGTGATAGGGGGGTAAACAACACCCTGTGGCATTCAAAGTTCTAAGGCCTGATAGGCTAGAACTCCCATTTCCACATTCACATATGAAGTTGACCAGATTTGTGATTTATTCTGCTGAAATTCCCCAGAGATGGTCCAACTCTTTTACCATGGAAAAGCAACATCAGGGGATTGCATACATTAAAGGTGATATAAATTGTAGTGGGAATGGTGTTTTAGAGCACATTTTAAATAACCTATTTTGGACTCATGGCAGGCTCCCATTAGAAAACAGTTGTGAGGGCAAAATTATCCCCATCAAAATACATCAGTTATGTACCCACTTCGTCCTATTCGGCTGCACTTTTTTGTAGGATTCAGCTTTCCTTTTCTACAAATACATTTCTTCTCTTTTTTATACTTCTTACATTTTTGTTTCTATTCTTTATGTAATTGGAGTGAGGATTGTAGCGACAGAAAGGGGATGATCCCTTTCCTCCCCATCGTAAGGCTCACGGCTGACACCCCTACAACAAAAGACAGGAAAAAAGCACAACAAATTTATTTGATTCTAGTTTTATGTGGCACAGGAGGCTTCAGGATAAAGACCCAAAGACCCAGAGTAAACTATCCGTGTTTACATTTAGGTTCAAGGAAGCAGGGACAGCCACGTAGAAACGTGATTGGGCCAGGCACCATGGCCCACGCCTGTGATCCCAGCACTTTGGGAGGCCAAGGGGGGCAGATCACTTGAGGCCAAGAGTTTGAGATCAGGCTGGCCAACATGACAAAACCCCATTTCTACTAAAAATACAAAAATTAGCCAGGCGCAGTGGCGGCAGGCACCTGTAATCCCAGCTAGTCAGGAGGCTGAGACAGGAGACTCGGTTGAACCCAGGGTGTCAAGGCTGCAGTGGGCAGAGATCGTGCCATTGCACTCCAGCCTGGGTGACAAAGCAAGACTCTGTCTCAAAAATAAACAATAAATAAATAAAATCAACACATAATAAATAGAAATGTGATTGGACAAAAAGGGTATGAACTGTTAAAAGAAAAACTTCAGCTGAATTACATTTAACAGAGTTTAATTGAGTAAACAACAATTCGCGAATCAGCAGCTGCCTGAGCCAGAGTAGGCTCAGAGATGCCAGCACAGCCCCGTGGTGGAAGATTTGTGGACAGAAAAAAGAGAGTGACATACAGAAAACGGAAGTGAGGCACAGAAACAGGCAGATTGGTTATAGGTTAGTGTTTGCGTTATTTGAATGCAATTTAAACAGTTGGCCACATTTGATTGGCCAAAACTCAGTGATTGGCACAAGAGAAGACTACAGTCTATTTACAACTCCATTGAGGTTATAGTTCATGATGTGCTTTAGGTCAAACTTAAAATATGTAAGGAGAGAGCTTTAAGCCAAACTTGACTTAACAGAACTGATGGTAACAAACGGAATGGGGAAACCTAGCCAGGCTTGCCTGTTCAGATTCTTCTTGGCCTCTCGTTTGCAGCATTTCTTCTTCCTTGGTGTAGGGCAGGACCCCTCTGGAATGAGGGTCTTTATTTATGGCCGGCTGATACATTGACAGGTGGGGGAAGGTGAGAGTAATATTTTGTTGTTGTCGCCTAGACTGGAGTGCAGTGGTGCGATCTCGGCTCACTGCAACCTCTGCCTCCCTGGTTCAAGCCATTCTGGTGCCTCAACCTCCTGAGTAGCTGGGATTACAGGCACCCGCCACCATGCCTGGCTAATTTTTTGTATTTTTAGTACAGATGGGGTTTTGCCATGTTGGCCAGGCTGGTCTTGAATTGGCCTCAAGTGATCCTCTCCCTTCTCAGCTTCCCAAAACCCTGGGATTACAGGCATGAGCCACTGTGCCCGGGAGGAATATTTTTAAGCTTTATAGCTAGCTTTGAGGGAAAGGGGTTCTGGTTTCTATGACCTACCTTGGGGAAGAGGAATACTAGTTTCTGTGGCTTGCCTCAGGGAAAAATGAGGGGCAAGAGACAGAAAGGCAGGGGAAGGTCAGAGAGAAACTTCACTCCTAAGCCTTCACTTTGGGGCATCACTTTCTGAGCTCCAACATTGTTACTTGGATCCTAATTCATACACATCCCTCAGAAGCTCTGGGATCTCACAGGGTGCCTATGTGCTATGGGTTCCTGGAGCTTCGAGGAGACATCGTGAAGAAGAGTTTGGAAATGGAAAGGTTTCTGGGCCTTGGAGCTGTGATCCCCAGCTCCGCTGGAAGTGGAAGACACTGTCTCTGCGGATTTGGGATCAGCTGGATGGGGCACTCCCTGAAGTCAGAGAATGCAGGAGCACAGCTCTGTCCTGCTCCTACCTCTGTTGTGATTTGACCTGCCTTTTCCCCTTATCTGTTGGGGTAAGGGGTTATACAGCATCATATTAGGACTTGCCCACGTTGTTAAACTATTAGTGAGTCCCTAAAACAGAATCGAGTTGATGAGCCGTGTATAGTTTGCTTAACCATGTTCTTATGGCCAGTCATGCAGGTTGTTTTCAAGTTTGGCTTTTATAAATGCATCTGTAAGTAAAATATTTGTCCAAAAAGATGTTTCCACATTTAAGGTAAATTCCCACAAATGAATTCCTCAACATCTTAAGGCTTTTGGCCCATTTTCGAAATAACTTCGTGAAGGGCTCGGTTTTCTAAAGGGCAAAGTCTAAAGGTGCATTTTTTTCGTTCCTTTGCCAGCACTATTATAGTTTTTAAAAACCTTTACCAATGTAGTAGCTGGAAAATTGTTGTATTGATTTGATAAATACTTCCCTGATTACTTTTGATGTAATCAAACACTTTTGATTACCCGTCAATTTTGACTATCCCATCAATTACGTGGGAACACTTTCCCCATGTAATTGTCTGTTTTTTGAGACAAAGTCTTGCTCTGTCACCCAGGCTGGAGTGCAGTGGCAAGATCTCGTCTCACTGTAATCTTTGTCATCTGGGTTCAAGTGATTCTTCTACCTCAGCCTCCCGAGTAGCTGGAACTACAGGCAGCACCACCATACCTGGTTAATTTTTGTGTTTTTTATAGAGGTGGGGTTTCAACACGTTGGCCAGGCTGATCTGAAACTCCTGACCTCAAGTGATCTGCCTGCCTCGGCCTCCAAAAGTGCTAGGATTACAGGCCTGAGCCACCACACCGGCCTGTTTTTTTGTTTTTTTGTTTTGTTTTGTTTGAGACAGGGACTCGCTCTGTCGCCCAGGCTGGAGTATGGTGGTGCAATCACTGCTCACTGCAGCCTTGACCTCCTGGGTTCAAGCGATCCTCCTGCCTCAGCCTCCCAAAGTTCTGGGATGACTGACGTGAGCCACTGTGCCTGGCTCCTGTGTACGTGTTAGCCACTAATTTTTTTCAGGTGCTTTGCCCAACTCTGGGCTGTGCTGCCTCACACAACTTGTAATTGCAGAATGAAACGCACTAGGGACTGGCAACAACTCCAATCGCCACCTAGATGACCCAGCACGTAGCTCACAGACCCAATCACTTTTGCGGTCCAAGTTTAGAAATCACAGTTGTTAACTAGTGTGTGGTTTGCAAAACAAGTGTTAGGCATCTAGTCATTTGCTGATTCATCACATATTTTTTATGGGCCCTTTATGAGCCAGACACTATTTTAGGCCTGGTGAAAAAGACAAAAATCCCTCTTTGTACGGACTGTACATTCTAGTGAGGAGAGGAAGAAAGTAAACATCCTTAAGTCTGTTGTCAAATAAATTAAAGATGTTCATTGCTTTAGGAAAATGAGCATCAAGGGTAGGGGGTGGTTTGGAGAAAACTGGAGGGTGAAACCTGCTGCAGATGTAAAGTGTGGTCAGGACAGAGCCCAGCAAGGAGGTGAGAGAGCCTTGGGAGCTGCCTGGGGACACTGCGTCTGGCAGAGGCACCAACCATGGGGAAGAACAGTAGGAAACCAGGAAGGCCGAAACGGGGCAAGCAATCGGAGTAATAGGACTTGATGTCAGAGAAGTCCAGGGGGTGGATCTCATAGGGCCTTGGGGGCCGTTGCAAGCATTTGGGCTTTCCTAAGGGTGAGATGGGAGGACCAGAAAGTTTTCAGCCACAAGAGTGATGAGATCTGTCTGCCGTTTGAAAAGAGTAGCTGTGGCTGGCTGCTGCATTCAAAACAGACTGCAGGGGGTCAAAGGCAGGAGCTGGAGGAGAGGGCGGAGCAGACAGACTGCTGCAAATTACCCAGAGCCCTCACGTGGCCCTGGAGCTGGTGAGTGAAAAGATCCAGGAATCCGGCAGAGCTGATGGGATTTCCTGATGGAGTGAATGTGCGCTGAGAGAAAGGGTGGAGCCACGGGCAGTTTCTATTTAAGACCTCGTAGGTTGCTATGTGCCCCATGGTCCCTTAACTAATGTCTGAGCATTTCCAGAGTTAAACCAGGAACACATTTACTCATGGGCCTAGCTCCTGGTATGAAGGGCATGATAACTAATCCCTGCCGTGAGAATTCAGAAGGGGCAATGGTTTTCTCCATGTTAATGAGGTGATGAATAAAAATGATAATGACATTGTGGCATTTGGTCCATTCTTTGATGATCTTCATGTATTCCTGTTTAACATTTTTTTCTCTACACGTTTAGAGGAACTTCTCTAGTAGCAAACTACAGAAATGATCCCTGAAAGTATCGTCTTCTGTTTAACTTGACTTAATTGAATTGGCATAGGTATTTCCTATCTTGGCAACCATGTGTGGATCTTATACAAGATTTATGCATGATGTCTTTGCTGTTGTTGTTAGAACAACTCAGCAAAATAAAATTCCATTTCATCGTTGGACAACATTGTTTCACACATCTGTGAAATAGGCCAAAAAAAATAAATAAATAAACAGCAACTTAATTGATAAATAAATAAATAAATAAATAAATAAATAAATCTTTTATCTTTGGCCTTTTTAACCGTCTCATACAAACCAACTTTCATGCGCGTCCGTGTGAAGAGACCACCAAACAGGCTTTGTGTGAGCAATAAGGCTGTTTATTTCACCTGGGTACAGGTGGGCTGAGTCCAAAAAGAGTCAGCGAAGGGAGATAGGGGTGGGGCCGTTTTATAGGATTTGGGTAGGTAAAGGAAAAAGCGGGGTTGTTCTCTGGCGGGCAGGAGTGGGGGTCATAAGGTGCTCAGTAGGGGAGCTTCTGAGCCAGGATGAGCCAGGAGAAGGAATTTCACAAGACAATGTCATCAGTTTAGGCAGGAACAGGCCATTTTCACTTGTTTTGTGGTGGAATGTCATCAGTTAAGGCAGGAAGCGGCCATCTGGATGTGTACATGCAGGTCACAGGGGATATGATGGCTTAGCTTGGGCTCAGAGGCCTGACATTCCTGTCTTCTTATATTAATAAGAAAAATAAAATGAAATAGTGGTAAAGTGTTGGGGTGGCGAAAATTTTTGGGGGTGGTTTGGAGAGATAACGGGCGATGTTTCTCAGGGCTGCTTCGAGCAGGATTAGGGGCAGCGTGGGAATCTAGAATGGGAGAGAGAAGCTGAAGGAAGATTTTGTGGAAAGGGGTGATATTGTGGGGTTGTTAGAAGAAACATTTGTCTTATAGAATTATTGATGATGGCCTAGATACAATTTTGTATGAAGTGAAAAAAGAAGGGAATAAGACAAGGAGAAAAACAGGTATTAAAGGACTGAGAATTGGGAGGACCTAGGACATCTACCTAGAGAGTGCCTAAGGAGGTTCAGCATAGCCTTGCCAGCAAAGATTATTTATTTACTTTAAGAGTTAAGAGTGGCGGTTTGGGGATAGCACCAGGCGATATCAGCTGCGATGGCTTGGAGAAACAGTGTGAACCGGCAGTGTAAACAAGAGCAGGGCATGTATGAGTAGTTGAGAATGGTGAATAGGAGTATGACTAGACAGAAGATAGTAGGGATGACAAGTTTTCTGGGGCACAGTCCAAGTTGGTCTGGTGTCTGGAATGAGACTGGGGCTTAATAAAAAGGAGCGTCCATACAGGAGCTCAAATGGGCTGTACCCTGTAGCATTCCGAGGACAGGCCTGAATTCTGAGAAGGGAAAGTGGTAAAAGTATTGTCCAGTCCTTTTTAAGTTGGAGGCTGAGCTTGGTAAGATGTGTCTTTAAAAGACCATTAGTCCGTTCTACCTTTCCTGAATATTGAGGATGGTAAGGGGTACGAAGTTTCCACTGAATACCAAGAGCCTGAGAAACTGCTTGGGTGATTTGACTAATAAAGGCTGGTCTGTTATTGGACTGTATAGAGGTGGGAAGGCCAAACCGAGGAATTATGTCTGACAGAAGGGAAGAAATGACCGCGGTGGCCTTCTCAGACCCTGTGAGAAAGACCTCTACCCATCCAGTGAAAGTGTCTACCCAGACTAAGAGATATTTTAGTTTTCTGACTTGGGGCATGTTGAGTAAAGCCAATTTGCCAATCCTGGTGGGGGGCGGGGGCAAATCTCCAAGCTTGATGTGTAGCGAAGGGAGGGGGCCGGAACAATCCCTGAGGGGCAGTAGAATAGCAGATGGAACACTGAGAAGTGATCTCCTTGAGGATAGATTTCCATGATGGAAAGGAAATGAGAGGTTCTAAGAGACGGGCTAGCGGCTTGTAACCTACATGGAAGAGGTTATGAAATGACCACAGAATAGAATGGGCCTGTGAGGCTGGAAGGAGATATTTTCCTTGGTCTAAGAACCATTTGCCTTGTGTGGGAAGAGATTGATAGGTGGAAGTTTCAGCGGGGGAGTAGGTGGGAGTGAACGATGTGAAGGAGAGAAACTGGCCGTGAAGGACAGAAGTTGGAAAGCTAGCTGCTTGTGTAGCCACCTTATCAGCATAAGCATTGTCTAGAGCAACGGGATCTGATGCCTTTTGATGCCCCTTGCAGTGAATGACCCCAGCTTCTTTTGGAAGTAAAGCGGCCTTAAGCAGAGTTTTTATTAAAGAGGCATTAATGATGGAGGACGCTTGCGTAGTGAGGAAACCTCTTTCAGCCTGTATAACAGCATGGTGGTGCAGAATATGAAAGGCATATTTAGAGTCAGTATAAATATTGACGCGTAGTCCTTTTGCAAGAGCGAGGGCTTGAGTTAAGGCAACTAATTCGGTTTGTTCAGAGGTAATGGAGGGGAGCGGAGCGGTAGCCTCAGTGATAGATGTGGAAGATACTATAGCATAGCCTGCCTTTGCTGATGAGTGGCGATTAGGCCTGCTGGAACTGCCATCAATAAACTAAATGTGATCGGGGTGAGGAGCAGGAAGGAAGGAAATATGGGGAAATGGGGTGAATGTCAGGTGGATCAGCCAGATACAGTTATGAGGGTCAGATGTGGTATCCAGAATAATGTGGGAGGGCAGATTGAAGTCCGGGCCAGGAACAATGGTAATTGTGGGAGACTCAACAAAGAGTGAGTACAGCTGAAGGAGCCGGGGAGCAGAAAGTATATGCATCAGGTGTGAGGCAGAAAATAGACTTTGGAAGTTATGAGAGCTGTAGAAAGTGAGTTGACCATAGTTTGTGATTTTAAAGGTCTCTGAAAGTATTAGGGCAGTGGCGGCCGCTGCACGCAGACATGAGGGCTAGGCTAAAACAGTAAGGTCAAGTTGTTTGGACAGAAAGGCTACACAGTGCTGTCCCAGCTCTTTTGTAAGAATTCTGACCACACTAACCATGCCTGGGAAGGAAAGGAGTTGTTGTTTTGTAAGGGATTGAGGTTTGGGAGATTAGCCAGACATGATCAGCAGGGAGAGCATGTGTGTTTTTATGAGAATTATGCCGAGATAGGTAACAGATGAGGAAGACATTTGGGCTTGACTGAAGTAATGGGGGCTGTCCGTGAAGTTTTGCAGCAGTACAGCCCAGGTAATTTGCTGAGCCTGATGGGTGTCAGGGTCAGTCCAAGGGAAAGCGAAGAGAGGCTGGGATGAAGGGTGCAAAGGAATAGTAAAGAAAGCATGTTTGAGATCCAGAACAGAATAATGGATTGTGGAGGGAGGTATTGAGGATAGGAGAGTATATGGGTTTGGCACCACGGGGTGGATAGGCAAAACAATTTGGTTGATAAGGCACAGTCTTGAACTAACCTGTAAACTTTGTCTGGTTTTAGGACAGGTGAAATGGGGGAATTGTAAGGGGAGTTTATAGGCTTTAAAAGGCCATGTTGTAGCAGGTGAGGGAAAACAGGCTTTAATCTTTTTAAAGTGTGCTGTGGGACAGGATATTGGCATTGAGTGGGTAAGGGTGATTAAGTTTTAATGAGATTGTAAGGGGTGCATGATCAGTCGCCAAGGAGGGAGTAGAGGTATCTTATACTTGTGGGTTAAGGTGCGGGGATACGAGAGGAGAATGCGAAGGAGGCTTTGAACTGGGGAAAAGGGCAGCAATGAGGTGTGGCTGTAGTCCAGGAACAGTCAGGGAAGCAGATAATTTAGTTAAAATGTCTTGGCCTAATAAGGGAACCGGGCAGGTGGGGATAACTAAAAAAGAGTGCAAAAAAGAATGTTTTCTAAGTTGGCACCAGAGTTGGGGAGTTTTAAGAGGTTTAGAAGCCTGGCTGTCAATACTTACAACAGTTATGGAGGCAAGGGAAACAGGCCCTTGAAAAGAAGGTAATGTGGAGTGGGTAGCCTCCGTATTGATTAAGAAGGGGACGGGGCCGGGCGTGGTGGCTCACGCCTGTAATCCCAGCACTTTGGGAGGCCGAGGCGGGTGGATCATGAGGTCAGGAGATCGAGACCATCCTGGCTAACAAGGTGAAACCCCGTCTCTACTAAAAATACAAAAAATTAGCCGGGCGCGGTGGCGGGCGCCTGTAGTCCCAGCTACTCGGGAGGCTGAGGCAGGAGAATGGCGTGAACCCGGGAAGCGGAGCTTGCAGTGAGCCGAGATTGCGCCACTGCAGTCCGCAGTCCGACCTGGGCGACAGAGCGAGACTCCGTCTCAAAAAAAAAAAAAAAAAAAAAAAAAGAAGGGGACGGACTTAACCTCCACTGTGAGAGTTAATCAGAGTATCTGTGATGGTCCTGTAGGCTTCCGAGGCAATCCGGCAGTGTCAGTCTACAGCCGCTAAGCTGAGAAGATCTGGGAAGGAGTCAGTCAGAGAGCCTTGGGCCAGAGTTGCAGGGGCTCTGGGAGTGGCTGCCAGGTGAGTTGAACAGTCTGATTTTCAGTGGGGTCTCGCTCAGATGGGACGTGGCTTAGGAGGAATCCCGGGCTGTGGGCATTCCTTGGCCCAGTGGCCAGATTTCTGGCACTTGTAGCAAGCTCCTGGGGGAGGAGGTTCTGGAGGAACCCCTGGCAGCTGCGGTTCAGGTGTTTGGAGTTCTTGTGTGCTGGAGATGTGGCTGGGGTTTGTCTCACAGTGGAGGCAAGGAATTGCAACTCAGAAATATGTTGCTACTTGGCTGCCTCTACTTTATTATTGTACACCTTGAAGGCCAGGTTAATTAAGTCCTGTTGTGGGGTTTGAGGGACGGAATTTAATTTTTGGAGCTTTATTTAATGTCGGGAGCAGATTGGGTAATAAAATAAATGTATATTGAGAATAAGACGGCCTTTTGACCTTTTAGGGTCTAGGGCTGTAAAGCGTCTCAGAGTTGCTGCTAAAGGGGCCATGAACTGGGCTGGGTTTTTTATATTTGATGAAAAAGAGCCTAAACACTAACTGATTTGGGAGAGGTCAGATAAAGAAAAAGCATTAACCTTGACTATGCCTTTAGCTCCAGCCACCTTTTTAAGAGGAAATTGCTGGGCAGGTGGGGGAGGGCTAGTCATGGAATGAAACTGTAAGCCAGACCGGGTGTGAGGAGGGGAGGTGATAAAAGGATTATAGGGTGGAGGAGCGGAGGCTGAGGAAGAATCGGGACCTAGCTCGGCCTGGCAAGGAGGGGAGAGGTCAGATGGGTCTGTAGAAAAGGAAGATTAGAAAGACTCAGCGATGCTTGGGGTTGGGACTGAGGGGACAGGCGGGAGGGAAAGAAGGAAGATTTGGGATGAGTTGCATGGGGAACAGAGACTAGGGAGGGTCCAATGTGTAAAAGAATGCCTGGACATCGGGCATCTCAGACCATTTGCCCATTTTACAACAAGAATTATTTAGATCTTGTAGGATGGAAAAATTGAAAGTGCCGTTTTCTGGCTATTTGGAACCACTGTAGAGTTTATACTGGGGTCAAGTGGCATTGCAGAAGAAAATAAGGCATTTAGGTTTTAGGTCAGGTGTAAGTTGAAGAGGTTTTAAGTTCTTGAGAACACAGGCTAAGGGAGAAGAAGGGGGAATGGAGGGTGGAAGGTTGCCCATAGTGAAGGAGGCAAGCCCAGAGAAAAGAGAGAGTAGAGACACGGAGGGAAGGGGTTCAGGGGTTCTTACCCTCCAGAAAAGCAGGAAAGGGGTTGGGGTGTGTAAATAAGGGGTTGGGACGCAGAGATAAGAGGTTGGAGTGTGGAAATAAGGGGTCAGGGTGCAGAGATAAGAGGTCGGGGCATGGAAATAAGGGATTGGGGCACAGAGATAAGAGATCGGGGCGTGGAAATAAGGGATCGGGGGGTTCTTGCCCCCTAGAGAAGCGATACTTGCCACTAAGGGTGAAGGAGAAGGGGTTGGGGGGTTCTTGCCACCCAGAAAAGCAGAGAAGGGGTGGAGACATGGAGAGAAGGAGTTGGGGGGTTCTTGCACCCCAGAAAAGCGGTACTTGCCGCTAAGGGTGAGGGACAAAGGCAGGCGTCCTTGAGTGGTCAGACACCTCTGAAACATGGGTGAATTATCAGAGAGGCGTCCCTACAATGATTAAACACCAAGGGAAGGCTGCCTTCCCTAGTCCGTGACTGGCACCGGAGTTTTGGGTCCACGGATAAAACGTGTCTCCTTGTCTCTACCAGAAAATGAAAGAAATTGAAATTAAGAGAAGTGAGAGATTGAAGGGTGGTGCAAAGATTGAAAGGAGAAAGTGGTTGAGGGATAGTGAGAGAGGTTGGAGAAGAGAGTAAGAAGAGGCTGCTTACCCAATTTAAAATTGGTGAGTTGTTCCTTGGGCTGGTGGGTCTGAGGACCTGAGGTCCTAGGTGGATCTTTTTCACGGACCAAAGAGCAGGAGGACAGGGGATTGATCTCCCAAGGGAGGTCCCTTGATCCGAGTCATGGCACCAAATTTCATGCGCATCCATGTGAAGAGACCACCAAACAGGCTTTGTGTGAGCAACAGGGCTGTTTATTTCACCTGGGTGCAAGCGGGCTGAGTCCGAGAAGAGAGTCAGCGAAGGGAGACAGGGGTGGGGCTGTTTTATAGGATTTGGGTAAGTAAAGGAAAAAGTGGGGTTGTTCTCTGGCAGGAAGGAGTGGGGGTCACAAGGTGCTCAGTAGGGGAGCTTTTGAGCCAGGATGAGCCAGGAGAAGGAATTTCACAAGATAATGTCATCAGTTAAGGCAGGAACAGGCCATTTTCACTTCTTTTGTGGTGGAATGTCATTAGTTAAGGCAGGAACCGGCCATCTGGATGTGTACGTGCAGGCCACAGGGGATATGATGGCTTAGCTTGGGCTCAGAGGCCTGACACCAACTACCTATAGTACAGCTAAGTGCATGTACAAAAAAAGTTACTGGAATGCTCAGAATAAGATTGTTTAGTTGTTTTTGCTTCTTTCTACGAGGTTTCTTTTGTTCTTTGAGGTGATGATGAACTTGGTCACACCACAAGTAAAGTCAGAAGTAAGGCAGAGGATGCTCAGTAGGCTGGTTTGATCACCTGAGATCATTAAAAATGGCTGACTGCCAGCTGGGCGCAGTGGCTCACACCTGTAATCCCAGCACTTTGGGAGGCTGAGGCAGGCAGATCACGAGGTCAGGAGATCGAGACCATCTTGGCTAACGTGGTGAAACGCCGTCTCTACTAAAAATACAAAAAATTAGCCAGGCGTAGTGGGGGGCGCCTGTAGTCCCAGCTACTCGGGAGGCTGAGGCAGGAAAATGGCATGAACCCGGGAGGCGGAGCTTGCAGTGAGCTGAGATCGCAGCACTGCACTCCAGCCTGGGCAACAGAGCGAGACTCCATCTCAAAAAAAAAAAAAAAAAAGGCTGACTCCTGACTCCTGACAATACGTGCAAAAATATAAAAGGAAACTAAAAAATACTAACAAATCTCCTTTTAAAATTACTTAAAAAAATAAAAATAAAAAGCAGGGCCTTGGAAGTTTTGATTCCTTTTTCCTCTCCTGTTGCAAACTCATGTTGTGGTTTTGGGTGGGTGGTGGAGAGTGTGTCACCAGCAGGTGGCGCTGTCGGCAGTGGCTGGGCCTCTCTCTCCAAGGTGACCATGTCTAGTTTATGAGAAGGGAAGTGGAGGGTGAATAGGTCACGGCCGCCTTTTTTTTCTTTGACTTTTCTGCTGCCTGGCTATCCTCCTCATCTTCTGCTTTGCGATATCAACACCACTATCTTCTTTATCTGCAGTGCCCTGTTTGCCACCAGGGGCTCTAGCTTCTTCATTCATCTCCACCCTCTTCCTTGCCTCCACCTTCTTCCTCCTCCTCTTCCTCCCCACCTTCTTCCTCTTCTTTGTCCTCCTTATCGTCAGCCTCATCTCCCCATTTTCTTCATTGGGGTTCCCACTAGCAGGGGCATCTCTTCCCCTTTCTCCACCTGCACAACTTGTTTCTTCTCCTTTAAGTGGTTGGTGGTCATCTCAGAGTTGGTGTCCACAGATGGATGTCTGTGACACAGCGGGCTCCCCGGTGATCCCATGTGTTGGATAAGAAGAAAGCAAGAGTTTGAGGACTCTGCCAATAAAATGGGGACAATGCAAAGATGGCTTTTCAGAGCGGGCAGTGGGCACCTGATGACTTTTGAACTCACCAACACTGGCAGTGATTTGATTTTGTGTTCACCTGGCCTTTGGGTTGTTGGGCACGGTGAAGGAGGGTGACAAATGACAGGCAGAAAGGAATCAGATGCATGATTTTGTGAAGATGTAGGACATTTTGTTATTCAAGGAATGTTCAGTTATGAGTGCCGGTCATTGTTTTTAAAGGAAGGGACATACTTAACATTTTAAGTATTCTATTTTCTTACCTGAAATTTAAAAGAAAGGAAGAAATAAGAGGTCTGGCAGCCCCCACTGCAGAGACTAAAATGTGACAGGCGGGTGAGTTGAGAGGGAAACAGCTGGCTGGTTTGTCTCTGTGGTGGCTTCTATTTTGGGAAAGTTGGTGATCGCCTTGCCTCACTGTTCTGATGTTCTCAGTGGCCTCAGCTGAGCTGCAGTGGAGTGAGGGGTGGAGGAAGCACGAACGGTGACAGTCATTCCAGCTACCTTGCAATGTGGCAGATGGGAATAAACGCCCATGAACTGGGAGAAGATTTGACGGCTGCCTATTGCTGTGTAAACCTGGCCAAGGCATTTTACACTTCTAAGCCTCAGGAAAAAAGAAATCATTCTCATTGCCCTACCTATTTCTAAAAATCGCATGAGTCTCCAAAATTGCAAGTGATATGACATAAAATCGTTTTGGGAACACTAAAGACCTATACAAATATAAGCCCCCATTATTGATTTAGCTGCAGGGTACGTCATTCATACACATGAAGTATGTTATACTCAAAGACTGTATACACGTTCCTGTATCAGCCTGAAATCTGTATTAAGTTTTCTAGATATAAAGAGTCCATTATTTTATGACTGGAATTTTCCTGCTCTATGCACTTGTTTATTAT
Organism: Homo sapiens; assembly: GCF_000001405.40. Taxonomy (NCBI): domain Eukaryota; kingdom Metazoa; phylum Chordata; class Mammalia; order Primates; family Hominidae; genus Homo; species Homo sapiens. Next base: position 4,284,309 of record NW_018654717.1, on the reverse strand, counting down.
AAAGGTCATGATGGGATTTCATTTTTAACCTGTGTGCATGTGTGTGTGTGTGTGTGTGTGTGTGTGTGTGTGCAATATCAATAGTAGAAGGGAAAAAAGAAAGGTGACCTAGCCTGGGCAACATAGAGAAACCCCATCTCTACAAAAGATGCAAAAATTAGCTGGGCATGGTGGCATACACCTATTGTCCTAGCTACTTAGGAGACTTAGGTGAGAGGATCGCTTGCACCCAGGACCTCCAGGCTGCAGTGAGCCAAGATCGCACCACTGCACTCCAGGCTGAGCAACAGAGTGAGAACCTTTCTAAAAAAAAAAAAAAAAAGGTGACAAGACCTTCCATAACATGGATAAGGCCTTACAGATGATCCAGTCCAATTTCCTCAAGTTTTAAAGAAGCTGGGTTCCACGGTATTAACTGAATGATTTCAAGATTACACAGCTAGTCTGAGCAGAACTGGGACAGGTCCCCAAGTCAACAAACTCCTGCCCCAGCAGGTTTTTTTTACCTCCTTTTCCTTCTTTCACATTTTCTACAATTTTGCCATACATATGAGCACAGAGAGTTATGCTGCAAATACACACACACACACACACACATATATGTATATACACACACAAATATTATATAACATTCTTTCCTCAACAGTCTCCTTCCCCCAAGCAAGAAGTTTCCACTAAACCTTGAACAATTTTGCTCAAAGCTTTATGGCTAAAAAAGTGGAGGAAGCAGAGAACATATATTTTCAGAGCAACATCTAATCCAGAATTGCTTTTCTCCTTAGCCCTTAATTAACTTCTTTTTAAATTCAAAAATTTTTTCAGATATATCTAAAATAGTATTATATACAATTGACCTGAGACTGTCTCAGATTTAAAGAAGCGTTTCTGGAAATCTCGCCCAACACCTTCCCTCGCACCTCATGTGGCTCTCCTGCCCTTGGGGAAAGTAGTTTGGGTTTCATAGTTTGCTTTTAGTAGAGGTTCTCTTTCTCTCTCTCTCCTTTTTGGAGACAGAGTCTCATTCTGTTGCCCAAGCTGCAGTGCAGTGGCAGCATCATAGCTCGCTGCAGGCCAGAACCTCTGGGCTCAAGTGATCCTCCTGCCTTGGCCTCCCTAGTAGCTAGAAGTACAGGTGTGTGCCATGACGCCTGGCTAGAGACTGTCTTATGAATGCTGAGTGGAGGCTGGATTGGTGGGAGCACTGGCCAATTGCCATAGGGGTCTTTATTGAGCACCAAGCAAAGCAACCTCCTCCCTTGCCTTTAGGGTCCTCATATCCATGCTTGCTTCTCTTCCTAGGATGCATTGTGTCTGAGTTTATCTTCTTTCTTTATCTGTGTACATATGTATTGTCTTACTCTCTCTTCATTAGAATGTAAGCTTCCTGAGAGCAGAGAGCTGGCTTGTGTTGTTCACCTGCGTACCTTGAGTGACCAGAGAGTGATTGGCACTGTTTTTAAATTTTTTAAATTTTATTATTGGTTTTTGAGACAGGGTCTCTTTCTGCCACCCAGGCTGGAGTACAGTGGTGCAGTCATGGCTGACTGCAGCGTTGACTCCCTAGGCTCAAGCAATCCTCTTGCCTCAGCCCTCCCTAGTAGCTGGGACTACAGGTGTGCACCACCATGCTTGGCTAATCTTTTTATTTTTTATAGAGATGAGGGCCGCGCTGTGTGGCCCAGGCTGGTCTCGAACTCCTGGGCTCAAGCCGTCCTCCCACCTCAGCCTCGCAAAGTGCTGGGATTACAGGCATGAGCCACCACATCGGCCATTTTAAATATTTATTAAAAGGACAAAAGGGTTGTGGGGTTAACGGTTTGAACATCTTGATCCATATTCTCAGATCACCTTCCCAAAAATGTCAGAATTCACAATCCCATTAGGAATGTCTAGGAGGATCTTTTCACTTGAATCCTCTCTGAAGCTGGGTATGATAGTTTTTAAAATCCTTGTTAATATGATAGGAAAAATTTTTAAAAGCACTTATGTTTTAATTTGCATTTCTTTGTTGCAATGTATTTTAGAAAGATTTTTATTCCAACAGATTTTTAAAAGGTGTGGTAACATTCCATTATGTCAGTACCTCCTTGGTAATCTTCCCTGACAATGCTGGATGGATCAAAGGGGACTGTATCACCCTCTCTTAGTTATGGGCATCAAACATGTTTGAAGGTATTTTGAGAAGTATAAACAAGTTATGCAATCAGAATGATTTCTTTTGCTCAAGATGAGAGTATAGAAGACAATGCTTTCACTCAAATAGCACTTGAAAATTACTCTAATGCTTGCCACCTAAGTGACAAGATCATTCGTATCTCAGCATCGTGCAATATACACATGTAACAAACCGGCACATGTACCCCCTGAATCTGGAATAAAAGTTGAAATTATTAAATAAATAGGTAAATAAAAAAAGTAAAGTATTACTTTACAAATGTGGCAACAGGAGGAATTATAGAGAAGGAAATGATTATACTATTGAACATATTATTTCCTCCCTGAGTATTTTAACTATTGTAAGTCAACAGAGGAATTTGCAGGTTTTAGAAAGTCGCTCCAGTCATTCTGATTATTGATTAGTTTTGCTTAATTTTAAATAGTCTATTATGGCTGGGTGGAGGTGGCTCATACCTGTAATCCCAGCACTTTGGGAGGCTGAGGTGGGCGGATCACCTGAGGTCAGGAGTTTGAGACTAGCCTGGTTAACATGGTGAAACCCTGCCTCTACTAAAAATACAAAAACTAGCTGGGCTTGGTGGCAGGCACCTGTAATCCCAGCTACTCTGGAGGCTGAGGCAGGAGAATCACTTGAACCTGGGAGGCAGAGGTTGCAGTGAGCTGAGATTGCACCACTGCACTCCAACCTGGGTGAGAGTGAGACGCTGTCTCAAAAAAAAAAACAAAACACCAAACCAAAACTAAAAAGACTATTAAAAAATAACAAAAATAAAAAAGAAATAACATATATGTCTAAAAATGGAGTAGTCTAAAGAAGCAGGGTGTGGTGGCTCCCACATATAATCCTAGCCCTTTGGGAGGCTGAGGCCAAAGGATGGCTTGAGCCCAGGAATTCAAGGCTGCAATGAGCTATGATCCCACCACTGAACTCCAGCCTGGGCAACAGAATAAGACCTTGTCTCAAGAAAAACAAAAAGGACTCTAAAGATACCTAGTTATATTTGGGATACATTGGCAGGTTCAGAACTACTAGTATGGAACAGAAAGGAAGAAATTGATTGACTCATTTCCCAACTACTTATTCACCCACGGAACATTCCTAATGAACACACACAGGAGTCATTGCTCATAAGGTTCAATTAGTCCACTTACGCAGTGGAGTCCATCCTTGCAAATGCACACAGAAAGAGAACATTTGGCGTCTGAAAGAATCTGGTTCAAGTCGCATGTCTGTGGATCAAAGTAAAAATTTAAAAATAATTTTTACTAAAGCTCCATGAACCACGTTTGTAACTTGGGGATGAATTAGTTTGAAATCTCCTTTTTCCTCAGCATTTTTGCAGCCCATGTGTGCAGGGCCGGGCAGGGAATCATGGTGGTGGCCCCAGGTGGCAGGGTTGGGAGCTGGGACAGAGACTTACAAGGGCACCCATGGCTGCCATCACTCTGTACCCCTGCGGAGACTGCAGAGTGAACGGGCTCTATCTTCTCTCCACCCATTTCTTCTGGCTGTTTTGGTCTGTTGATTTCCAGTTTCCCAAAGCAACATATCTTTCTTGGCCTGTTTGGAAAGAGAACTGTTGCTAAGATTATTGAACTCGCAAGGGAAAGTTCTTGTGTTTACAGCTGTCTAACGCGGGGCATTATTCTAAGCAGATGATTGCATTGTTATAGACAGACATCTACGAGGTCAGTTTTTCCTAACCACCGTAATAAATCTAATGATAACCAGTTAACTTGACAAAGCCATTTCTCAAAGCAGCTTCAGTGTTTGATAAATACTTTTCCTTTTCTGGAATTTCTATTCTAGTTATTACATTTGGGAGTAGAATGCACACCCATCACAAAATGCCTAGCCTTTAAGCTCCCACGGTGGAATTCAATATAATTAAAAGCAACAAGTATTTAAGTTTCTAGTAATGCCAGCTCTATGTGAAAAATTTGGGGAACATCCAAGAAATATAAGTCTTGTAAATGATGTCCTAATTACGAAAAGAAATAAAAACACCTTCTCCAGTTTTCCGTTTCCAGTTTATTCATCTGAGGAATGCTTTCTCCAGATAGGACGGGATAATTGACTCCTTTAACTTGGTAACCCATTCTACAGGGAAACGGGAGAAGTCCTCCCCTGTGGCTCACTCTATATGGCCGATGCCTTCCTTTAAAGAGTTCAAACTGTAGCACCTTCATCACACCTTTGGTTTTTGAGCTCCAACAGAGCAAGGTGATTCAACTTTGGAAATAGAATGACAGAGAGAGACTGGGTGCAGTGGCTCATGCCTGTAATCCCAGCATTTTGGGAGACCAAGGTGGGAGGACTGCTTGAATCCAGGAGTTCAAGACCAGCTTGAGCAACATAGTGAGACCTCGTCTCTACAAAAGACAAACAAAATTAGCAAGCGTGGTGGTGCGTGCCTGTAGTCCCGCCTATTTGGGAGGCTGAGGTGGGAGAATCATTTGAACCTGGGAGGTCGAGGCTGCAGTGAGTGGAGATTGCACCACTGCATTCCAGCCTGGGTGACAGAGCAAGACCCTGTCACACACGTACACACACGCAAAAATGACAGAGAGGCAGAATTCTCCTAAGTGGAAATGAAATACAGAATACCATGATTTAGTTTTCCTGTAGTTCTTTCCCTAACGTTTGACAATAGCTTTCCTTTTGGGTGATCAGTGTCCTTTGGTTTTACCTCATAGCCCTGTGAGGTTGCCGTGTTGAGTCTTGTTTTCATACCACATTGACGGTCCTTTCTAGTGGCCTGAAGGTTTTTGTTATTATTTTGAAAAGCTTTATTGATATATAATTCACATACCATACAGTTCACTCATTTGAAGTGGACATTTCAATATTTGGAAGCCTATTCACAGCATATGCGCAACCATTACCACAGCCAATTTTAGGATAATTTTTTCTTTCTGTTTTTTACTGTGGGGTTTTGCAGTGAAAACCAGAAAACCTGCTAGACAAATTCCAAAAGAGCTGTAACACGCGATTTCAGAACATTTAATCACCTCAAGAAGAAACCTGAAGGATCCTTCCGTCGCCGCCTCTATCTCTGTCCCCTCCAGCCCTCAGAAACAACTAATCTATGTTCTTTCTTTAAAAAAAAAAAATCTTTGAAGCCTTCATAAATCAGCCCTTTGATTTAAATCTCCATCTCACTCCGCCACTATTTTTGATCAATTCTTCACCAGAGCTTCATCTTGACATGTGCTCTGCCACAGTGCTAAGGAACAGAGTGACCCCCCACCCCACTCCCGACAGAAGCAGCCCCAGAGAGAGAAGCAGAGGGTCAGGGTCAGGGTCAGCACCGAGTGTGCTCGGGTGAACTGCAAGTCTTGACTTAGTCTTGAGGACCTCCTCAGTCTTGCACCCCTTCCTTCAGCAACACCTGCCGGGATGCGTCTTTCGGCCTCCTCTGAAATACAAAAACATTTTGTGGTCTAGCTGCTCACTGTATTTTCACTCTGTGGTTTTCTTTAATTTACACCCCTCTTCTACTCTGCTGGCCTTCAGGATTTTTTTATTTTTATTCACCACACTCATCAGGGAACAAATGCATAATCCTTCATCTGGCTTCTGCTGTCAGTCAGTTTGAATCTTGGTTGCCTTCTCAGCCATAAACTTTATCACCTGGCCTCATGCCTTCGGCTTTGTCCTTGATTTTGGAAGCGCAGTGAATCAACATTATTTATCTTTGCAGAAGGCAGTATCTTAACCACCACATAGTAGCATTAATCTGTCACATCGTCCCGAACATGCAAGACACTATTTGTTATTGAAGAGGAGACTTCTTTATGGAAGGATATTGTCTACTCTTAGTAAAGTATCTCAACTTATGATCCCCAATACTTCCAAGAAGGGTAAGCGTGAGAGAAGATACAGTTGGGGGTGTCTGGGGGGAGGTTACCGATGGACAGGTTAGCAAATAGAGCATTGTAAAGGAGATCAGTGAAGTAAGATTTTCATAAAATAACAGGTAGAATTTTGGTGAGTTTTCCAGTTCAATTTTTAACCATTCCATATTCAAATATTGTTTTGAAGAGGCATTAACTCAGGCTTTAAAAAATGTTGCTGAATCAGTGTGCAGGAGGGAGAAAAATAATTTTAAAATGTCGCTGAAAAATTATATTCTTCTGGTATGAAATAATTATATGCTTCTGGTATGAAATAATTATATTCTTCTGATATTAGAAAGCCTCTTATTTCTTAAACAGGCTTAAACTATTTCAATTAATCTTTCTCTATGCAATCAGGACTCTAAGGACTGACATGAAACTACATAGAATCCAGTACACCTTCTGTTTAGGGTCTTTTACTTATTCACAACTAGCTTCTTAAAAAAGTCAAACCCTATAAAATACCTTATAAAAGACTAAGTAAACATTGTACTTTACAAAAATTTTATTATTTTTAAAATTTATTTTTTAATTTTTATCCTTACAGAGGAGGTCTTGCTATGTTGCCCAAACTGGTCTTGAACTCGCAGGCTCAAGCAATCTTCCTGCCTTGGCCTCCCAAAATGCTGGGATTACAGGTGTATAAGCCACCGCACCCAGCCATACTTTTTTGTGTGTGTTATTTTTTCGTTTTTGTTTTTTTGAGACATGGTCTTGCTCTGTTGCCCATACTGGAGTATGGTGGTGCAATCTCGGCTCACTGCAACCTCCGCCTCCCAGGTTCAAGTGATTCTCCTGCCTCAGCTTCCCGAGTAGCCTGGATTACAGGCACCCGCCACCATGCCTGGCTAATTTTTTTTTTTTCAGTAGAGACAGAGTTTCACCATGTTGGCCAGGCTGGACTTGAACTCCTGACCTTGAACTCCTGACCTCAAGTGATCTGCCCTCCTCAGCCTCCCAAAATGCTGGGATTACAGGCATGAACCACTGCACCTGATCCATATTTTTAAATTTAAATTTAAGTTTTTATTTTTGAGACAAGGTCTTGCTCTGTCACCCAGGCTGGAGTGCAGTGGCAAGAACATGGCTCACTGCAGCCTTGACCTCCTGGGCTCAAGCAATTCTCTGGCCTCAGTCTCCTGAGTAGCTGAGACTACAGGTATATACTATTATGCCCAGCTAATTTTTTGTAGAGCTGAGGTCTCACTTTGTTGCCCAGGCTGGTCTCAAACTCCTGGACTCAAGTGATCCTCCCGTCTTGGGCTTCCAAAGTTGCTGGGGTTACAGGCGTGAGCCACTGCGCCCAGCCAGTACTTTATATTTATTGTGCCTGCATTTATATGGGAACTTCCTGTCATATTTCCTTTTTAAAAATTTCTAAATTCCTAAAACCTTAATTAATAGAGCACATCGTCCTCTTAGGTTGTGAGTCCTTCTAAGGGAAAAGCAGTATCTCCTGGTGTGGTCTGGTGTGGTCTTAATCTTCAGTGTCACAAGAGCAAGCCTGCCCCCACCAGCGCCACAGTGAGGTGACACAGAAGAGCGCCGGGCACCACGTGTTTACTTGCATTCCTCTGGTCCCGTGGAAGCCCATTATTCCTTTCCTGAATCGTATGTGAGCCAAAGGCCCTATATGGCCAAGATTCCCTGTTCGGTGATGAAATGCCAGCACATGACATTCTTTCTAATGAGTCACAGTCAATAAAAAATGTTTTCTAAATGAATCTGACTATGTCTCCACACCAAGCAACACAGAAGAAAAGTCTTATCAAACCAAAACATCTTATCAGCTGAGCCCAGACAGACCTTTCAGTTTTGCAAGCAAGGTGAAATGCGTTCCCACACAAAGCGAAAACCCAGTCTCTCCTTAGTTTTCCTTGGATACATGTGTTATATACTATGAGGAAATGAGGGAGACATGTATTGGGAAATATTTTCAGGGTTTGGAGACTGATGAGAGATTACCGAGGAGTTTGTGTACAATAATAAGAACACAGCTAAAGACATTCACTTTTGAGAGCCTCCATGTAAACATTAGGTTAATATCACATGCTGAACATGCCTTTTTTTTTTTTGCAATGCTTTATTTTCATTATGAACACGGTCTTTACATGGAATAGCACTGACCCTATTATTAGAAGTGGAAATCTATTAGCCATGCATTTTGTTGTTGTTGTTGCTTCTAAAGAGACTTACAGGGGGCTTAGGAAAGCCACAAAGAATCCCCACGGTGTGCACACATCAACCACAGACAGGTTAACCCTTCAGGCTCAGGGAAAATGAACATGAACTGAAGAAATAAAATGTAATGATCACCCAGAAGTTAACTATTAGGTTTACTATTACAGTGAAAGGGAAAAATAATCTTAAAAAAATTTTTATTTATTATTTTTTATAGAGACAAGGTCTTGCCATATGCCCAGGCTGGTTTTGAACTCTTGGGCTCAAGCCATCCTCCTGCCTCAGCCTCTCAAAGTGTTGCGATTACAGGGGTAAGTCACTGCACTTGGCTTTTTTTTGGAGACAGGGTCTCATTGTGTCACCCAGGCTGGAGTGCAGTGGCACAATCATGCAATCATGGCTCACTGCAGCCTCAATCTCCTGGGTCCAAGTGATCCTCCTGCCTCAGCCTCCCAAGTAGCTTGGGACTATGAGTGTATTCCTCCATGCCCAGCTAATTTTTGCTGCTGTTGTTGTTTTGTAGAGACGAGGGCTCACTTATTGCCCCAGCTGGTCTCAAACCCCTGGGCTCAAGTGGTCCTCCTACCTCGGCCTCCCAAAGTGTTGGGATTACAGGTGTGAGCCACTGTGCCCAGCCAGAAAAAAGAAAATCTGAAGGAAAAAATACAAGCAAGCCATGTATACACAGTTTTGTCCCCTAAAACTACGGTACAGAAGAGAGGGTATAAATTACAGGACTGGCATCCATAAAATTCCCTAAAGGAAAGATATACAACATCTAGGGTTCATCTGTAAGTCAAAGCAAACCCAAGTCAGAATGAGATGAAGGATTTAAATATGACCAAGGTGCCAACATGTAAATGATACCATAGACAAGTGAGAACTCATCTGGGCCTTGAACTTGACTTTCTCTCAAGTACTCCCAATAAAGTTACCCAGTAAGGAAAAGAGGTGGGTGGGGGATTAAGTTCTTATTGGCCCATCAAGAGTTTGTTTCTTTAAATTATCCATTGCCTTTGGTAATACCATGTGCTTCTCTTTCTGTGGGAGAAACTACATAATATCCAGAGAAGGGTAACTAGAATGGTGGAAAAGCCACTTCAGTGAGAAATGGCTGAAAAACTGGGCATATTTAACAAGAAGAGAAATCTGAATGAGGACAGGAGGGCTGCCAAGAATCTTTAGGGGGAAGCGGGGATGTGTGTTCTCCTGCAGTGCTGCAGAAGGCAGGGCTAGGACCACAGGAGAGCTGCCCCACCTTTGAAGGAGCTCTCTGGGGCAGAGTTGATGATTTAGAAGATAGAGATTTATTATAAGGCCACACCAGTGGAAGGTGAGGACATGGGAATAAAACCAAAGGTGAGGTAGAGATAGCTGTTAAAGAATGTGGACTTCACAGCTTTCGCTGCCTCCATGCTCTTCCCCTTCCAATGTACCTCATACGCATGCCAGTGTTACTTATCTGCTGGTCAGAATGTTTATTAGCTACCCATTACCTACTGAAGTATGCTGAAACTCCTTTTCCTGGTATTCAAAGCTTTCTGTGGTTTTACACTTCTTTTCCAGCCATATCATCAGATTAATAATTTTCTCATGTTCTCCATTTCTTAAATGTGACATGCATTTCCCTGCCACATTCCTTCCCTGCTTAATTCCCTGCCTGTTGAAAACCTTCAGGGCCCACCAAAAATTCCACCTGTTTCATGAAACCTATGTAGAGGCAAAGGGAACTTTCCTTTTACCTTCTGAAGGTTCAATAATTTGAGTCCCTGGAAGAAACTGACAATAGACAGGTTAACAGGAGAAAAGGCATACAAATTTATCATGTGCCTATGTGCACAGGAGCCGCACAAACTGTGACTCAGAGGAGGACCAGCTGACTGACGCTTTTATACCCCACAGAAAAAAATAGGGGCTGGGGGCTCCTGGAGGGTGGTGGTGATGAGATGTGGGAGACAGAGGGGCAGAAATGCACTGTGAACAAAGGCTGCTTTATCTGCTTATAATGCAGAGAAAGTGTCTCAGGCAGCAGACCTCAGAGGAATACATTGGTAGCCTATGGTAAAAGTCTCTCTGAGCAAGAGGTCAGACCTTTAGTCTATTTTCCTGAGTTAAGCTTCCCTGGCTGACGATTGCATTCCTCTGGAGGAACTCCCCTTTAGTCAGATAAGAGAGGACTAGAGAAAGCTCTTCTCTGCGTTTGCCCCTCCGCAGGTACTCTCTGTTTGAGGTCCAAAGCAGCATATTTGGGGAATTTTTTTCTGATCCCCAACACCAACCCCATCCAACCTTTCTTTCTGCCAGGGGAATGCGCTGCTTTCTTCCTGTGTTCCCAGAATACTCTCATGGTCTTGGTGACACTGATCCAGCCTATCTTTTTTTCTTTTTTCTTTTTCTTTTGAGACAGAGTCTCGCTTTGTCAGCCAGGCTGGAATGCAGTGGAGTGATCTCGGCTCACTGCAACCTCCACCTCCTGGGTTCAAGTGATTCTCCCGCCTCAGCCTCCCGAGTAGCTGGGACGACATGCGTGCGCCACCACGCCTGGCTAATTTTTGTATTTTTAGTAGAGACAAGGTTTCACCATGTTGGTCAGGCTGGTCCTGAACTGCTGACCTCAAGCAATCCACCCACTTTGGCCTTCCAAAATGCTGGGAATACAAGTGTGAGCCACCACACCTGCCCTACCGCCCTGTGTTTTTTCTAATTAGGTATCTGTATAGCACTTTTTTTTTTTTAGCTCATACAGTATTTTTACAAACACAAGTATTACCTCCCTGGGAGAGTAGTATTCCCATTTCACAGATAACTCAGGTTTTGAGAGTTTAAGCGACTTAACCATAACCATAGAGCTAATACTTGGTAAGGTTGGAATTCAAACTCAAGTTTTTTAACCCAAAGTGCAGACTCTGCTTCCCCTCACACTGTTGTGAGGGTGTTTTTTAAGTCTAATCAATATGACAGAGATTTTCAAATTCTGAAGTGCTACCCAGATCAAAAGAGGGTTTTATCCATTAGACTGCAGCCTTGTGGAAGCCAGAGACCAAGTCATTTTCATCTGTGCATATAAATGCATATTCTCAGGTCCACCCAGACCTGCTGAATCAGTGACTCCAGGGTGGGGTCCAGCAGACTTTGTTACAACAAAGCCTTCCAGGTATCTGCTGCATGCTCAAAGTCAGAGAACCAAAACTGTAAGAGAAGATTATCTTTTTTCTCTTCTTTTGTTTTTGTGGGGCCCTTGTCCTACAGAGACTACAGGGGCATTATGGGATCATTAACAAGTACACAAACCTCAATTCTCAGAGGAGAGAATCGCTACTAGTGCTGAGTGAGCAAAGATTTTATCAGGATAAAAAAAATGTAAAGACTAACCTGGCAAGATTATGAGCTCTAAGGGGTGTTGTCTTACCTGGAAGGCAGGTGTCAAGTGAAGCTTTGAGTGGAGAAGGCAAGAAGACAGGATGTTGAAAGGAAAATTCTTTATGGGTGTCAGAAAAACTCATAGGGAGGGGAAAAAAGATTTATTAGGGAATTTTAATATGAGAAAGAAATGACACTTTTGTAAAAAAGGCTATTTACTGAAAATTGCTGACAGCAGGCCTTTGGTGAAAGGGTGGAACAATGGGGAGGAGTAGCAGATGTTGAGAGCAGAAGATGAAGCACTGAAGGCAAGGGTAAGCCCTGATCTCCGGAGAAGAGCTTTGAGTTCCTGTGAGCATTTGATTCCGGAAAACACTAACATGAGTTCAGCTATAGACCGTTTTCATTTTCCCTAAACAAATGCATTGTTCTAAAGAAGAAAACAAATACATGTGAAGGGTTCCTGGTTTCTTGAAGCTATTTTGAATAATGCAAAAATGTTGGTTGTGACTCTCATTTAAAATGTGTCCAGAATGGGCTAGCAAAAAAGAGGAGCTTGCTAAAGTTCAAATGACTGTGTCGATCTAAAAGAAAGAAGCTGAGGCCTAAAATATAACTGGAATAGTTTAGCCGAAGTGAGGACAGCTGCTGGGAAGACTCAGCCCCAGGTAGCCTTGGATATGAATTCCATTCGATCTTTGTTACGAGCAGGTTTGTTTGTTTTTTGAGACAGGGTCTCACTGTCATCCAGGCTGGAGTGCAGTGGATCACGGCTCACTGCAGCCTGGACCTCCCCAGGCTCAGATGATCCTCCCACCTCAGCCTCTAGAGGAGCTAAGACTATAGGTGCACACCACCAGGCCTGGGTAATTTTTGTATTTTTTGTAGACACGAGGTTTTGCCATGTTGCCCAGGCTGGTCTTGAACACCTAGGCTCCAGCAGTCCTCCAGCCTTGGCCTCCCAAAGTGCTGTGATTACAGGTGTGAGCCACTATGCTTGGCCCACAAGCAGGTTTTTAAAGACAAAAAAAAAAAAAAAAAGTTTGAGTGACAGGGAGTAGGCTGATACAAAGTTGTTTGTCAGGAGCTGGCTTACAGGAATAACACTGATTAGTGATTGGCTGTACATTGTTAGGCTATAGGGTGTGGTTATAGTGTTTGATGTGGCATTATTAGGTTATTTTACAGCTACTTGTGGTAATAGAAAGCAGTTTTAAGAGGGGAGTAGGACGTGATTGCTGTCTCATTTTAATGTCTCCCTGGGCCTGATAATTTAAGAGGACTTGCATTCCTCAGATCAAAGTCCATTTATTTTCTCAACTGTATAACCCAAGTAGCCTGACTAGATGTGCCCTGCTAGTGTCTAGGAGCCTCTGTTGTCCATGTTCATGTGATGTCCTGACAGGATGGCTTGTGATGAGTCTGCCCTCTGAGTGACAGTGACATTTCTCCTTGCAGCCTGGCAGTAAGAACCAGTTAGCAGACAGAGACGTGAACAGCACACATGCTAGGCTGCCTAGAGGAGATGAGGCAGAGAGGCCCTGACACTTCTCCAGTTCCTGAGGCCACACTGCACACCTTTGTGAAGTGCAGCACCCCTGCCCTGATTTTCCTGCAGGTTTTCACAAGGTTCACGTTCACCCGTTCCACCTTGCTATTGCCTTATTCCCCATTGTCTCTTGTTTTCTAGACGTGTCTTTGGGTTCTAGCAGCACAGAGCTCTGAGTGTGGAATCGTCACCAGTGTGGACCTTGGCCACTTCTTCATTTGCCCCTCCCCCAAGGCACCACTCACTCGGCTCCTGCAGGAACAAGCATTTAGTGCAGATATCAGCTAAATGGGGGGTGGAGGGCAGCGGTGCAAAGAATGGGGCAGACAGCACAGCCCAGAATTGGCTACTACTTAAGATTTAATGCTATACTGAAATGTTCACTGACAAAATATGCTATCTGGATTTATTAGTCCAGTCTCACACTGCTATAAAGATACTACTTGAGACTGGGTAATTTATAAACAAAAAAGGTTTAATTGACTCACAGTTCCTCATGGCTGGGGAGGCCTCAGGAAACTTAACAATCATGGTGGAAGGTGAAGGGGAAGCAAGGCACGTCTTACATGGCAGCAGGTGAGAGAGAAAGCAGGGACAACTGTCATTTATAAAGACCATCAGATCTCTTTAGAACCCACTTACTATCATGAGAACAGCCTGAAGGAAACCACCCATGTGATCCAATCACCTCCCACCAGGACCCTCTGTTGACACATGGGGATTACAATTTGTGATGAGATTTGGGTGGGGACACAGAGCCAAACAATATCACTGGAGATTCTTTCAAGATAATTAATGGGAGAAAGGTGAGTGAGTGGGGCATTTTAGATGAAACAAGATTGGCTGTGCATTAATAATTGTTGAAGCTGCCAAGGGTGCATTGAGGTTCTTTATACTAGTCTGGTTACTTTTGTACATACTTGAAATTTCCCACAATAAATTATTATTTTTTTAAAGTGGATGCTGGAATCCCTCAGGCATTGCCAGCTCAGCCATTTTCTCTCCGGCCATCCTTCCCCTGATATGTTCCCTGGGATCCCTCTTCCCCTCTGCTACCCATTTCTTCACTCTCTTTCTTTCTATGGCTCTCAGAATTCGTGTCTTCCCTACCTAAAGGGAACACTTAAAACAACTCCCATTTCTTCCTTTCTTCTTCTTCTTCTTTTGTTTTTGTTTTTTTTTTTTTGGTTTTTGTTTGTTTGTTTGTTTGTTTGTTTGTTTTAAGGAGCAGGGAGTTTAATAGGCAAGAAAGAAGGGGGAAGAAAGAAAGAAGCTCCCCTGTACAGAGACAAAGGGAGGGGTGCTCCAAAGCCAAGAGAGGGAACCCCCACAACTCCCATTTCTTATGAAAAACAAGCAATTTAATTATTCTATGTCTAGACTTCTCATTAGCCTGCACTGGAAGACCAAATAAACCCATTAATATTGTTTTTCTGAGCAAAAGTTGTTCTCTCTGTATGAAGAATTCTGCCTTCATCTTAGTCCATCTGGACCCTGCAGCCAACTTTTAAAGTCACTGTATCCCCCCACCCCATTAGAACTCTTAATATTTGTTTAACCTCAGAGTAGAATGGAAAGCATGAATGGCAGATATTTCTTACGACTCCAGGAAGTGAAGTTTAGTCTCTTTCTAGAACCTTCCATCAGGTGAGGTCCACTATGAGCCTGGTTTAGAGGGGAAGGAGAATGGAGACCCTCACAATATCCTAAGACTCTTGTTTTCTTTGTTTTTCTTGTTTTCCTCTTACTCCTTTTACCAGAACTTCTGGCAAGTAACATGTTGACTCATGGTGTTTTATCACTTCCTTCCTCTGGCTCACGTCCAGTAGACATGCTAATGAGTTGCCAAGTCACCAGTAGGCAGGAAAAGACAGAAGGGCTTCTCTGCCATGGAAACCTGATCATCTGGTGTTAATATTCTGAAAATGACATTCACAAAATGAGAGTTAAGCTGGATGAGAAGGTATCTCCTGCTTTCTGGCATGAAATCATTCTTCCTTTGTTTCCTTTGAAGTCCATATCTGTGTAAAAGATGCAACAGCAGGAATGATCTGTACTTCTTGGGGGTCTTAATCTCTGCTGTGTTGAAAGGATATTGAAAGAAATGGATGAGGACCTACATCTGGGCTCCTCATCTTAGAAAGTAGGCACCTGCTTGGGAACACTTAGGCAAATGGATTCTCTCCTTCCCCATTTCCCTTCAGGGGCCAGAAGGTCGGACAGAAAGTCCACCCTTGAACCTATCTAACGTCTAGGAGAAAGTCTTTCTAGAAACATAGAGAAAGTGAATGATGAGATGCCCGAAGAGTCAAAATTGCAAGAGTCCGGTCTAGTCAGTTCAGGGTGAACTAAGACATGGAATGCATTGGAGAAAAGTGGGGATGATGGAATATCCTAAATTTTGTAAGTCATAAAAGTAGGGTTACCAGATAAAATATGGAATATCTACCTTAGTGTGAACTTCAGGTAAACAACAAATAAATTTTTAACATAGGCATTTCCTCAATATTGCATGGGACATAAGTATACTAAAAAAATGTATTTGCTATTTATCTGAAATTTAATTTTAACTGGGGCCCTGCATTTTTTATTTCCTGATAACCCTAGAAAAGCCCAGCCAAACAGAGCTTTTATCGCTCCATTGAATGTAACAAGTGGTCACTGTGCATTTGTCAGGGGGAAGCAAAGTCAATGACTGTGGCAATAATCCCTTATCTTGATCTACTTTCAGTGAAAAATATTACTTCTTTTATTCCTTTTGGAATGTTGCTAAAACAATGGCTGTGCTCTGACGGTAACTTCCATCCAAAGATCTCTTATTACATGGTATCTGCCCCCTAAAGAAAGCATACCGTAACAAGAGAAAGCATACCATCTAGGGGTCAAAAATTGATGTTTATCTCCATTCTTTTTCTTTCTGCTTTCGATGCCTTATAAACTTTTATCTCTTTATTAAGGAAAAATTTAAACATATACCAAAGAAGAGAGAACAGTGCGATGAACCACCTTGTACTCAGTATCCAGTCTTAGCAATCATCAACTCATAATCAATACTGCCTCATGATGCTCACTTTGGCAGCACATATACTAAAATTGAAATGATACAGAGTTTTGCATGGTCCATGTTAAAAAAAAAAAAGCGGGGGGGAAGAATACTGCTTCATGCTTGGCACAGTGGTTCATGCCTGTAATCCCAGCACTTTGGGAGGCTGAGGTGGGAGAATTGCTTGAATCCAGGAGTTCAAGACCAGCCAGGACAACAAAGCAAGACCCTGTCTCTATGATTTTTTTTTCTTTTTTTTTGAGACAGAGTCTCGCTCTGTAGCCCAGGCTGGAGTGCAGTGGTGTGATCTTGGCTCACTGCAAACTCCGCCTCCTGGGTTCACGCCATTCTCCAGCCTCAGCCTCCTGAGTAGCTGGGACTATAGGCACCTGCCACCATGCCCGGCTAATTTTTTGTATTTTTAGTAGAGACGGGGTTTCACCGTGTTAGCCAGGATGGTCTCGATCTCCTGACCTCATGATCAACCCGCCTCGGCCTCCCAAAATGCTGGGATTACAGGCGTGAGCCGCCGTGCCCAGCCTAAAATTTTTTTTTTTAGATTTAGCCTGGTGTGGTGGTGTGCACCTGTAGTCCCAGCTACTTGGGAGGCTGAGGCAGGAGGATCACCTGAGCCTAGGAGTTGGAGGTTGCAGCAGTGAGCTTTCGTGGCATTACTGCTTTCCAGCCTGGGAAACAGTGAGATTGAGACCCTGTCTCAAAGAATACCGCCTCATCTATTCCACCACATTTTTGTCCATTCCAACTACATTATTTTGAAATGAATTCCAGAGAGCTGGACTTTATTGCTTTGTAACTTTCTACTTCTCACTGTACCTTTTCTTTGCCCGTAGTGGAATTGTATGGACAGTGGCTGCCCTAAACCTGAACATTGGTTGCCCCACGTTTATCATTGTGTAGTTGCCTGCCTTCCCGATATCAAATCCCCAAATTTGCATTTTCCAGCCTCCCTTAACTCCACAGCTCAGACACTCAACTTCAGTTTGGAAAGTCAGACCTTCTTGCTGCAAGATTTTGACTAGGACTCGGGCTTGGAGGAAGCGGGAGGGGTTGGGTGCATGCCATCAGGTCAGCTCTGCAATGGCATTCTGGGGGCTGCTCCTGGAAGATGACCCAGGAAAATATTCCTCCCTCTTTTTCCAAGGAGTTTGAGAGTACCCTAACTACATTAATAAAGCCCTTCCTTTACACACTAGCTAGAGAGATTCCACTGACTTTTACCAGATAGCTGGACTGATACAAAAGCTGATCATTCTAACCTTCTGAAGAAGCTGAAGTGGAGAGGTGTACACAAGCACTTCAGTCGCTCAGGAGAAAAATGTTGTGATTTGTATGAATATGATGATTTATTAAGTATGGGTTTATGGGACCACCTTATAGCAGTCGTTTCCAAAATGTAATCCCCCCTGCATCCCCCTCCAGCCCACCAACCAACAGCATCAACATCACCTAGAAACTTCTATAAATTCAGATTCTTGGACCTATTCCCAAGACCTCATGAATCAGAAATTTGGGGGTGGGGCCTACCAATCTGCTTTGTAACAAACCCTAGGTGATTTACATCAGCAAATTCCAGCCTGATGGCTACATTCTGTGCCCACCGCTTTTTTTGTTTTTCTTTCTGTTTTTGTTTGTTTGTTGCTGTTGTTGTTGTTTTGAGACTGAGTCTTGCTCTGTCACCCAGGCTGGAGTGCAATGACATGGTCTCGACTTACTGCAAACTCTGCCTCCTGGGTTCAAGTGATTCTCCTGCTTCAGCCTCCCAAGGAGATGAGATTACAGGCTTATACTTCCATGCCTGGCTAATTTTTGTATTTTTAGTAGGGACAGAGTTTCACCATGTTGGCCAGGCTGGTCTTGAACCCCTGACCTCAAGTAATCACCTGCCTCAGCCTCCCAAAGTGCTGGGATTACAGGCCTGAGCCACCGCGCCCGGCCCTACCATCTTTTTTTATAAATAAATTTTTACTGGAACACAGCCACACTCATTCATTTATGTATTGCCTCTCTCTGCTTGTGTACTAAACTTGTAGAGTGTCGTGGTTGTGATAAAGACTGTAATGGCCCACAAAGCCTACAGTATTTACTATCTGGCCCTTAACAGAGAAAGTTCAGGGCCCCTAATTTAGATTCACTCTAAGTGATGAGAAAGTAAAAGTTAGAGGAGGAGTCAATAAGAATTAAACAGGAATATGTGACGCTAATTTATAACAAAGTATAGCTGTTGGGATTGGTGTCCATAAAATGGTGGTCTTTCCTTAGCTGAGGTCTGTGAGACGCAGAACAGCAGGTTTTTTCTAACTTGTTAATGGCAGTCTCCATGCTGAGGACAAATTTAGCAAACTCTTATTTGATCAAGATGCTTTTTTTAAAGTGTGTGCATAAGCATGCATGTGTTGGTTTGTGTGTATCTAGAAGATAATCTCTTGAGCAACCAGGAGGAATCACAGAAAAGAGAATTTTATCCTACTATTAGGAAATAACTCCCGTCCTCTTTCAAGTCCTAATTTGTTTGTCTAGACTGCGGCATTTACCATGAATGCTAAAAAAACAGGGATAGCGGGCCAGGTGTGGTGGCTCACACCTATAATCCCAGAACTTTGGGAGGCCAAGGTGGACAAATTGCTTGAGCCCAGGAGTTCAGGACCAGCCTGGACAAGATGGTGAGACCACCAATGCTACAAAAATACCAAAAATTAGCTGGGCATGGTGGCCTGCACCTGTGGTCCCAGCTACTCAGGAGACTGAGGTGGGAGGATAACTTAAGCCCAGGAGTTTGAGACCAGCCTGGGTAATATGGCAAAACCCCGTCTCTACAAAAAATACAAAAACTAGATGGGTGTGGTGATGTGCACATGTAGTCCCAGCTACTCTGGAGGCTGAGGTGGGAGGATCTCTTGAGCCAGGGAGGTCGAGGCTGCAGCAAGCTGAGATCACGCCACGTCACTCCAGCCTGGGTCACAGTGATACCGTCTCAAAACTAGGCAACCGACCAACCAATTCATTCTGTTTGACCCATAGTTTGACTCTTAAGAATGCATTGTAACAAAATAAGTAAGGATGTGTTCAATATTATAGCAACAAGCCTGTTGGTTTCAGCACTGTTTATAACAGTAAAAAATGAAAAGCAGCCTAAATGTCCTACCTAATCAAAGTGGTTAACTGTGATAAACACACATTATAGAATATTATGTGGCCATTAACATGATGTTGTAAAAACATACATATTGGCTTGGATAAATACTCATACTGTTGACTGAGCAAGAGTGTCAAACCATTATTCTGTATGTTTTCCTGCAATGGACTTACTATTATGTATACCCATTTATATGCCTACATTATAATCTATAAGTGTACACAGGAAAATTCTCAAAATTTTAACTAGTTTTAAACTAGTTAGTGCTGGGCGGTAGGATTCTGAGTAACTTTGACCTCCTTCTCACCTTCTCATCTTATTTTTTTTTTAAGTTTTTTGAATTTTACTTTAAGTTCCAGGATACATGTGCAGAATGTGCAGGTTTGTTACATAGGTTCATGTGTGCCATGGTGGTTTGCTGCACCCACCAACCCATCATCTAGGTTTTAAGCCCCACATGCATCAGGTATTTGTCCTAATGCTCTCCCTCCCCTTGCCCCCCACCTTCATCTTATTTTTATTTATTTTTAAATTATATTTATTATTTATTTATTTTTGAGATGGAGTTTCACTCCTGTTGCCCAGTCTGGAGTGTAGTGGAGCGATCTTGGCTCACTGCAATCTCCGCCTCCCGGGTTGAAGCCATTTTCCTGCCTCAGCCTCCCTAGTAACTGTGGATTACAGGTGCATGTCACCATATGTGGCTATTTTTTTTTTTTTTTTTTTTTTGTATTTTTAGTAGAGACAGGGTTTCAACATGTTGGCCAGGCTGGTCTCGAACTCCTGACCTTAGGCCCACCTCGGCCTCCTAAAGTGCTGGGATTACAGGCTTGAGCCACTGCACCCTGCCCTTATTTTTATTTTGATTTTTATTTTTTATTTTTATCCAGTGATCATGTATTCCTTGTGTAATTATATGTGTTTTAATGCACACGCAGATACAGACATCTTAGTTTGGAGATGTAGCAACACATTTCAATAGATAAATTTAGATCCCCTACTTTCTGCTCAAGTTGACATAAATGTCCTCCCCATGCAGCTGGGTGGGAGCATCAGGCCCCACAAGGGTTTGAGGTTCCCTACTTTCACAGAGAGGGAAAGGGGCAGATTCAGGTAGGGACAACACATTAAGGACCCCTTGCTTCTTCCTCATTTCCTGGGTGGGATGGTCAATCACACCAGTATGCCTGGAAGTGAGGGATTTCCCAGGATACAAGACTTTCAGTACAAATAAGGAAAATCCCAGGCAAACTGGGTCCAGTTG
The DNA here is from genome assembly GCF_000001405.40 of Homo sapiens. NCBI lineage: Eukaryota > Metazoa > Chordata > Mammalia > Primates > Hominidae > Homo > Homo sapiens. Next base: position 4,263,680 of record NW_018654717.1, on the reverse strand, counting down.
ATCATCACATTCCTGGCAGATTTAAAAAGAATGGCATATACGCCTACAGGTGCACAGAGCTACATGTGTGACTCACGCTGCGGTATGTGGTTTCATGAGAAGTTACTTATGAAATCATTGCTGATTTCTGATCCTCATGGCCAGGAAAGGAGACAAAATCAGCAGGGTTGAGGTCAGTTCAAAAAGGAGGCCTTCTAACCCCGAAGAAAGCAGAATCCATTTCAGGAGATAACACCTTCTCTTCTCTGCATTTAACACCAGTGCATGCATTTGTTCTGTGTCTGAGCCTCTGTAAATTAAAAAAAAAAAAAAATTAAAGTGTTTTCTGAATAATTCAGGTCAAATTAGCCATTCACTGACTCAATTTCCCACTTTCTTTGCTGTTAAACATTGAACTATTTAATGTCGCTGAAATTGCATTTACGGTATTCCGTTAGCTCAAGTTGTGCCCATTCTGCTAAAGCTCTCGACATTCTTATTATCATTAAAGAGAAAGAGGAAAGGACCAGGAGTGGCGACCGGCAAACCACAGCTTATGTGGGAAGGAAATTTGACATGTGATGCAAGCGGACGTTTGTGTAAACTGCTGGGAGATTAACAGTGAGTATCTCTCTGTGTGTTGCCCATCCACCCATTTATAAGTGGTGGGAGAGATGGCGCAGAGGGGGAGCAATGCCCATTCAACCAGTGCAAGTTGTGGGCTCAGCTGGCTGCTAGTCAGTCATCCTTTGTTTGAAAGCAGCACACTTCCTTTTCACCAGCTGAGTCAGGAGCTGTTCTCCTGGGTAATTTCAGAGAATCCACCTCATTGCTCACATGCACGTCATTGCCTTTGGATTGTAGCATGCTGGAGGGTTTAACCAGGGAGTTGACAATGAGTGTCTCTGCAGAACAGGACAAACACATTCCCTGACCAGGTCATGCGGGTGAGTTAATAGGTTCACTACGTGCTCCTCCTACCCTGGAGAGCAGCGTGACGTTAGTTCCTAAGCTGCAGGGTTAGCACGTACAGTGTTATGTGGTGGCCTTGGCTTTAGAGTTAGCCAGACTTAGGGTAGAACTGTGGCTCAACCACTTCCTCACTGTGTGATATTTGGCAAGTTATTCGCCATCACTAAGGCTCGGTTTCCTCAAATAGATTAGGGAAATAACATGGTTCCCGCTTCACTCTCTTCTTTCCTTTTCTTCACTGAGTTTCTCTCACCTGTGCTTCTTTGTTGCCTGTAAAACATATAGGCCAAAGGGAAAGATGATTCTGGCATATTCCAGACCATTCTCACCTTCTTTAATTTATTTAATTTTAAAAATATTTATAAATAGAGATGGGGTCTTGCTGTGTTGCCCAGGCTGGTCTTGAACTACTGGCTTCAAGTGGGCTTCCTGCCTTGGCATCCCAAAGTGCTGGAATTATGGGTGTGAGCTACCACACGCAGCCTGGATCTCTTTCCAGTGGGGAACTTAAGATTCTTCTTCCTTTTCTGAGAATGACTTGGACACAAGGGTTTGCAAAGTATGTTCCATAGACCACTGGTGGTTCACTGTGGTCCCCTAGATGATGCAAACTTCAGAGGGAAGAAAATGCCCTATGAGGAGGAAGCAGAGAGGAGCCCCATTGGCTCTGAGTGGAGACTCCTGGCTCTACCTTCAGAACTCCACTCCTGGTCACCATCAAAGTCCTGCCCCGGAGCCCACAGATTCCAATCCTATGCTGTTCTCCCCACCTCTTCTTCACTAGCTGTACAAAATGACGAGGTTTGTGTAGCCGGAGCGATGCCTTGGGTTTTTGTTGTTTCCCACCATTAGGAAAAACAGAGGGATTAGGTGGCAGAGTCCGCTTAGCTTTTCAGTGAAGAAATGAAAGGTGTGGCAGGATGGGTTCAGGTGCATTTTGCTGGTGGGAATGGAAATAAGATTGGGAGGAGGAGGATGTGAATGTGAACAATGAGACAGATTCCCTGAAATTATCCAAGAGAACGGCTCCTGACTCGACCGCTGGCAAAGAGGGTGTGCTACTTGCAAAGCAAGGATGACGGCTGAGATGATATCACATTTGCATTTTTTTGGATTGTCATCAGTCTCGTTGTGCCATGTTTCCAATCTGCACGTGTGCGGATGTGCAACCGGGAGACACAGACAGGCACCAAGAGCCAGTAATGAAAATCCCACCTTCTCCTTGTAAGCAAACCTTATCCAAGGACCCAGGACACTTGCTTGACCCAATTATGCAGAAACTCCACTGCTTCATCCTCCTCCTGATATGCTGTGAGAGAGGAAAGGAAGAGGGGCCGACAGAGAAGGGGTGTGGTGAGCTCAGGTGCATTTTGCTGGTGGGAGGACACCTTGGTGCCAACTTGTTCTGTTTCTCCAGTGATGTAAAAGCCTTTCAAAGTTCTCATTGGTTGACCCAATCATTCTAGTTCTAGGAATCCAGCCAAAGGAAATAATCAGCAATGCAGATGAAGATCTATGTTAAGGGTACTTACTCTAGCTTATTGATTATGGTAAAATATTGGAAAAAAATCTACATGACCTGGAGTGGAAAATGAAGTAGAATACGTTGGAATTACACAGTCTGTGAAGATGATGTTTTAGGAGTATTCGTTTTTAAATGGAAAAAGTTACACATGCACACGGTTAAAAGTTTAAATAGGACAAAAGAGAAGAAATGAGAAAGGAAACTCTCTCTGGGGTCCTCCTCTATAGATAAAACTATGTCCTCAGTTATAGATTGTGCTTTAGAAAAGAAATAGGTGAAACAAGAAAATGGTTTCAAAGTAATAATAAGTGGAGGAAAGACACAAGATCAAAAAACAACAACAACACAATAAAACAATGAACTTTCCAGTATAATTGCAATTTGAGAGGCTTGAGAGGAGAGTAAGACAGAGAAGAAATATTCCAAGCTGTTTCTGAGTGATGAAATTTGGGGTAATATTTATTTTCTGTATTTTATAAACTTTTTATAGTGTGTAATATTACTTTCTAATACTGAGCATTTAAGGAGCTAGAAAATTGCATTTAAGTTCAGAATTCAGCAAGGGACACCAATGATCTTCTGAAAATATTTTTTTCCAAAAATCAACAGTCTTTATATTAACACATATATGTTCCCCTATTTTATTTATGTGTAAGTTTAAAATAATGCTGCAAGTTAATTTTTCAAGAACACCCAGAAATTGCATTTTATCTCCCTGTCGGCCCTTCTTCAGCATCTGACTTAATCACCACATGCAAGAAAGTTAGAAAACAACACCACAAGAAAGAATTCTTGGCCGGGAGCAGTGGCTTACGCCTGTAATCCAAGTACTTTGGGAGGCTGAGGCAGGTGGATCGCTTGAGGTCAGGAGTTCAAGACCAGCCTGGACAACATGGTGAAACCCTGTCTCTACTAAAAATACAAAAATTAGCTGGGTGTGGTGGCATGCACCTGTAATCTCAGTTACTTGGGAGGCTGAGGCAGGAGAATGGCTTGCACCCAGGAGGAGGAGGAGGTTGCATCACAGCACTCTAGCCTGGGCAACAGAGCGAGACTCTGTCTCAAAAAAAAAAAAAAGAGTTCTTGCCATTATTTGGTGATATTGTGCTCAAATAAAAATGTTTTGCTTATTTTGCATTTCAATGTCAAACACAGAAGTCTGAACTTTGCCTTTCTATAAATGAATCCATCAGGGAAGATAAATTTGACTGTGGTTCTTAGGTCAAGGTCTAATGTTATGAGAGTTTTCAAAAGAATCCCAAGGGAAAGCATCTGTCTGGTTAGCATATGACAGCACTTAAGAACAAATTATTCCCAGTTTCCAAAAATGTGAAATGTACATTTGGGAGTCAAGTCAAGTTTCTGGATTTACAATAGTATTTCAGAATCCATCCACATATTTTAAAGAGACAGACATTCCTAAATGCCCTCTAAAAAGACCCAGTAACAAAATTGTTAATTTGTGGATGTTGGAAAGAGCTTTCTGAACTTACGCTGAAGTGTGTGCATGTGTTTTTGTTGTTGTTGTTTTGAGACAGGGTCTCACTCTGTCACCCAGGCTGGAGTGCAGTGGTGCAATCTCGGCTCACTGCAACCTCCGCCTCCTGGGCTCAAGTGATCCTCCTACCTCAGCCTCCCAAGTAGCTAGGACTACAGGCACGTGCCACCACACCTGGCTAATTTTTGTAGTTTTTGTAGAGAAAGGGTTTCGCCATGTTGCCCAGGCTGGTCTCAAACTCCTGGGCTCAAACAGTCTGCCTGGCTTGGCTTCTCAAAGCGCTGAGATTACAGGCCTGAACCACTGTGCCCCGCCTGTGTATGTGTTTCAGCGATGGCATCCCCACAGTGTGAAGGATCTTAAGTGTGAAGACCCTTATTTGGAGAGGATTTGGAGGGGTGTTGGCTTCTCGTTCTGTTCAGAATCTTCCCGTCTACACCATTGCACACATGGCCTGTGGTCAGGCTCACCTCTGAGTCTGGGCTGGAATGAGCAAATATCTTGTTTATAGCCACAAACTGGTTCATTGGTTAAGTAGGTGAAGATGTCAGGAAATAAGATTTGCTCTTGTCATGGGTAAACAGATAGGGAACATCACTGAAGATTACGGGGAATCAAATGAGCAATTGTTTTCCTTCGGTCTTTCTCACACATATCAACCTCTTCGGATGCATGACGGCTGTGAGCTGAGAGCGCTGAGAGCAGGAAGGAACCAGGGCTGTGAGCAGTGGTTTGCCACTTGGACAAGATTCAGATTTATGCTTCTTCATACCCTGAGTTCTTGAGACCAGGGATTTATATTTTTAGAGATGTGTTTTGTCTTAGTTTCCTAGGACTGCCATAACAAAGTAACAGACCGGGTGGCTTCTTAGGTCCCAGAATTGTATTGGCTTACAGTTCTGGAGACTGGAAGTCTGAGACCAAGGTTTCGGCAGGGTTGGTTCCTTCTGAGGGCTGGGAGGGAGAATCTGTTCAGGCCTGTCTCCTGGCTTCTGGTGGTTTGCTGGGAGTCTTTGGCGTTCCTTGGCTCGTGGGCCCATCACTCTAATGGTTGCCTTCACGTTCACGTGCTGCTTTCCCCGTGTGAGTATGTCTGTCTCCAAATTTCCGCTTTTTATAAGGACATCAGTCATATTAGATCAAGTCCCACCCTATTACCTCATTTTAACTTAATCACCTTTTTAAAGACCAGGTCTCCAAACACAGCAGGGGTGACCAATCTTTTGACTTCCCTGGGCCACATTGGAAGAAGAAGAATTAATTGTCTTGGGCCGCACGTAAAATACACTAACACTAATGAAAGCTGATTAGCTTTAAAAAAATCTTAACGTTTTAAGAAAGTTTATGAATCTGTGTTGGGCCATATTCAAAGCCGTCCTGGGCTGCATGTGGCCCAAGGGCTGCAGGTTGGACAAGCTTGAAACACAGTCGCCTTCTGAAGTACTGGGGGTTGAAACTTTAATATGTGAATTTTGGGGGCATGCAATTCAACCCATTACAAATATAGACACAGGTATATGCATACACCTGGATAATATTTTTGGAAGGGAAGACCTTGTCTCTAAAAAAAAAAAAAAAAAAAGAAGAAGAAGAAGAAGAAAGTAAGAAAGTTTGTAAAACAGCTTAAGACTGTTTATTTATTTTTGAGACGGAATCTCACTCTGTCACCCAGGCTGGCGTGCAGTGGTGCAATCTCCGCTCACTGCAACCTCTGCCTCCTGGGTTCTAGCAATTCTCCTTCCTCAGCCTCCTGAGTAGCTGGGATTACAGGCACATGCCACCATGCCCAGCTAATTTTTTTTTGTTTTGTATTTTTAGTAGAGATGGAGTTTCACCACATTGTCCAGGCTGGTCTCGAACTCCTGACCTCAGACGATCCACTCGCCTCGGCCTCCCAAAGTGCTGGGATTACAAGCGTGAGCCATCATGCCTGGCCAAGACTTTAAAATAATTATTTTGTCAATGGAAGAGCTAGGTGTGACTTTTACAGGAAGAAGCCTGTGTGTTTAAAGTGTTACTTATCATTCAAAAGCAAATAAAGGAAACTTCTTTTTTATTTTATCTTTTTATTGTGGTACCCTATACACCAATCAGCTAGCTTCAACTATTACTAATAATTGTTATAAACTAATTTTTTAATAATAACAAGTATAGTAGTAATTATCAGCAATTTAAAAGCTTTGCTGGAGAATATTATCAAATACAAATAGCAGACAAGGCATTGAGGACAATTGAAACATTAGCTACGGTGTTTCTTGACAAGCTCCAATTTCTAAAATAATAGCATATTACAATATGAGCATGAGAATCGTCGTGGACTCTCAGGACAAATCCAAGCAACCAGGAGAGTCTCCTCAAGGGGCAGAGGATCATGCCCTCATTCTCAGTGCAGACTTGGGCAGCATTCCAAAAGCCTCTCCAAGAGTTAAGCATTGATATTTGCCTCGCAATCCCTCTCTCTGCAATTGCTGCAAGGGCTGAGTCTCAAACTTTTCAATCCACGTACCTCTTTGATGAGGCAAAAACCCTCCCCACCATCTGCCCCACCTGTTTGCTCTGCGCACAGGGGAGAGAGATTGGCTCTGTTCCCTCTCCTTCTCTGTGTCCTGTGTGTTGATGGATGATGAGTTTCCAGCAACCCAACTGCTCAGAACAAAGACCACATCTCCTTTTCTCTCTTCTCTGTGTGCTAGTTGGGGAACATAAATGTGTTTCTCATTATTTGGTCTGTTTTACAATGTGAGTTGCTGCTGGAGTTCACTGCTTTGGGGATTACAAGGTATTTCATCTCCTGTAGGACGGGCCCTTCCCTAACACTTAACAATGGCAGCCTGTCTGAAGACAGGAAACCCTGAAGTGTTTTGCTAAATTTAAAGACTCAGACAAATATTAAGATTGGAGAGATTTTTCCTATTTTTTAAAAAAACGTAATCCTTTTATGTAGCTAGTATGTATATGTGTTACGGGGGTTGGGAGAGTCCTGAAATGGGTGGTAGGAAGGATCCAAAGATAATTAATTCTCAGCTTAAAAACCATTATGGCACAAAGGAAAGAGAATGGGCTTTGGAGCCAGAAGGTGGGATATGAATCCTGCCGTTTTCCTACTGGCAGTTGCAACAGCTTTACTTCCATCAGCTGCAAGATGAGGATTGTATAACCTGCTTTCTTAGGACTGGTGTGAAGACTAAATGAGATGCTGCATGAGAGCATCTGGCACGCTGTAGGGCTTCATGAGTGCTACCTCT